>NC_000002.12:102035072-102338102 GCF_000001405.40 Homo sapiens | reverse complement strand
TAGACAAAACCATAAACAGAATTTTTATCAGCCATGATTTTTACTTTCTCAGCACCACCCAGGAGAATGAATCAGTCAACACATATTTATTAAGTGCAAAGAGATGTAACAGCAGGTTTCAGATATGCAAGCATTGCACTTATTCCTATGGAAGTTTTGGGTCATATAGCTTTCACAATGATCATGCTATTTCACAGTTATCATGCTACTTCGCAGTTATATTTCACCAGTCTCATGAGAATGTCCTGAAAGAAACTAAATTAAGAAGGAAAGAATATGAGTTTCTATTTTTGAAAAAAAAACCATAAAATTCAGTAGACTTTAGAAAATAAAATGTATCATGTGAAACCACAGACATCCACACAGGCTGGTAGCAGCATGCTCACAAAAATAACTCACAAACAGACACATGTGCAAGTAGTCATCACAAAGCAACTAAGGAGTAGCAAAATCAGAACTAGACTAAAGCATTAGCCAAGTAATTGTCCTATTCTCAACCCCAAACCCTCAAACTTTTGTTCCTGACTCAGCTTGTTCCCAGGAGTCACCAAAGGCTTTCTAAGAGTAGTTGAAGGTCTATGAATAATAATAAATACATTAATTTTTTCTTTCAGAAAAATAATCATTTACTTTCTTACTTCTTTTCTTAAAATATAAGGGGAAGAATAGAACCAACATAGAAATTTACTAACATAAAGATAAACACAATCATGAATTATGAAGACTTTTCTTATTACAAATTTTAGATAAGTAATTGATGCTTACCCAAACTGAAAGACAGAGGGGATGAACTTGGAGTCAGTGACGGAGCTAAGAATAGTTTCCAGTCTTTGTAGGTCCCTCCTCATAGACTACTCACTCTCTTCTATTTTAAAGGGGAGACACTCCTCCCATCCTGAAATTTGATTTGTGGCCAAATCTATGACTTGTTCAAAAATGCTGGTGCATCATGTACTAAGAATTCTTGATGTTGACAAATAAATATTTAAACATAAAAACAACATTGAGTAATCCCTTGAGAGGAAATAATTGAATCATTTCCTCCTATTTTAGAATCAACTTCTCAGGCTGATTAATAACTAATGCTTATTGCCTGTACCCCGATATTGGGACACTTTCAGTTCTAAATGGTCTTGACATCGGGGACCTGGAGGCTGCCTTTCCAGATATTCCTTGACTCCTCATTTGGCAGACACCACTCAGGAAAGCTCCGCCAGCCTTGGCAGCATTGGTGCCAGGAGTTTCAAAAGCAAAGGTGGGGGAGAGGAAATGCGAAGTAAGCAGCACTTTCTGGAACTTAGAAATTCTCTGTCTAGGTTCCAGAATGTGACTCCACCCCATCCCAAAACAGATTTCAGCTCCTTGGATTTAAGTCCCAGTAGGCCTCTCTGCCTGGATGAAGAAAAAAAAAAAGGAGCTTTTCTAGAGTGCATAGAGTGCAGAGAAAGAGAAGGAGAGTGTGACTAAGAAGCTTCCCTCAAGGGGAGTGACAAAGAAAACCATAACCCTGAACTCTAGGGCTCCAGGTAAAACAAACTTGAAAAGCAAAATTTGATTTTAGCTATGCATAGTTGCGATGACCCTATCATGAGTAAACTCAACCTACGTTTATAAGTCATCACATCTCAGAAGGATTCAGGAACTAATTCCAGACCCATATAATAATATAATGATAATAGCTAACTTTTCTTTAGAATGTCCTCTATGCCAGACACAGTCTAAGTGATTTACATGTATTAATTCCTTCATTCTCACACTCACCCAATGTGGCAGGCGCTATTATTATGATGCCCATTTTACAGACAAGGACACTGAGGCACAGAGAGATTAAGCAACTTGCCCATGTCACTTCACATTAAGGGGTGAAGTCAGAATTTGAACTCAAGAAGGCTGGCTCTGAAGACTAGACTAATCACAGAATCCAACTGCCACTGCTTGTGGAAGGTTCAGAAAGGAGTAGCTGCAAAAGGGAGAGTTATCAGTACGTTTTTTGAGCCAGCGTCTTTGCTCCCCATGGGGGCTGGGACTACTCTTGAATCTCTTATCTGTCAGGGGTTTAGTCAGCCTTTCAGCCTGTGGAGTGGCTCTGAGAGGAAGAGATACACAGTCCTTTGACCGCGGGGAGATTGACCATGAGATGTTCGCCGTAAATTAGAGGAATTAGGTCTGCACATTATTATTCTTGACCTACTTGTGGAAGTCCGTTTTATCAGGATATTATTGCAGTTTGGGTGTGAGATCACAGCCAGGAGCCAGCGAGTCTGCAATGCTGCCTGCGATTCCCCAAGTGCTGAATAGGTTTGTTCAATAAAATAACACAAACTCGGAATTCTTTTACATTTGGTATCCCAAAACATCTTTTTAAAACATGTATTAAGTTGGAGCATTCATTCTTAAACTAGGCCACGTAAGCATTAGTTTCTCAGTTTAAAAAATAAAGCTTCCATCAATTTTAACATCATAATGATGAAATTCTGCAGGAGTATTTATTAAAGTTGAACTCTTCCTATAAAATAATTCAGTTGTTCATTTGACAATTAAGACCTTTCATTCAAAGTACAATACTCTGTGGTACTTATCATTAACATCACTCAAATTTTATAGTTACAAATAAAAACCCAAGGATAAGACTGTTTAAGTAATTTGACAAAGTTCACCCAGTTGTGGCTGGGGTTGAAACCAGACTTGCTGAACTTCAAAGTCAAGCTTTTCTCCCCCCAATGTCAACTAAAAAAAGAGAACATTCTCTATACCAGAGATTAGGCTGGTAAAGCTTTTCTTTTTATAATTTGGACTGGGTTATTAAAATAAGCTAGTCTATAATTTCTTCTTTGAAAAGAACTAAATTATTTTGGCTTCTCACTATTCAGGCACCATTCAACATAACAGAGAGTAGTTTATAGCAACTTAAGACAAACTGCAAAAAGGCAAGGGCTTCTAATACATGAATAAAGCAAGGCATTTTAAGCACCCATAAATTTCTGCCAACTTAATCAGAAATCTTCCAGTGTCCGCTTGTTTCTCTGGCAAACACCCACTTTTTTAAGACTTCTCATAACTACTCTCCCTTTTCAGATTAATCTCATAGAATCTAAGCTCATTGAACCAGCTTTTTCTTAATTTTGTTACAGTTTTGAAATCCTGTATGTGCCTATTTATAATCTACTTCACTTACATAACCATTAAAAAAACAAAAAACAAAAGAACAAACAAAACCTTATGTTTTGAGGGCAACAACTAACTGCTGGCATATGGAATGTGACACTCAAATACTTCCGAACTTAGAAGGTATCTTTCAAGACTTCTTCATTTGACTTAGCAGATATCACACTGAAATGTAAAATGTAAATGTCCTAACACACTCCAGAGCTGGCCATGTGTGGCCTGCTCTTACTGTAAACCAGTGTCAAAAGACAGGGAACTTGGTTACATTAATCTTATATGAATTTCAGTGAGTCAGGCTCTCATTCAGTGACTCTCACAATAAGCTGGGGATGGATGTTTTTTTTCCCCTCATTTCACTAGAGGACATCTGGGTATCATTTTTATTCTGTTTTTTTATTTTTTTTTATTGATGAAAATGTTTTCAGGACCTGCAGTGGATGGGGCAGAACAAGCATGCCCCTAGACGGCCTAGCCTGGGCCTCTGGAGAATATGCTGGGCCCCCCAGCTCCATTAGCTGTGTAGCTGTGGGCAAAGTGCTTGTCTCTGGGATCCTTCTTGCCCATACTCCAAACTCTAGGCCCACTCAAGCCTCCACTCCTTCCCTCCAAACTCCTTCTTGCTTCACCCAATCCTCCCCTCCAAAAACCAGAAGACCCGTCTGAATGGCTATTATCAAAAACTCAAAAAACAGCAGATGTTGGCATGGATATGGAGAAAAGGGAATGCTTATACATTGTTGCTGGGAATGTCAATTAGTTCAATCTCTAAGGAAAACAGTATGAAGATTTCTCAATGAACCAAAAGTAAAACTACCATTCAACCCAGAAATCTCACTACTTTTCTAAGGAAAAGAAATTAGTGTATAAAAAAGACACCTCTCCACCTCTACTAGTATGTTCACTGCAGCACGGTTCACAATAGGAAAGTCATGGAACCAACTCAAGTGTCCATCAACGGTTGACTAGATAAAGAAAATGTTGTACCTATGCACCACGGATTACTATTCAGCCATAAAAAGAATGAGATTATGTCCTTTGCTACATGGATGGAGCTGGAGACCATTATCTTAAGTGAACCAGTTAAGAAACAGAAAACCAAATACCACATGTTCTTACTCATATGTGGGAGCTAAACCATGGGTACTCATGGACATAAAGATGGAAATAATAGACACTGGGGACTCCAAAAGTAGGGAGGGTAGGGGGTGATGAATGAAAAATTACCTACTGGGTACAATATTCACAATTTGGGTAAGACCAGTCCCCACCAGTAATGCAATATACCTTTGTAACAAACAAGTACATGTACCTTAGAATCTAAAATTTAAAAAAACAAACAAACAAAAACAGAAGAAACCATCATATATTCAAGGAACAAGTGGAATTCACAAAAGCTTCATGTCTCCAGAACAGAACTTCTGATCTCCTCCAGCCTCCTTGCCTCCCTTGCCCCAAAGAAAATTCAGCATCTCCCATTGTCTTCTAATTGTAATGATGACAACTCCATGCTGAATGTTGGCTCAGACCAAGACTCCATTTATTATTGACTCTTCTCTTCCTCACATATTGAACATGCAATCCATCAGGACAACTTATGGTTTCATCTTCAAAGGACATCCTACCTGCAATTGCATCTCTCCATTCTCAATGCCACCATCCTTGTCCAAGCCACCATGGTCTCTCACTTGGATTTTAATAACTGCTTCTAAATTGCTATCCCTGCTTCCACTTGTACCCTCTTAAGTATATTCCTAAAACAGACACTCTGGAGATTCTGTTAGAACCTAGGTCAAATCAAGGGGGCCTCCAAAGTCTTCCACCTCACCCAGAGGAAAAGCCAACGTCTTTACAGAAGCTGGGAGGTACCACACGATGGAACACCACCAATCACCTCTCTGACCCCTCCCCTCCAACCCCGTATCCTCATTGCTGTTCCTTGAAGGCACTAGGCAGACATTGTTCCTTCTGCCTGGACAGCTTCTTCCTGTTACCCACCTCCTCCAAGAGCTAACTTACCTCCTCCAAGTGAGCACTCAAACTGTACATTCTCTGTGAGACTTAGCCTAACTACTCAATTTTCTGTTCTTTTTTTGCTTCTGATTTTTAAAAATTGCGCTGAAATTTACATAACATAAAATTAACTATTTCGAAGTGCACAATTTAGTGACATTTGGTACATTCACAATGTGGTACAACCACTAACTCTATCTAGTTTCAAAACATTTTCACCATCCCCGAGTATAACCCCATACCCATTAACATGAAGTCCCCATTCTTCCTCTTCCACCACAAACCCATAGCCACCACCAATCTGCTTTCTGATTCTATGGGTTTATCTATTCTGAATATTTCCTATAAATGGAGTCACACAATAAGTGCCCTTTGTGACTGCCTTATTTCACTTAGCATAATCTTTCCAAGTTTTGTTCATATTGTAGCATGGGTCTGTACTTTATTGTTTCTAATGACTGAATAATATTCCACTGTGTGTGCCTACCACACTTTGTTTATCCATTCATCCCTTAATGGGCATCTGGGTTGCTTCTAGCTATTGACTATTTTGAATAATGCTGCTATCGGTGTCCAAGTATTTGTTTGAGTTCCTGACCAATCAATTTTGAATTGCAATGTCTCCTCTCCCAATCCCCATCTCCTTAACCTGCTCCAATCTTTTTCTAAGGCATTCATCACTTCTAACATTCTACTTATGCATCATGTTTATTATTTTCTGTTTTATCCATTGGAATATGACCTCCAGAAGGCAATATTATTTTTGTGAGTTTTGTCTATTGATATAGCTCATGTGCCTGGAAGAGCACCAAGTAGGTGCTCAGAAATGTTTACTTATTATCATTATTATTATTATTTCTGAGGCAAGGTCTCACTCTTTCACCCAGGATGGAGTGCAGTGGTGTGATCATGGCTCACTGCAGTCTCCACCTCCCAGGCTCAGGTGATCCTCCCACCTCAGCCTCCAGAATAGCTGGGACTACATGCACACATCACCATGCCCAGCTAATTTTTGTATTTTTCGTAGAGATGGGGTTTCACCATATTGCCAAAGCTGGTCTCAAACATCTGGGCTCAAGAGATCCACCAACCTTGACCTCCCAAAGTGCTGGGATTACAGGCTTGAGTCACCATGCCCAGCCTCAGAAATATTTATTGAATGAACCAGTACAGATGACCAAGGGATGGAATTTGGGATTCAAAAAATAAAGCTTTTATATATGGATCTAAACAGGAGCAGTCTGTCTTTCACCATGCTCTTACATCTCTACCCCGAATATCTGTCTTATTTCTTTTATCTTATCGGAAGATGAGACCTGAGTCACCCTTGGGAGGTCCCATGGGAACTCCTGGGCCGAGAACAGATGGAGCATAGAGAGCCAGAAGAAGCTCTGTGGACTGCAGACACTCAGGAAAAAGAAATGGGCTGGTGGCCATGTGAAAAACAGCCAGCAGTCTTAACAGTTTGCACATGTGAAATGACTAAATCATCATTAAGATCCCTTCAAGACTAATATTTTAGACCATTGTGTAATTTCTCACATACTAATTCCACAGACTTTATTGCTGTGGTCTGCATTTGTCGTCCTTTATTTAGTTCATGTACATCTTTTGTCCTGAGGTCAGTGTAACTTATTCTCCCAGCAGCAGAATCTGCTTCTAAAGCTTCTATGGAAATCTAAAGTCTGCATGGCAAATTAAAGTCCTGGGAATACCCAAGACATGGTTAAAGAAAAAGAACAAAGTCAGAGAACTTACACAACCTGACCTTAAGACTTAATATAAAAGCTACCATAGTGAAAACAGTGTGGTATGGGCATAAAGACAGACATGTTGATCAAAGAAGAGAGAGTCCAGAAGTAGACTCAAAAATATATAGTAAATTGATGTTTGATTAAAGTGCCAACATAAGTTTATTGTGAAAAACACTGCCTTCGACACATAATGATAGAAAAATTGACTCTCTATGTGAAAAAGCTCTACCTCATATTATACAGAAAAATGAAATAAAAATGGATTGTATTACATAACAGAACATCTTAAACCTGAAGTAGGAACATATTTTTTAAATGGATACAAAAATCACTAATCATGAAAGAAAAATAAATCATAGCTGGGACTTTATTAAAATTAGAAACTTTTCTTCTTCAAAGACATCATTAGAATTTGAATAGACTAAGCCACAGTCCAGACAAAATACTCATAATTTGCATATCAGATGAAAGACTTGTATCTATACTTCATAAATAACTCTTACAAGTTCATATGAAAAAGATAAAATAGCCCAATTTTTAAAATGAGGAAAAGACTTGTACTGATATTTCACAAAAGAAAATATATCAATGTTCAATAAGCACAGGACAAAGTGCACAAAGTTACTAGTTATTAGATAAATGTAAACAATTAAAATCACAATGAGATTCTACTTCTTCTTTTTATTATACTTTAAGTTTTAGGGTACATGTGCACAACGTGCAGGTTTTTTACATATGTATACATGTGCCATGTTTGTGTATTGCACCCATTAACTTGTCATTTAGGATTAGGTATATCTCCTAATGCTATGCCTCCCCCCTCCCCCCACCCCACAACAGGCCGTGGTGTGTGATGTTCCCCTTCCTGTGTCCATGTGTTCTCATTGTCCAATTCCCATCTATGAGTGAGAACATGTGGTGTTCGGTTTTTTGTCCTTGCGATAGTTTGCTGAGAATGATGGTTTCCAGTTTCATCCATGTCCCTACAAAGGACATGAACTCATCATCTTTTTATGGCTGCATAGTATTCCATGGTGTACATGTACCACATTTTCTTAATCCAGTCTATCATTGTTGGACATTTGGCTTGGTTCCAAGTCTTTGCTATTGTGAATAGTGCCGCTATAAACATATATATGCATGTGTCTTTATAGCAGCATGATTTATAATCCTTTGGGTATATACCCAGTAATGGGATGGCTGAGTCAAATGGTAATTCTAGTTCTAGATCCCTGAGGAATCGCCACACTGACTTCCACAATGGTTGAACTAGTTTACAGTCCCACCAACGGTGTAAAAGTGTTCCTATTTCTCCACATCCTCTCCAGCACCTGTTGTTTCCTGGCTTTTTAATAATCACCATTCTAACTGGTGTGAGATGGTATCTCATTGTGGTTTTGATTTGCATTTCTCTGATGGCCAGTGATGATGAGCAATTTTTCACGTGTCTTTTGGCTGCATAAATGTCTTATTTTGAGAAGTGTCTGTTCATATCCTTTGCCCACTTTTTGATGGGGTTGTTTGTTTTTTTCTTGTAAATTTGTTTGAGTTAATTGTAGATTCTGGATATTAGCCTTTGTCAGATAAGTAGATTGCAAAAATTTTCTCCCATTCTGTAAGTTGCCTGTTCACTCTGATGGTAGTTTCTTTCACTGTGCAGAAGCTCTTTAGTTTAATTAGATCCCATTTGTCAACTTTGTCTTTTGTTGCCATTGCTTTTGGTGTTTTAGACATGAAGTCCTTGCCCATGCCTATGTCCTGAATGGTATTGCCTAGGTTTTCTTCTAGGGTTTTTATGGTTTTAGGTCTAAAATTTCAGTCTTTAATCCATCTTGAATTAATTTTTGTATAAGGTGTAAGGAAGGGATCCAGTTTCAGCTTTCTACATATGGCTAGCCAGATATCCCAGCACCCTTTGTTAAATAGGGAATCCTTTCCCCATTTCTTGTTTTTGTCAGGTTTGTCAAAGATCAGATACTTGTAGACATGCAGCATTATTTCTGAGGGCTCTGTTCTGTTCCATTGATCTATATCTCTGTTTTGGTACAAGTACCATGCTGTTTTGGTTACTGTAGCCTTGTAGTATAGTTTGAAGTCAGGTAGCGTGATGCCTCCAGCTTTGTTCTTTTGACTTAGGATTGACTTGGCAATGTGGGCTCTTTTTTGGTTCTGTGTGAACTTTAAAGTAGTTTTTTCCAATTCTGTGAAGAAAGTCATTGGTAGCTTGATGGGGATGGCATTGAATCTATAAATTAACTTGGGCAGTATGGCCATTTTCATGATATTGAGTCTTCCTACCTATGAGCATGGAATGTTCTTCCATTTGTTTGTATCCTCCTTTATTTCATTGAGCAGTGGTTTGCAGTTCTCCTTGAAGAGGTCCTTCACATCCCTTGTAAGTTGGATTCCTAGGTATTTCATTCTCTTGAAGCAATTGTGAATGGGAGTTCACTCATGATTTGGCTGTTTGTCTGTTATTGGTGTATAAGAATGCTTGCGATTTTTGCACGTTGATTTTTTATCCTGAGACTTTGCTGAAGTTGCCTATCAGCTTAAGGAGATGATGGGGTTTTCTAGATATACAATCATGTCATCTGCAAACAGGGACAATTTGACTTCCTCTTTTCCTAATTGAATACCCTTTATTTCCTTCTCCTGCCTGATTGCCCTGGCCAGAACTTCCAACAGTATGTTGAATAGGAGTGGTGAGAGAGGGCATCCCTGTCTCATGCCAGTTTTCAAAGGGAATGCTTCCAGTTTTTGCCCATTCAGTATGATATTGGCTGTGGGTTTGTCATAGATAGCTCTTATTATTTTGAGATACGTCCCATCAATACCTAATTTATTGAGAGTTTTTAGCATGAAGGGTTGTTGAATTTTGTCAAAGGCCTTTTCTGCATCTATTGAGATAATCATGTGGTTTTTGTCATTGGTTCTGTTTATATGCTGGATTATGTTTATCGATTTGTGTATGTTGAACCAGCCTTGCATCCCAGAGATGAAGCCCACTTGATCATGGTGGATAAGCTTTTTGATGTGCTGCTGGATTTGGTTTGCCAGTATTTTATTGAGGATTTTTGCATCAATGTTCATCAGGGATATTGGTCTAAAATTCTCTTTTTTTGTTGTGTCTCTGCCAGGCTTTGGTATCAGGATGATGCTGGCCTCATAAAATGCGTTAGGGAGGATTCCCTCTTTTTCTATTGATTGGAATAGTTTCAGAAGGAATGGTAACAGCTCCTCCTTGTACCTCTGGTAGAATTCGGCTGTGAATCCATCTGGTCCTGGACTTTTTTTGGTTGGTAAGCTATTAATTATTGCCTCAATTTCAGAGCCTGTTATTGGTCTATTCAGAGATTCAAGTTCTTCCTGGTTTAGTCTTGGGAGAGTGTATGTGAACAGGAATTTATCCATTTCTTGTAGATTTTCTAGTTTATTTGCATAGAGGTGTTTATAGTATTCTCTGATGGTAGTTTGTATTTCTGTGGGATCGGTGGTGATATCGCCTTTGTCATTTTTTATTGCGTCTATTTGATTCTTCTCCCTTTTCTTCTTTATTAGTCTTGCTAGCGGTCTATCAATTTTGTTGATCTTTTCAAAAAACCAGCTCCTGTATTCATTGATTTTTTGAAGGGTTTTTTGTGTCTCTATTTCCTCCAGTTCTGCTCTGATCTTAGTTATTTCTTGCCTTCTGCTAACTTTTGAATGTGTTTGCTCTTGCTTCTCTAGTTCTTTTAATTGTGATGTTAGTGTGTCAATTTTAGATCTTTCCTGCTTTCTCTTGTGGGCTTTTAGTGCTATAAATTTCCCTGTACACACTGCTTTAAATATGTCCCAGAGATTCTGGTATGTTGTGTCTTTGTTCTCGTTGGTTTCAAAGAACATCTTTATTTCTGCCTTCATTTCGTTATGTACCCAGTAGTCATTCAGGAGCAGGTTGTTCAGTTTCCATGTAGTTGAGCGGTTTTGAGTAAGTTTCTTAATCCTGAGTTCTAGTTTGATTGCACTGTGGTCTAAGAGAGAGTTTGTTATAATTTCTGTTCTTTTACATTTGCTGAGGAGTGCTTTATTTCCAACTATGTGGTCAATTTTGGAATAGGTGTGGTGTGGTGCTGAAAAAAATGTATATTCTGTTGATTTTGGGTGGAGAGTTCTGTAGATGTCTATTAGGTCTGCTTGGTGCAGAGCTGAGTTCAACTCCTGGATATCCTTGTTAACTTTCTGTCTCGTTGATCTGTCTAATGTTTCCAGTGGGGTGTTAAAGTCTCCCATTATTATTGTGTGGGAGTCTAAGTCTCTTTGTAGATCTCTAAGGACTTGCTTTATGAATCTGGGTGCTCCTGTATTGGGTGCATATATATTTAGGATAGTTAGCTCTTCTTGTTGAATTGATCCCTTTACCATTATTTAATGGCCTTCTGTGTCTCTTTTGATCTTTGTTGGTTTAAAGTCTGTTTTATCAGAGACTAGGATTGCAACCCCTGCCTTTTTTTTGTTTTCCATTTGCTTGGTAGATCTTCCGCCATCCCTTTATTTTGAGTCTATGTGTGTCCCGGCATGTGAGATGGGTTTCCTGAATATAACACACTGATGGGTCTTGACTCTTTATCCAATTTGCCAGTCTGTGTCTTTTAATTGGAGCACTTAGCCCATTTACATTTAAGGTTAATATTGTTATGTGTGAATTTGATCCTATCATTATGATGTTTGCTATTTATTTTGCTCGTTAGTTGATGCATTTTCTTCCTAGCCTTGATGGTCTTTACAATTTGGCATGTTTTTGCAGTGGCTGGTACCGGTTGTTCCTTTCCATGTTTAGTGCTTCCTTCAGGAGCTCTTGTAGGGCAGGCCTGGTGGTGACAAAATCTCTCAGCATTTGCTTGTCTGTAAAGTATTTTATTTCTCCTTCACTTATGAAGCTTAGTTTGGCTAGATATGAAATTCTGGGTTGAAAATTCTTTTCTTTAAGAATGTTGAATATTGGCCCCCACTCTCTTCTGGCTTGTAGAGTTTCTGCCAAGAGATCAGCTTTTAGTCTGATGGGCTTCCCCTTGTGGGTAACCCGACCTTTCTCTCTGGCTGCCCTTAACATTTTTGCCTTCATTTCAACTTTGGTGAATCTGACAATTATGTGTCTTGGAGTTGCTCTTCTCAAGGAGTATCTTTGTGGTGTTCTCTGTATTTCCTGAATTTGAATGTTGGCCTGCCTTGCTAGATTGGGGAAGTTCTCCTGGATAATACCCTGCAGAGTGTTTTCCAACTTGGTTCCATTCTACCTGTCACTTTCAGGTATACCAATCAGATGTAGATTTGGTCTTTTCACATAGTCCCATATTTCTTGGAGACTTTGTTCGTTTCCTTTTATTCTACTTTCTCTAAACTTCTCTTCTCACTTCGTTTCATTCATTTGATCTTCCGTCACTGATACCCTTTCTTCCAGTTGATCAAATCGGCTACTGAGGCTTGCGCATTCATCACGTAGTTCTCGTGCCATGGTTTTCAGCTCCATCAGGTCCTTTAAGGACTTCTCTGCATTGGTTATTCTAGTTAGCCATTCATCTAATTTTTTTTCAAGGTTTTTAACTTCTTTGCCATGGGTTCGAACTTCCTCCTTTAGCTCGGTGTAGTTTGATCATCTGAAGCCTTCTTCTCTCAACTCGTCAAAGTCATTCTCCATCCAGCTTTGTTCCATTGCTGGTGAGGAGCTGTGTTCCTCTGGAGGAGGAGGGGTGCTCTGATTTTTAGAGTTTCCAGTTTTTCTGCTCTGTTTTTTCCCCATCTTTGTGGTTTTATCTACCTTTGGTCTTTGATGATGATGACATACAGATGGGGTTTTGGTGTGGATGTCGTTTCTGTTTGTTAGTTTTCCTTCTAACTGTCAGGACCCTCAGCTGCAGATCTGTTGGAGTTTGCTGGAGTTCCACTCCAGACCCTGTTTGCCTGGGTATCAGCAGCAGAGGCTGCAGAACAGCGGATATTGGTGAACAGCAAATGTTGCTGCCTGATCGTTCCTCTGGAAGTTTTGTCTCAGAGGAGTACCCAGCTGTGTGAGGTGTCAGACTGCCCCCTACTGGGGGGTGCCTCCCAGTTAGGCTACTCGGGGGTCAGGGACCTACTTGAGGAGGCAGTCTGTCCGTTCTCAGATCTCCAGCTGCGTGCTGGGAGAACCACTACTCTCTTCAAAGCTGTCAGACAGGTTCATTTAAGTCTGCAGAGGTTTCTGCTGCCTTTTGTTTAGCTATGCCCTGCCCCCAGAGGTGCAGTCTACAGAGGCAGGCAGGCCTCCTTGAGCTGCAGTGGGCTCTAC
This sequence comes from Homo sapiens, assembly GCF_000001405.40. Lineage (NCBI taxonomy): Eukaryota > Metazoa > Chordata > Mammalia > Primates > Hominidae > Homo > Homo sapiens. The sequence goes on along the minus strand of NC_000002.12, from coordinate 102,324,866 downwards.
CCAGTTCGAGCTTCCCGGCTGCTTTGTTTACCCACTCAAGCCTCAGCAATGGTGGGCACGCCTCCCACAGCCTCGCTGCCAACTTGCAGTTTGATCTCAGACTGCTCTGCTAGCAACGAGCGAGGCTCCACGGGTGTAGGACCCTCCAAGCCAGGTGCAGGATATAATCTCCTGGTGTGCCATTTGCTAAGACCATTGGAAAAGCACAGTATTAGGGTGGGAGTGACCCGATTTTCCAGGTGCCATCTGTCACCCCTTTCTTTGACTAGGAAAGGGAATTCCCTGACCCCTTGCACTTCCTGGGTGAAGCGATGCCTCGCCCTGCTTTGGCTCACGCTCAGTGCTCTGCACCCACTGTCCTGCACCCACTATCCGACACGCCCCAGTGAGATGAACCCAGTACCTCAGTTGGAAATGCAGAAATCACCTGTCTTCTGTGTCGCTCACGCTGGGAGCTGTAGACTGTAGCTGTTCCTATTTGGCCATCTTGGCTCCACAATATCGAGATTCTATTTCATAGCTAATAAAAAAGACTGACAATACCAAATTTTGGCAAGGATGTGGCACACCTAGAACTCTCATGCATCATTGATGGAGTGTAACATGATACAGTGAACATAGTTTGGCAGTTTCTGATTATGTGCTTGTGTTACACTCCAGAAATTCTCTTCCTGGGGATTTACCTAAGAGAAATAAAAACTTATGCACACAAAAAGACTTGTACACAAATGTTCATACCAGTTCAATTCATATAGCCAAATACTGGAAACAAGACCAATGACCGTCAGCACATATATGGCTAAACTATTCTATATTCATACAATGGAACACTACTCAGCAAAAAAAAAAAAAAGAACTACTGATGAATCTTAGAAACATACTGAATGAAAGAAGCCAGTTTTAAAAGAATGCATATTATATCGTCCCATTTATATAATGTTCCCAAACTGCAAGGCCAGTGAGTGGGTACCTAGAATGGAAGATGAAGGGTAGCAATTACTTATAAAGGAGTATGAGAGAGATTTGTGGAATATGTCAATTGAGATGATGGTTTCAGAGGTGGTATGCATGGATATTTGTACCCTCCTCACCTCATGTTGAAATTTGATCCCCAATATTGAAGGTGGGGCTTAAGGGGGAGCATTTGGGTCATGGGGGTGGATCCCTCATGAATAGATTAATTCCCTCCTTCAATCCCCTCCCTTGGTGGTGAGTTCTCACTCTATTACTTCCCATGGGAGCTGGCTGTTAAAAAGAACTTAGCACTCCCCCACCCCTTGCTTCTTCTCTCCCATGTGATCTCTGCACAAGCCACCTCCCCTTAACCTTCCACCAGGATTGGAAGCAGCCTGAGGCCCTCACCAGATGCAGTTGCCCAGTCTTGAACTTTGCAGCCATTAAAATCATGAGCCAAATAAACTTTTTCTTAATAAATTACCCAGCCTCAGGTATTATTTTATAGCAATACAAAACAAAGCCAATGGAGTATACATGTATCAAAACTTATTGAACTTTACACTTAAAAATGTGTGTATTTTAGTGTATATAAATTATATACACCATATATATATACACACACACACACACACACACTATATATATATATATATATATATATAAAACCTAACAAAAAGTTAAAGAACATCTACTGTATGGCTCAATAACTCCCCCCTTACCCAAGAGAATTAACAAACATATCCACAAAACACTTGTAAAAGAATGTTCATAAATGCCATACTCATAATACCAAAAATTAAACATAATCCAAATGTCTATCAACAGGAGAATGGATCCTTTTTTTAATGTAAACTACTCAGCAATGAAAAGGAAGGAAATACTGATATAACCATAGGATGACTGTCAAAAACATCATGTTATGTAACTCTGAGTTCATTTCCAAACAAAAAAATAATAAAGCCTTGCTCCTGAAAAATTATGCTAAGCAAAAGAAACTAAACACAGAAGACTACATATTACATATCATACCTATAGGAAGCCCAACAATAGGCAAATTATAATCTATCATGCTGGAAACTAGAGAGTATGTGGAAATTTGATTGGAAAGGTGTGAGGGCAACTCTCTGGGAAGAAGAAATGCTTTCTGTGCTGTTGGGATGGTGATATGGATGATGATACATGGGGGATATGATTGCTGAATCTCATTCAACTGAATATGTAAGATTGATGCTTTTAATTGAATATTAGTTGTTTCTCAACAAGTAAAGTAAAAGAAAAGAGTAGAAAATCATATTCTCTCATTATGTAATAAGAAGAGAACTGTATTGAAGTCGGGAGACCCAGATTCATTTCTGGGATCTGTCACAACACGATAAATGTCCACTGGAGGCCTTGCCAATATTTTATCATCAAGCTCCTCATAATAAGCCAGCTGTAGAGGAAATGGTTCCTTTTCAAAAATTATTCATAGAACAAGTTGTCCTGTGAATAATTCTGGTTTCGATCATTTTTCCCTCAAAACTTTTAGATAAGTTTCCGCTCTGAATTTATTTCCATTTTTCCATATAAGATTAAGGGCAATGGGACAGGCAACACAAAAGCATGAAGGATGGCCAGAAGGACAGCACTGTGGAATGTGAGCAGCAGAAGGCCTGAAGAGCAAAGACTGAGGTTTCCCAAAGAAGAAGGAATTCTGCCTCAAGACTGCAACACAGAAACCCCGCCTGAAATTCCGACTGGCTGCCTTATGGAATTCAGAGTCAAGACTACAACACCAACTCTTATCTGAATTTCCAGTCTGCCAGCCTGCCTTGTAGCTTTTAGACTGCCAGGCCCCACAATCTCATGAGTCAGTTCCTTAAAATAGATAGAGAGAGTATAGATAGATTAGGTAGATACATAGATACATAGATAGATAATCTCCTATTAGCTCTGTCTCTCTGGAGAATTCTAAGACAGCACATATCAATGACAAGACTAATCAGACTAGAGTTGTTTGACTTCGGACTGTTTTAAATGTAACTATAGCGAACCGCACAATAATGTTTTTACCTTGACCACTTAAGAATGATTTAATTTTCCTCTTAATCTCCATCATCTCAAATTTGCTATGTATTGCTGATATCTCTGTGAAACAGTTTCACTTGTGTTTTCTACAATTTCCTTTGCTTGGAAGATGCAAAGAGGGGTGGATTTATGATTCCTTGGTGATTTTGGTAAGTTTGAGAGAGAGATTGGGTCATCCACCACCACTGTGCTTCCTCCAGTAAATTCATGTTTGCAGCCTTAAATGTAGATGCATCTAGTAATTACTCGGACCATAAAATATCAGGAGGGTCGGGGGCAGTGGCTATTGACTCATCAGTGGTAAGGATGTCAGTGTTCTAACATCTAACATGGCCGCACATACCAACACTGCATCAACTGGGCTTAGAAAAGCAAATACTGAACCCAGAAAACCAGTTGTTCTGCATCAACTGAGCTTAGAAAAGCAAAATACTGAACCCAGACAACCAGTGAGGGTTATTCTTTCATGCCAATCACTGTTTCAGATGCTGGGGATACAGCAATGCACCACACAGAGCAAAGGGAAACAAAAATCTCCTGCCCTTGTGGAATTCATGTCCTACAGGAGGACAATAAGTAACATAAAGAAATAAAAAAAAGTTACAAAAGATCTTAGAGTGTGATCCACTTAAGGAGAAAAATACAGCAGGAGGAGAGCAATTTCAGGCCAGATGTCCTGGGAAGGCCAACTAGGAAGGAGACATTTAATAAACAGCCCAGGTCGAAAGGGCAGGCAGCATGAAAGTCCAGCCATGGAGGCAAGCCTGGTGTGTCCGAGGGCCAGTAGGGAAGCCACATGGCCAACAGGGCATGAGGAACTCCAGAGCAGTGAGAGCTGGTTGGAGAGGGGTAGAGACTAGATTGCGAGTGAGTCACCCTGAGCACCTTGGCTTTTATTAAGTGTGATGAAGACCACTGGAGTGTTTCAAGCTAAGGAGTGACATGACCTCAAACTTGACGTAGGTATTAAACACTCTGAATGTGAAAACACTCTTAAGAATGGCAAGGGATGAGGTATCCAGGTGAGACAGAGACGGTGGCTATGACCAGGGCGGGGAAGTGCAGGTGGTGAGACATGATTGGGATGCAGATAGATTTTGAGGGTAGAACTAGTAGGACTTCTTGATGGACAGGATATGAGAGCAGTCAAGAGAGGTTTGGGGCCCTGAGTAACTGGTCAAATAGGGTTGCTAGTTACTGAATTAGGAAATGGCAGGTGGTATAGGTTTTAGAGTAGGATTACACTAGTTTTGGCCATATTCAGCTTGACACCTCATTAGACATAAAACTGGAGATGTGAACCCATCAGTAGGATGAATATCTGCTTCTGAAATTCAGGAGACATATTGGGCTAGAGATACAAATTTGGGATATGTCACTGTATAGATGAAATTAAACCCATGAGACCAGGTAAGATCTTCAAAAGAGTGGAAGTAGCTAGGCCATGAGGGCACAATAGAGCAACTTCTGATTTTCACTGTAAAACATCCCAGAGAATAAGTGTTCATCCTTCCCTGAAGGATGAATTTGGATCTCTGCATACAACACTGCAGAGGTGGTGAGCATCTGGCATGAAGTGACCCTGAGTTCTGACCCAGGCCAGCTGCACTGACCTCACCACCTTAAAGACGACACTGGAGTAAACACAAACCAAAGCTGTGCGATAAGGCATTGTATAGGCACCAAACAGTTTTTTGCTTTTTTCCCCACCATGGGGTAAAAGAAAATAATGCAGGACAAAACCTAACCCACTGACATTAAGACATTTTTGTTTTGAAAGACTTCTTATAGTTTATTAAAAGGTAACAGAAAGAGAATAAAGAAAAGTTTTTAAAATAACAAAGCAAAAGAAAGGGCTGGGAGTGATGGTTCACACCAGTAATCCCAGCACTTTGGGAGGCTGAGGTGGGAGGACTGCTGGAGCCCAGGAGTTCAACACTAGCCTGGGCAACATAGTAAGTCCCCATCTCTACAAAAAATTTAAAAATTAGTCTGCCATGATGGCACATGCCCATGGTCCCAGCTTCTTGGGAGGCTGAGGCAAGAGGATCGCTTGAGCCTGGGAGGTCAAGGCTGCAATGAGCCATGATCATGTCACTGCACTACAGCCTGGATGACAGAATGACATCTTGTGTCACAAAAAAAAGAAAAGAGGGCGAGAGATACAAAAGATACTGAGAATATGCCCCAAAATTCTATAAGGGCAGAAATCCTGCCTTATAGCCTGCTGGATCACTATAGGCACCTAGTGTACTAGCTTACACTGAGTTGGTGGTTAATAAATATTTGGTAATTGTTTGAAAAACACAGCCCATAAATCCACACCTACATGTACATTTTATCCCCTCATCAAATGTATTTAAGTGTGAAGGCTAATATTTACCTTCATTTTGTTGCACCTCCCTTTCTTTTCTGTTTCTCTTCTGTGACTGCACTGTATAATAATTGTTCTCATTGACAATATTTGTATCTAAAAAAATTGTTCCATCAAAGCATAGTTGTTAAGAGAAAGAGTTGAATCCTAGCTAGCAGAGGCAGTTTGGTAACAATCACTAGCAAAGGGGAGGGAGATATATTTGTGATTATATAGCATTTGTGTTTTCAAAATGTGTTCTATGGACAGTCACTTCAGGATATTTTAATTGACTCCTCAGTTAAAAAAAAAAGTGTAAGAAATGTACAGCCAAACACATTGCAATAAGTTCTATTCCCAAAGGACCTTTGAAACCTTTTAATAAGCAGATATTTCTAACCACCAGGAAGATATAGCCTGCTGAGTTTTCCGAGCTGATTTACTTATTTTTAAATTCTTTTATGTTAGAATCCCTTCTTTCTTTGTTTTCCTTGTTTGTTTGGTTTGTTTGTTTTGCAATAATATTATGGAATTTGAATCCACTTTGGAAACATTGCATTACTTGTTTCTTTAAATTTCAATTTTGTTAATAATTAGTTTAAATTATGATGTCTTTATGCTGTTATCAATATCGTCAATTACCACCATGTTGCTTAGGAATCCTCAGTCCTGCGTCTTCCCCTTACCTTGAGCTATAAGCAGCCTCTGTCAAAGTGGAACAATTTCTCCAACATCTTTCTTCAGGACCCACAGGCTACTGCTTCACATCTCCTCTTCTCTCCACCACCTCAAGTTTCAGTCCTTGAAGCACTTTTCTTCTCTGTCCACACTCACTCCCCACATGATGTCATCCAGTTAACTGGTTTGAAACACCATCTCTATACTGATTACACTCTTGCAGTTACACCTGCCGTCCACACTTTTCCCCTGAACTTCAGGTTCTCATGTCCACCTGCTGACTCAATGCCTTCACTTGTCTATATTCCAGACATCACAAAAATAACCTGTCAAGAATGAATCCCTGTTCTTCTCCCAAAATCTGCTCTTCCAACCATCATTCTCATCTTGGTTGATGGCAACTTCATCTTTTTTCAGCTGCACATATCAAAATCCTTGGAGGTATCCTTATACCTCTCTTTCTCCAGCACATCAATCTCAAGCCACCAATAAGTCCCAGTGAACCTACTTTCCAAATACAGCCAGAACTCAGCCATGTGACCACTTCTCATGGCCATCTTTGCTGATCCAAGCCACCACCATCTCTTGCCTGAATTATTGCACTAGTCTTTGCACTGATCCTTCCCTTGTCCCCTATAATTGATTTTCAAAGCAGAAGCTAGAGTGATCCTTTCAAATTACTCCTCTCTTCAAACCTCTGCTTTACCCAACAAAAGCCAAATTGCTTGCAATGAACAAGAAGACCCCCTGGGGGTCTGTCACCTCTCACCTCTCTGATTTACATCCTGCTACACCCCCAATCTTAACTACACAACACGTGCACTTTTGTCCTTCCTGTTGCTTGGCCTCCCGAGCCTGCTCCCACCTCAGGGTGTTGCAGCAACTGTTTACCCTCTCTTGCATTTTCTTCCTCCAGGTGTCTGTGTGACTCACTCCCTCACTTTCTCAATGAGGTCTGCCACTTTCTTAATGAGGTCTATCCTCTCCCACCCTTTGACCAACTAACCCTGTGCTCCCAATCTTCCTAACTCTGCTTGATTTTTTTCCTCCATGGCATTTATAACTTGCAACACACTGAATGGTCTATGGTTGAGTTTATATGAGGATCAACTTTCTCTCCAAATGTGTGTTTACTGAAATCAAATCTTTTTTTATTTTTATAAGAGATATGAGAAAATTTTTATAAATTAAAAATCTATGAAGTAATTGACATATTGAGTTTGTTCTCACGTGAAAAAAATATCACAAATTGTACTTACTCATCAACTACCACTTTGTAAAGCTATACATGGGAGAAAGTCTAATAAGGAACACAGAACATTAATCAGGTTTGTTGTATTAAAGGAGTGAGTTTATGAATTACATTTTTTATTATTCTTAAACTATCTGTAACAGTGTAATATTGTTAGGGTAATTACAGTGCATTTTAAAAAGTATTTTGCTGAAACTTTTTTTTTTGAGACAGAGTCCGGCTCTGTCACCCAGGCTGGAGTGCGGTGGCGCCATCTGGGCTTACTGCAAGCTCCACCTCCTGGGTTCACGCCATTCTCCTGCCTCAGCCTCCCGAGTAGCTGGGACTACAGGCGCCCACCACCACGCCCAGTTAATTTTTTGTATTTTTACTAGAGATGGGGTTTCACCGTGTTAGCCAGGATGGTCTCGATCTCCTGACCTCATGATCCACCTGCCTCGGCCTCCCAAAGTGCTGGAATTACAGGCGTGAGCCACCATGCTGGGCTGAAACATTTTAATTTTAAAGAAATTGCTCTGATTTTAAAATATTGCCCTTATAAGCAGCTGAGTATACATGAAAACATCATTCAATGGAAAATAACAGAAGACATGTAAATAATACAAGTGCTGAGCGAGTTGTACAATTTCAGAATGCTTTGAATCTATCAAATTTCTAAGTTGATCCATCATTGTACAGGAAGTTTGACACTCAATCAGAGCCAGCCTTGCCAATTACAAGAACTCTTCTTTGGAATTTTGGTTTCTAAGGGTCACACTTTTTGGAATATAATATTTTGTCTCTTAAATAGTCTGTATCTACTACTAATAAATAGTAGCTGGGTATCCATATCATGTAACAGAAGGGAAATGAAATTGTACAATTTTTTTAGGTAATTCTAGGTAATTTTTACATAATTTTAGATAAATCTCCAGGTAATTCTGAAATACTTTTGGTTGAAAATGGGCTGTATTGGATGGTTTGATTGCTTTCTTTTTTATAAAAATTAAACTCCCAGCTATCTTCCAAGCTGCTGCAAGATGAAATGCTCCTTTCTTTATCTACCTTGTTCTCCCCTTCTCTGAAGAAGGAAATTCTACCATAGGGCCCAGGAACTTGAGCAACTGTGTTACTTATTTTAGATCCTTTGTCATTCTAGATTTCCTCAGGTTCACCAAGAGAATATCTATGCCCACCAGATTACATAAAAAGTATGAGATGAGGTTCGGGAAATAAGATAAAGATTTATAAACTGGAATTCAGAATGTGGTTTATGGAAAGATTTAAGGTAAATTAGCATATCTCAGCTCAGGGACAGACAAGTCTTAGCAGGACTCCTCCTATCAAAGAAATCTTATTTCCATTTTCTTCCCATTTTTCTGTGCTCAAGACATGATTAACTAACTGCAGAGACATGCCAAAGACAATCAAATCCTTTTTTATGTGAATATCAGATTTAAGAATGCTTTCGTCATAAGGGTGGAACTAGAAATCAGAGGTGAGTGAATTAGTCCTGGATCTGACCCAGCGACCAGAGGCACAAACCATCACTGGCAGACTGAGATAAGGGGAGGATGAAAGTGGCAGCAAACAGCCTGAAGACAAAGAAAATGGAAAAACCTAAAGGATCCATGTTTACATTAGACCTCTAATTTCCTGAAAATACTCCCTTAATGAAAGCAGGAACCAAACCCACTTTAAGTAATTCATTTGGTTGCTATGATTGAGGAATGTGTTAGTTTCAAAAGTCTTAATGTAGATTATATTTTGAAAAGGTTATTCACTTTGCATAGGGGCTAGTTTTCTAGATAATTCCTCTAAAGGGTGATTTTTCTGGTGTCTTGAGAGTTGGTGTGTACGTTCGTGATCTGGCACAGACTAGTCAGGGTGCACAAAGCAGCTCAGATTTCCAGAAACCACTACTTAAGAAAAAAAGGTGAAATGAAAAGAAAATAATTTTGCACATTACAACCCCAAATCAGACAAGGTTTTGCTCAAGAAGAGAAAAATGATGAGGGAATTCCTCACTAAAGTCTCGGTCTTTACCCATAAGCTCACTGTTCCTAAAGAGTCATGAAATCCAAGAAAACTTGTCCTGAACATGGGCATCAAGAGACTCTGATTTTCTTTATAGTTTGAGATCTCTGCTCAGATGGTAAATCAAAGACATTCAAGTATAGTGTGAGGTTCTTTCAGCCAAGATTGCAGCAAAAGGTACATGATATTTTCTGATCATAATGCCCCAGAGTGAAGAGGAATTAGAGAAATGCTGACTGGTCCTGTGGGTAGACAGGGAGAGTGGGGATTTGGGAGGATGACCTGCAACCCCAGGGGGATCCACATCATCCCACTCCTTTTCCCCACGGCATACACCCTCATCCAGGAAGCCTCAGTTGGGTGGCAGTGGGGCTGAGAGGGCAGAGGCCCCATTACTCAATGACTCGGCCCTCAGACACTCCATCACACTTTGACTGCAAGGCTCCTGAGAGACAGGCATAGGATGTGCGGAATCCTAATTAGGGAAAAAAAAGTCAGACTAGCAGTACCAAGGGAAAGCAAAGACAGAAAGCAGATAAACTGTAAGTTTGCCTTTCTTCATGGCCCAGGACACACAGCTCTTCTGAGCAAATAACTCAGAATCTTCCAGCACCCAACTATCACCAGACACCTGCAAGTTAGCTCACTACAACCTTGGCATTATCAGTACTGCATATAGCCCCCTGGAGCCCAGGAACTATCCTATAAATATCCAGCAAGCCTTTGTTTCTTTGCAGTCAGCTCCTCTCTGGCTGTGCTGCCCATTGCAACCTTGTAATGTATTTTCATACTTTCTCTAATAAATCTGCCTTTCTTTATCTACAACTGTCTTAGTAAATTCTTTTACCCCTGTACCACCAGACCAGATAGTTGTCACTCACCTATGACAGGGAAGCCTTTGTTCCAATCATAGAATGGGCTCAAAATTGGCCACTGATATCCACACTAAAGTCATGTTTAACTAAGTTGTCACAAGACAAAAGTGGTCTTAGATAGGATCTGCAGTTGTTGAAATTCAAGACTACCCACCCAACTGATAAGTTATCAAGTCTTCTTTAAATCTCAGTTACATCTTGGTGGACACTATCTTTATTCTGTGTTTTTTCATTAGGATAGCATCCCTTTCTACCCAGGGCTCAGACACACCCAACTCCAGAGCCAATCCCACAGACTCAGCCCAGCCACACATATGTCCATGTTTAGTCTTGCTGTAGGGGGCCTGGGGCCCTCACAAGCATTGGTTGGAAGTACAAGATTGGAGTCAGCAAGGACTTGGTTTCATCCCTACTTCACAGCACTATCATCATAAGAATGGCAGGATGTGGTGTGTGGAAAGTGCTTGTCTCAGGGTCTGGCACATAGCAGTCTTAGTAAGTGTCGACTGCTGCTGCTGCTGCTATGTTATTCCAAGCGTGCTAAGGACAAATACATCCCAGACAAGTTGAAGCCATCCTACCCTTGGCCCACAAATATTTTAAAGATGTCTCTGTCATCACCCCATTTCTCCATTCTCCTCTGTGTCTGAGCCAAGGCCTCAGCCCCTATTCAGAATCCAGACGCCCTGCCTAACTAGCCCTTTCCTTTCTCTTTCTTGGAACTGGACTCTTGGTTGCTGTTAGATTTTTGTTCTAGAACCAGAGGGATCTTTTCCACCAACCTGTAGTAGGACCCTACTGCACATGCACGCGCATGCAAGTGCACGCACACACACACACTCGTGCACACACACATGCATGCTCCCACAATGTTGGCATCGCCACTGTTGTAAGACTCCTGCATTGTATCCTCCCAACCAGACTGCATTTGCCCTTGGACATGGATGTCAGCCTGGCTCAAAGTCATCACCCAAATCCTTGCGGGGCTCTCCCTTGCAGTTGTCTGCCTCTGCACTCCCAGAAAACCAGGAAGTATGGAGGAGTGGGCAGAGAAATATAAACCCTTGTGATTATAGGACAAATATTTTAAAGGACATAGAGGAAGAATTCTCCTAGAGGAAAAACAGGTATCCGAAAACTGAAGACACCCCAGATACACTTGAGCTATGCGGCCACATCTCCAAACACAGAGGCACCCAAGTAGAAAAGTAACTTGGAATCAATCTCCTCACCTAAACAACGCATTCAAGAACAGAGAGAATCCCAGATCCTGCTGGGGATCCCGTAACATTCAAGTCAGCAGTCACAGCAGCATATCTACAGGGCGCAGAGATAAAAGTTCCCAGAGTGTGGAACAAAAAAAATAAGGACAATGATGAGGTCTGACATCATTAAGTGTTGACTGCTGGCTGAGTAATGCACTAAACACTTACACCCATTTAACCTTCAGAAACCACCCTCTAAACATGATATTATTACTAATATGCTGGTCACCTCTTTGTAAGCAAGAAACTCAAGATTTAAAGACATAGATGAGTTGCTTAAGGTCATGCAACAAGTAAGTGTAAGAGCAGGGATTAAATGCAGATCTGCATTAGTCCAGAGCTTTCTGTCTCCAAACCTCTGCATGGAATAGCCAAAATTAGATGATTATGTCCACAATGGTATTCAGGAACAATGGCATGTGAATAGTTTGGCCTCAGGATCTAGTAGGAGAACTGTTATAGCCAGACAGAAACATGCCTCCGATTTCCTTATGCCTGGAAGAAATTAAAGGAAAAACTGACATTCAGTGGATAAAGCTTTGGGGGCCAGTTCTGCTATGTTTACCTCTGCACCCTCTGTTGAAGTAGCCTTCAGAGAGAAGAAGAATGGAGCCACCAAGCAGAGGATCAAAGCAGGCACCCGCAACAAACTTGAACTTACATCAGTCATTCACTCCCCACCCCTCCAGAAACAATGGCCCTCACTCAAGAGGGCCTTCTCATATCCTCATATCCACCCCTCTCATGTCCGTTCTCTATTTTCTTCTTGCAGATGGGTATGACCCTGCTTCCTCACCCCTTTTGGCCAGCAGCTTCTTGCTTCATTTGTTTTGTTTTTTTCCTTCATCTCCATCTGAGTAGATTACACTGCTGGATTTTGTGGATTTCAGAAAGAATAACTCCAGAATATGAGCACTCTGTGTGTATACTATAAAGCTCCCATCCTTTCTTACCCTCAACCAGGTCTTTTCCAACACGTTGGACCAAAGTCCCATATTACACAAACAAGATTTCAAGGGATTTCATCAATCTGTACCATGATTTTCCCATTGGTAATACTACTTTTCTCACAAGCAAAATTGATAACAATGATTATTATTGTTATAATGTTATATATATTACATTATATATTATATTATAGGCCCTTCATTTGCATAAGGCACCAAAACACAATTAAACTCCTTTAAATTTAATTCAGCTAAAGTTTTTCTTTTAACAGAAGATTGTTTGGAAAGCTAAGTCTTCCCTCTGTCATTGAGTGAATGTTTTCCTCAATATAAATATAATATTATATATATTATATTTAATATATAATAATGTTATAACATTATAACAATAATGTTATATATATTATATATATAATATTTAATATATAATATATATTATATATAATATATATAAATATATTATATATAATATATATTATATATAATATTATATATAATATATATTATATATAATATTATATATAATATATATTATATAATAAAATATATAACATATATGATATATTATATATTATATTATATAATATATATTATATAATTATATTATATATTACAATTATATAATATATATTATATAATTGTATTATATATAATATATAATTGTTATAATGTTATAACAATTATATATTATATATATTATATATTATTATAACATATAATGTTATAATAATATAACAATGAATATTATTGTTATAATGACCTAAATTCGTATGTGAAAATTTTGTTCCCTTTGAGATAAAAGTATTTTTGAAAAATACCCCAAAGCCACTTACCCTCATTGGGTTGTACTTGAGTTCTTTCTTCCTCAACTTTCTGCCCACAGTTTCACAACTCAGAAAGCCAATTTCTCTTACAGCTTTATAGCTTTACTAAATACAACAGCCAGCCTCTCTTTAAAAACCTCCCATTTTCTTTATCAGTTAAGAGACAGGAACCAGGTTACTGATAAGCTGAACCCGATGATCACACTGTTAACAAATGTTAACTGCAGTTTTCACCACATTCTCCCTATTTGAAAGATCTTTAATGAAGTTCTATTTCCAATTTTTACCTTATCTCTATAGATAGTTACATTTTGTCTTAACTATATTTTGCCTTCTTCATGAGTGACTTTCTCAGCAAAACCTCCCTAACACCATGTAGGTGGCAGGTCACTCATTTCCCTTAACGCGAGTTGGTAGTTGTAACTTCCCTATAGTCACATTTCTAGAACAAGAGTACCCATTTCTGCAGCAAGTTGCTTATTTGGTGTTTCTTTCTTTTTTTTTTTTTTTTTTTTTTGAGGCAAAGCCTCACTGTGTCACCCAGGCTGGAGTGCAGTGGCACAATATCAGCTCACTCTGCAGCAAGTTTTGTAACTGATGCCTCGTTGGCAATGTTTTTGAAAACTTTGACACATCTCGTGTGCTTAAGTGTACACCAGGCTCTGTGTGCAGTAATTTGGTATGTGCTATCCCACGCAATCCTCAGAAGCTGACAGGAGCTTCAGAGAGGAGAATTACCTTACCCAAGGTAGCAGCCAGTACAAGGGAAATCCAGGATCCAAAGTGTCTATACCTGGGCTTTTTCCACATGCCCGAGATGGCCTATCTCAGGTGGTTGTAATAGAGATTTATGGACATGTGCTGCAATTATTAGAATTCTGGATAAACTAACCTTAATTATCTATGCAATTTCTAAAAATATTGGTGACTTTCAAATAATCAGGATGTGCCATCTGCCAGAGTCTTCCCTAATATAATAGAGCATGAGATTTAGGGAGAGCACAGCCTAGTTTTCCTCTTCCCAGCTGCTTGACTTTGGGCAAATTCTCTAACCTCTCTCTCGTGTGAAGGGTATTGTTGTCAATATTAAATCAGTAACCTATGGAGGATGCTATCCATATTGATGAAATACTAGTGATTTTCTGCTCTATCATATACCCATCCTATCACACCCAGCACAATTGTGTTTAAAATAAAAACAAACCTTCTGGCAGGGCATGGTAGCTCACGCCTGTAATCCCAACATCCTGGCCAACATGGTGAAACCCCGTCTCTACTAAAATACAAAAATTTGCTGCGTGTGATGGTGCACACCTCTAATCCAAGCTACTCAGGAGGCTGAGGCACGAGAATTGCTTGAACCCGGGAGTCAAAGGTTGCAGTGAGCCAAGACTGCACCACGGTGCTCCAGCCTTGGTGACACAGCGAAACTCTGTCTCAAAAACAAACAAACAAACAAAAAAACCCTTCAAAATGTATTTGAAAAGATGGAATGATTCATAATATGTACCATATCTAGACACCATGTTTATGTCAAGAGACTAACAAAACCTGGGTAGCACCTGACCTTCAATCTTTAACATCACTGACGCTCGTTTTGGTTTGGGTGCAGAGCTAAGATGTCTTCTCTGTGTGAATACAACCTCACCTCCCCCACCCCCACCTCAACACACAGACAAATGAACAGCTGTGTGTACTCTCCTTTTTTTGTGGATTTGTGTCAAGACGCTCGTCCCACCAAGTGAGCTAGATCACCTCTTCTCCTTACCTAGAGTCACCATACATAAAAGATGAAAATCTACATCGAGGAGATAATGGTAGACTCATTTGCGTACTACGCAGTCTTTAGGTGGACTATGACTTCATAAGATCATCAATCATTTATTCTCCACTGCTAGAGAACCACAGAAAATATGCCTAAGTAATACACAAAACAATACTTATCAATGTCCCCAATATTGTGTCAGGCACTGTGAGAGGTGCAAGAGAAGATGAGACTCATTCCTGACCTTGAGGAACTAAACTAAAGATCATGGGAAAAGAGAGGTGGGGACAGGGATGTAGGATTTTACAAATCTGCAAATTTAAGATTTTTTGGTTTTTTTTTTGAGATGGAGTTTCACTCTTGTTGCCCAGGCTGGAGTGCAATGGCACAATCTCAGCTCACCACAACCTCCACCTCCCGGGTTCAAGTGATTCTCCTGCCTCAGCCTCCTTAGTAGCTGGGATTACAGGCACCTGCCACCACATCCAGCTAATTTTGTATTTTTAGTAGAGATGGAGTTTCTCCATTTTGGTCAGGCTGGTCTCGAACTCCTGACCTCAGAAGATCCTCCCTCCTTGGCTCCCCAAAATGCCAGGATTACAGGCATGAGCCACTGCCCCCGGCCTTAAGATTTAAATTATACAGAAATTTACAGCAATCAGAATATTCTTTAAATTATGGTAGGTTATCAAGAGACTATAAAGTAGTCTTTACTCAGGAGTATAACTTTTTGGCCTGGCACAGTGGCTTCTGGCACTTTGGGAGGCCAAAGCAGGAGGATCACTTGAGGCCAGGAGTTTGAGACCAGCCTGGGCAACACAGTGAGATTTTGTCTCTACACAAATATTTTTAAATAGAGTGGAACTTAAAAAAATTTTTTTCTAGCATGGTTGAGCTACAGTTCTATCCTAGTTCTAGATCTCTTAATATCCTTCACATCACATGAGAATCATGGCAGCAGTATTTAGAAACTTGAACCACATCCGCTGTGGAACTTATCCTTCAGTCTCTATCATTGGCATTTATGTACTTGATTGCCATCAAAACGAATAATGCCATTTTCAGTGCTCCCATAAATAGTTTTCAAATCCAGGGAGACTAACATCCATCAAGGTCCTCCTGAGTTAGTAATAAAGAAGGCCACATCTGAATGCAGACATGAGGACCTGAGCAGCCGTGGGCAGCTTAAGGAAGTTTCTCTTGAATGATCCGTCTATGCCAGGGCTCTGCAAAATGTGGAATTCAGACTCCTGCTGCTGTACCCACCTGTCAGGGAGAGACTAGGCAAACTTGTAAGGGGCCAAGTCCTGCTCCGCTGTGAGGATCGCTCCCCAGGGGTGGAGGTCTTTAATGGTGCACCCCAAGTATGGTTTGCTCGCCTGCCATGACCCCTCTTGGAGGTAACTCTCCTTAATGAAAATGCCCTAGAACCTAAGGAGGGCAGAACAACATCTGTGGCAATTCAGCAATCAGTGACCTGAATGGAAAGATCAAAGTTGGCCAAACTTATTTGTCTGAAATAACATACGGTGCTCCTGGAAAAGCAGAAAAGTGGGGTTTGTGCACACACATGTGTGCTCAAGTGCTTGTTTGTGTGTGCACATGTAGGGTTGTGTCCACATGGAGAGGACATCTGAGCTCTGCACCCAAACTAAATGAATTTTCGTAATGTTGAAAATTGCCCTAAATTGGCAAAACCAAGAGATTAGCTGGTCTTCCTTGCACTTTGAAGAAACAAGTTCAGATCCGATACCAATTCCACAGCTTATGATAACCCAGAGTCCCCTCATGACATCTGCTGATTTCTGGGGCTCATTTTCTCCAAGATCCTGTGTCTCAAGCTCCAGGAGTCCCATCTCTGTTCCACTCAGCATCAGCCCAAAACTCAGTCCCCTCTCCAGTTTGCAAAAGAAATCCATTTACACCAAACATTTCTAAAATACGGTGTACCTAGCTAAAGATTCGCACATCACATGGAAGACCTGATGGCCTCCTACCATCCACCAGGTCCTCTTCCTCCTCTCCTCTCCCCTGCTCATCACCCCTCTTCCCTTGCAGAGGTACTTGGGAGCACTTCAATTCTTTCCAGTGCTTGTCGCTGAATGGCCTCAGCCCAAATTCACCAAGGTACTAGGCAGCTAGAAAGCTTTATCTCTTTTAGAAAGAAGGCAGATAGTCCAGGCATGGTGGCTCATGCCTGCAATGCCAGCACTTTGGGAGGCCGAGGTGGGTGGATAACCTGAGGTCAGGAGTTCAAGACCAGCCTGACCAAGATGGTGAAATCCCGTCTTTACTAAAAATACAAAAATGAGCCGGGCGTGGTGGCAGATGCCTGTTATCCCAGCTACTCAGGAGACTGAGGCAGAAGAATCACTTGAACCTGGGAGGCAGAGGTCGCAGTGAGCCAAGATCCTGCCATTGCACTCCAGCCTGGGCGACAACAGCGAAACTGTGGCTAAAAAAAAGAAAGAAGGAAAGAAGAGAGAAAGAAAGAGAGAAAGAAAGAAAGAAAGAAAGAAAGAAAGAAAGAAAGAAAGAAAGAAAGAAAGAAAGAAAGAAAGAGAGAGAGAGAGAGAGAGGGGGAGGGAGGGAGGGAGGGAGGGAGGAAGGAAGGAAGGAAGGAAGGAAGAAAGAGAGAAAGAAAGAAAGAGATGGCAAATTCATTTTTCTCTGTCACATTTACCTTTGCTTCACTTTCATGTCTGCATGAATCCCCTTTCCCTCACTTCTAGAACATTCCCTCTTCTTACTTGGTTGCTTTAACCCATTAAATATGGTGTCTAGTAAAACCTACTCCTTTATTCTCTCGAGGAGTATAGTTTTTTAAAAAGTAGAAAAGTCATAAATATAAATGTCTGAATGGCTTTTATAGGAATTCCAGCATCTATGAAAGAAACAAAACTGAAGGAGAATTCGTTTTAACCAGAAAATTCTAATCAAGCCTAATACATAGCCAGAAACTTTACCTTCTTTTAAGACTAGCCCTGTGTGTCTTTACCGCACCCCTCACTCAGAATGCTTGTTCTCATGAGATTTAACAGGAAGCAAAAACTCAACCTTATTTTATGGTTACACCATATCATGTGCATTCAGATCTTTCATGATTCCATAATGGGTAAAAAACCTTCCTGTGTTCAGAAGTTAAATTGGCTGTTTTTTATTTTACTGAGGCAGTTAGCCTTAATAATTGGCTCCTATTTGTCTGAATATGAACTGTAGGGATCAAAGACTTTGCTGAATTCATTCTCTTTCTTGTCCACTCTTTAAGAAATTAGAAATTAAACAAGGCATGAAAGCTAGTGTGTTTCACTCTTCCCCCTTACTCCTATTCCAAAGTTCAGAAAAAGTCTATGTTTAGTTAAGAGTTAACAGAGGTGCTTGATTTTGAGTTTGTGGAATAGAAGTTATGTTAAAGCCACATGTTCACCCGGAAGAAAAAAAATAATTTTGGTAAAAAATTAGATTTTTATATTCTCTCTCTCTCTCTCTCTCTCACACACACACACAATTGCCCCTTCCTTCCTCATCATTCTTTTGCTTATTAAGCAAAAAAAGTTTACTCAATTTTTTCTATAAAACACATTTAGATCTTTCCACATTTTAACAGGATTCACATGTCCCCCACCAGCCTTGAATAGTTTAAGCAAAAGAATGAGCAACTGGGTAGCTAGAAATTGTGAGTTGTCAACAAATTACCTTTAATAGCTGTGGCAGGCAGCCTCCAAGATGGCCCCCTGATCTCTGCATCCTGGTGTTTATATCCTTGTGTAGTCTTTTCCCTCACTGTACCAGGTCAGGTCTATGTCATCAATATAATATGGAATAAGTGATCACGTGCCATTTCCAAGATTAGGTTATGTAAGGCATCCTGTACTTGTCTGGGACTCTGTCTCTTGAATCACCCCCTCTGAGAGAAGCCATCTCGAGGGCAGCCCCAGAGAGTGCTCCACACAGACAGGTCCTGAAGCCTCCTGCCAACAGCCACATGAGTGACCCTAGCAGCAAGTCCCTCAGTTGCAGTCAAGTCTTCCGAGATGAAAAAGTGTAGTCAACAGCTTGACCACAACTTCATGAGCACCCCCGAGGCAGAATCACCAAGCTAGGTCACTGTCAGATTCCTGACCCTCAGGAACCATGTGAGATAATAAAGGTTTACTGTTTAAGCTGATAAATTTTAGAGTACTTTGTTATGGCACTATAGATCCCTAATAGTTGATAGAAAATGAAGTTATACTATATTCTTTGTGGATCTAACAACAAATACGTAGAAGTCAGGGGTACTTGCTAGTAAGAAATGACTTGATCTCCATGGGTTTTTTTTTTTTTTGGTACTGTATTTCCCTTACATAGTAGTCAAAAATTCAACTGCTACTCCTACTCAGAAGGCCTTTTAGTGTCTGTGATGTCAGGAAGCCATTTCTCTTGTAACTCTGGAGTTTCTGTTATCAGAGGAAACGTCCGATCTTACAGATTGTTCCACAGATATTAAAAGCACCCTTTCCCTAGTCTGATCAGATAAAGTCTCTCCCTTCTACACGCTCATAATATTTATTCAACAGATCTTTGTTCATGGATCAGAAGGAAACACATTTGTTTTGTCAAGAAAGCAACATTTCACCACAATGTCCTCACAATCGAGGGTCTTCACCAAGTTACTACTGGTCAGCAGCAGCACCTAAGAGACCTCAGGGAGACAGATCTCTATGAACCCTGAGGGGACACTCAGCGTCCAGCTGGCAATAGCAGTTGTGATAGCAAAGGCAAGCATTTGTGAGAACAGTGGGTGAAGGACCCCTTGGCTGCAGTCCGTGCTTTGTGCAGACAGTCTTCTCTTTGATCACAAATGTTCCGATGATGCGACGCCTTCCTGCTGTAGTGGCTCTTGTGCCCTGAAATCTCAAACAAGCACTTTGCCTTATGACATGGTAAGAGCATAAAAGGAAAATCTGATCTGTAGGTTATGTTCTCAGTATTTTCCCTGTGTCATGGCTTTCATGCTTTGGTGTCTCAAATACCCTCTCTCCTTCTCCCATTGTAAGAACATGAGAGGAAAGGCTGATCTGTACATTGTGTTCTCATTCTTTCCTCCTGTTGAAACGTTGAAATAAATGTCAACATTTTCCTTCATGGCTGTATTTCTCCTAAAATCTAGAACTCTAGACACTTCTATCTGGGGCTGGTAAAAATTTAAAGATGTCCTTTGTTTTGCTGAAAGTACCCAGTCCTGTCAATATGCATGACAGAATATCTTCTGAGATCAAGTCCAGATATTTTGAAGCATTACAAGAAAATTTAGATTTAGGAGGGAAAGGAGATTAGGAAAGGGGGAGAAAAGGTGATTTCACAGGGACCACAGGCATGCGTTTTCAGGAAGGATTTTAGTCATCCACTTAAAATTGTTTTGCTTCAAAGTTATGTCCAGTTCTCTAGAAATTGATGACACATTTTTTAAAACAACAGCTTATTTCCCAAAGTACTTGTGTAACATGTAGCACATAAGATCTAACAGGCACTGCCCTTCAGTCTGAAGCACACAGCACCAGCGTAGTAGGGCACAAAAGTCACTTAAAAATTATTGATTTATATCAGTAATGCTCAGTTAATAAGTTTTAAAATGTATAGAATACTACAAATGAAAAAATTCTCATAACCTAATACTCAGAGATAATTATAGTCTAACATACCCACATATTTTCTGCTGGCCTTATTTCTTAGAGTGTATGTGGATATAATTGTGCAAGTATATATATATATCTATAGATAGATAGATAGATAGATAGATAGATAGATAGTTAGATATAATGTACAAATATTATATATACACAACAGAAAATGCAAAACTTCCCGAGAGACGCAAAAGAAAACAAGTGAATGAAGAGTCATGTCATGCTTCTAGAGAAGACTCAGTAATAAGATTCATAATGAACTTTTTTGAAGTTGACAAAATAATTCTAAAATTAAAGTGAAGAATAAAGGAAAATGGCAAAGCTAACTTCTCACTAAGTGCCGGTGTGTGCCACACACGGGTTCCACCCACACAATCATCATAATAAACTTATAATATAGGGACTACTATTACCCTTACTTTACAGATAAGAAAACTGAGCCATGCCAAAGTAAATAAATTTGCTGGGTCACATTGCCAGTCAGCTAAGAAGCTGGGATTTGAACCCAGGCACAATGAAAGTGAAGCCTGCACTATTATCCAAAATCTGCATTGCTTGTCAATTTTCCAGAAATACTGAAGATCAGTCAGGAAAATACGAAAAATAGTAAAAGATTAGGAGAACAGATGATTTCTCCTTGAGCCTACTGTTGTCCTACAGATATTCTCTTCTGAGCTTACTATTGTCCAATAAAGTTTCAGTAATTAAAATAAAATAGAACAGCCACAGGAGGAGACAGACAACTTATAAGAACAGGATAAAAAATGTAGAAACCAATGGAGCATTAACAGGAATATATCACAAGATTATCAACATGATGAAAAAGTCAGTATATCAAACCTGAAAGAAAGAATAGGCTTTAAATAAATGGTGTTATGACCATTTAATATTTAATTTAAGCATTACAAATGGTTTAATATTATCATTATAAAATATAAACATATACAAGTAAAGTTTAATCAGTAAGAAAATTAAATTCCAAATGTATTAGAGATTTAAAAGGAAAAAGAAAAAAGTTAAATCTGTAAGCAGATAGAATTAAGTATTTCTTTGGTAATGAGGTAGGAATAATATTGGCCTTCTAAACTCAATGATAGAGACAGAAATCATAATGTCAAAGACCAAATAAATCTAATCACATCTGAAAATACCATAAATAGAGGGCAAGCAAAAAACTGATGAAAATGTTACAAACACACACATACGCATACACATGCATGCACATGCACTCACACACTCAACACAAATATTTTATAAATTAATAACAGAAAAGACAACAATCTAAACTTTAAAATATGCAAAAGATATAAACTAAATTCAAAAAGGAAGGACAGAGATTTTCAATAAACTAATTAAAATATTATACATCAAAAGAAATAAAAATGCTAATTAAAACCAATAAATGTGCCATTTTTACTTATGAAGCTTGGAGGTTTAAAAAAATTATAATAATAATACCCAGATATTTGGAGAGATAATAAGTATATAAATCGGTGCAACCTTTTTAGACGATAATTTGGAAATCTGCATCAAAATACCCCTTAACTCAGCAATTTCTCTTCTACTAATACAGTTGAGATAATCATGGATATTCAAAAATATTTATCTGCTCATTCACAACATTGTAACAATAGCAGGAAAAAACGAAATATAAAAAATAAAGTATTAATTAATATATGGTATTTTTAAATAATAAAATACTTTGTAGTCATCCAAAATGATGTAGACTAATAATATTTAAATAAATAGAAAATGTTTGTGATATACTTTGTTTAGAGGCAAGTTTTGTGATTTCTACTTCCAGCCAAGATAGAGTAATAGGAATAAGATTTACCCTCCTGACTTAAATAACTAAACACTGAACAAAACGTATGAATCAACAGCTTTCAAGATATAAGCATCAGGCAGTGGACGACGGTGAACCTTGAGAGATGGGAAGCAAAAAAAGAGGCTGGCAATTGCCCTGGTTACTGCCTGGAGAGTTTCTGAACTCTGGCAAAGAGAAGAGGAAGAGAGATGAAGTCCAGTGGTCTCTCCGAGATGAGGAATCAGAGCTGGGAGTCTGGAAAGGCTAAGGTGACTTGAGTTCACAGAGTACTGAGGAGATCACTACAGAGATATCTGCAGCGCCCTCTTCAGTTACTCAGCTCAGTACTGACGAGTTCATGCTTCTGAGGAAGTGATCTGTGGTCAAAGAAAGAACCACCCAAAACGATCAGAGGGAACAATTACCACAACTCTTACAGGGTCAGAAATAGTACCTGTGCCCACTATTCAAAATGGAAAATGACATAACTCATGAGTTTTGTCTCAATAGTAGTATAAATTAACCACAGGCTAAATGTCACTCTGGTTACACATAAAAAAAACTTAAAAGGAAGACCCAAAAATGTCAAACTTGTTTCAGGGCAACATAACAGTAATTCAGAGCACAGCTCAAATATTTATAGAAATAGAAAAATATTCAGCACTCAATATGTTAAAATTAACATTGTCTGGCATACAATAAAAAATTTTCAAGCATAAAAAGGAGCAGAAAATACTACCCTTAATAAAGAGAAGAATCAATCAATCAAAACTAGCAAAGAATTAACATAGATAAATAGAATAAGTAGAAAAGGACATGAAAACAGCTATTATATCCAAATTCCATATGTGAAAAAAAAACCTATATGAAATATTGTGTTAAGCAGAGATATGGCAGATTTTAAAAAGACCTAAATAAAACATCTACAGATAAAAGCTACATTTCAGATGAAAAATATATTGTATGGAATAGAAACTACGCAAAATAAAATACAGAAAGAAAACAGATCTGAAAAAAATACAGCATCTGTGAATTGTGGGGAAATTTCGAGTCATCTAATGTAAGTATAATTGAAGTTCCAGGAGGAAAGGAGTGAACAAAAGGACAGAAAAAAAGTTATGTGAAGAAATAACGCCAAAATATTGCAAATTTGATGAAAAGTATAAAACCCTGAAGTACCCAGAAACTCAAACACTAAAAATAGTGATAAAGAAAAACTCTTAAAAGTGAGAAAAGAAAAAACCATGTTACTATAGAGGAACTAGGGAGAGGGTGACATCAGATTTCTCATCAGAAACAATGCAAGCAGAATAAAATCTTTAAATGACTGAAAGAAAAAGTCACCTTAGAATTTTTTACTTAATAAAAATATTGTTCAAAAGTGAAGACGAAATAAAAACTTTTTCAGGCATACAACAGCTGAAGCAATTTGTCAGTAACAGACAAGTACTACAAGACATGTGAAAGGAACGTCCTCCAAGTAGAAAGAACTGATACCAGACAGAGATCTGATCCACAGGAAGGGATGCAGAGCACCAGAAATGGCATCTATGGGGTAAATAAAAAGACTTTTATTTCTTATTGTTTAAATTATTTAAAAGATAATTGATTGTTCGAAGCAAAAGTAATGACAATATAATGTGGGTTTTATAATAGGGGTGTAGAAGCAACATGTATGACAGCAACAGCACAAAGACCAGAGAAGAGAAATGGAAGTTCACTGTTGTAAAGCTCTTAAATTATCAGTGAATTGGTACAATATCACTTGAAGGTGGACTGTGTTATTTAAAGATGTATACTAACTCCAGATAACCCTAGAGAAACCACTACAATATCACAACAAAGAGCTATAGAGAACGATCTTACAATGGAGAAAATTTGGAATTATAAAAAAAAACAAGTAATCCAAAATAAGACACAAAAAGGATAAATGAGGAACAAAGAACAGATGGGACAAATAGAAAACAAATAGCAAGAGAAGAATTTTAAGCCCAAACTATCAATCACATTAACATAAATGATCTCCAAACACCCCAACTAAAAGCTAGAGATTCTCAGATTGGATTTAAAAAGGAAAACCCAACAACATTTTGCCAACAAGAATCCAACTTTAAATACAAAGACACAACAAGTTTCAAAGCAAAAGAAAGAAAAAAGATATTCCATATTAATGCCAATCAAAACGTGGCTGGAGTGGCTATAATAAGATTAGACAAAAAATATGCATATTATATATTGCTCTAAAATTATACATAACCAGGAATAAAGAGAGTTATTCTATATATTATATATAACCAGGAATAAAGGGAGTTATTCCATATATTATGTATAACCAGGAATAAAGAGAGTTATTCCATATATTATATATAACCAGGAATAAAGGGAGTTATTCCATAATGATAAAGGGGTCAATTTATCTGAAGAATATAACAATACTGTTTATGCTTCTAATAATTGAGCTTCAAAATACATGAGGAAAAAACTGATAAAAATGAAAGGAGAAATAGACAAATCTTGAGTTACAGTCAGAGATGTCAATATTCTTCTTTCAGTAATTGATAGAAGAAACAGAAAAATCTGTAAAGATATAGAAAATTTGAAAACCATTGTTAAGCAAGTAGACCTAATTGTTATTTATAGAACTCTCCACCTGACAGCACTGGAATAAGCACTCTTCTTAAGCATACAAGGATCATTTACCATGAGAGAGCATATTCCAGTCCCAAAACCAAGTCTCAATAAGTTAAATGGATCAAGGCATACAAAGTGTGTTATTTGACAACAGTGGAATTAAATCACAAAATCAATAAAAGAAATATATAGAAACTTTGTAAATGTGCAAAAACTAAATAATACACTTTTAAATAACCCATGGTGCAAACAAAAAATCAAAAGGGCAGTTAGAAAGTATTGTGAACTAAATGGAAACAAAAACACTACATATCAAAATTTGGGATATGCCACTAAAGAGGGAAATTTACAACACTAAAGGCATACATTAGAAAATAATAAAAGTCATAAATCAATATTGGTTACCACCTTAAAAAACTAGAAAAAGAAGAGCAAAGAAAGCACAGAAAACAGAAGAAAATGAAATAATACAAATCAATGCAGAAAACAGTGAGATGGAACAGAAAAACAATAAAGAAAAATCAATGATGCCAAAAGCTGGTTTGTTGAGAAGACTAATAAAGTTGATAACTCTCTAGTCACACTGACTGAGGAAAAAAGAAAGAAGACACAAATTACTAATATCAAGAAAAAGAGAGTTGACACCACTAAGTTTCTATAGATGTTAAGAAGATAATAGGGGAATATGATAAACAATCAACAAGAATGACATATTGATAAATGCAATAGTATGAATGTACTGATAAATGCAATCATATGGATGACTTTCACAATAATTACGCAGAATAGAAGAAGCCAGAGAGAAACAAGCACATGCTGTATTATTCCATTTATATCAATTTCTAGAAAATGTGAACAAACTTATAGTAACAGAAATCAGGTCAGTGGATGCCTGTGGATTCGGTAGGAGAAGTTGAAGGATGGACTTCGAAAGGGGTGTAGAAGCTTTACGGGGGATGGGTATGTTCATTATCTTGATTGTGGTAAGGGTTTCACTGGTGTGTATACATATGACAAAACTTAGACTGTACAATTTAAGTGTATGCAATTTTTCATATCTCAATTATACCTTAATAAAGCCGTAAAAACAGGAAATTTTAAATGTAATATACATTATGACTCAATGTATAATAATCAACACATACCTGCAAATACATGTGTAAACACATGCACACATACACATATGCAACATCCCATACATGTGTGCACACAGACATAGGAAAACGTGCCTAGGAAACAAGGACTCCAAAATCTCAGCAATGGTTAGCTGCATGCGTAGAAATGCAGATTATTTTTTTTCTTTCTTTTTATTTCTCTGGATTTGCTATTTCCTGCAATGAAATATATTATTTTTGAACATGTATCACAACAAATATGTTTCTGACTTTAATTTCTCAACATTTTTCTTATTGCATTTGTATTTCTATATTAGGTCTACATGACAGTGATGATTAAACACTCCAGTCCCTAGTCTGGGAAAATAGACCTCTAATACTGCAAAGGCAGAACTTAGAACATACAAAAATCTAGAAGTTTGTTCTGTTCAAAAGTCAAGGATAGCATAAGACTTAAAAGGTGATGCAAGACCAAATGCCCTAAACCAAAAGATAAGCTTCAGATATATCTGTCTACGACAGTGTTCCCTCATTCCTATATTCACACACACACACCCACCCACACACACACATTTTTAAGATATTCCCAATGACGGGTCACGGGCAAGGTTCTGAAGGGCTCTGAGATTTTTAAATGCACAGAAAGACATGTTCCAGATAAACATAAGGGGTTACTCAATCTTTCTTCTAATTCCAAGAAAAAAATGACATCTAGCCTAATTCAGACAATTAATTCCCTTCAAAATGTTGAAGGTGCAATAAAAGGAAATTATGACACAATGTATGCCTCAGTAAAGGCATGTGAGGCCAATTGTCTCTCACTGTGAGAAATTTTTCCTCTGTAATGCAACCTTCTGTAATTATCTGTAACCATTTTCTGAATGTTCTTCAGTTTCCTGGTATAATTTAAACCTAATTACCTATTATCAACCATCCATATTTCAGATTGTCCAAGCTCATTTGTGCCAAGCCCAAGGATGAACCTGGATCCTAATTATCCATTTAGTGCTAAGATGATTCCTATGACAACATGTAAACAGCACATTTGTTTCTCATATACTTTTACTTATTTACTTGAGAAACATTTACTATGCATGTTCTGTTTCCAAGTCATATGTTAAGTAAGTTGTATGTTCATAGAAACAGACACTTAACCTAGTACCCATGATAAAATGCACAAAAAAAGAATATATATATATAGCTCTCATTACATAATATTTTTAAAATTTATATGTCAATAAAACCTTAGGAATAGTAATATTCCCTCAAAATCTGAAACTTTCTGGAACAAAAGATATAACTATTCCTTACCTATAGTCTAAACAAATGACTATATCCTTAAACAAATTAAAAGGCATATGGAAACTAAACAAAAAAACCTCACTATATGCCTGTCTTTAATATTCTTAATGTATCAGGAGACTTTACTAGTTAATACAAAAATGTTTTTGTTTGTTTGTTTGTTTTTGTTTTTTGAGATGGAGTTTCCCTCTTGTTGCCCAGGCTAGTGCAGTGGCGCGATCTTGGCTCACTGCAACCTCCACCTCTTGGTTTCAAGCTATTCTCCTGCCTCAGCCTCCGGAGTAACTGGGATTACAGGCGCACGCCACCAAGCCCAGCTAATTTTTGTATTTTTAGTAGAGATGGGGTTTCACCATGTTGGTCAGGCTGGTCTCAAACTCCTGACCTCAGATGATCCACCTTCCTCGGCCTCCCAAAGTGCTGGGATTACAGGTGTGAGCCACCGCACCCAGACAAAGAGGTTTTTAAAAATCTACAATTTACAAAAAATGCAAATGACCAATAAATACAATGTTCAGTACCCTCATAATAAAAATGTATTTGAGGAAATGACTGTATTTCTTATGTGCCAAGTTGGTAAGAATCAGAAAAGACTTTTAATGTTCAGCTTCTGAGTAAAGGAGTTACTCACTGTTCCAGGACCTGCAGTTGGTTGGAGGGTTGAATCTGGGAGAAATTTGTTTTCTTCCCCAAGGCCCCTCAGCCTAGTGACATCAGCCAGGAGGACCTAAGCCTCTCAGCCCAGCTCTGCTTACACTTGAGGCTCAGGGGCCAACTGTGAAAATAAAACAGGAGATCTTGAACACTTTCCAAAAGCCTGCCAGAAAGACAATATGGCATCTTTAGAAACTTGATGAAAATGTCATCAGATAAACATCTTGGTAAATGGATTGTATCAGCTAGTGTTTGCCCAAAATTCTAAGTAAAAGTCAACAATTGAGAGAATTGGGCTGTAGAAAGCCTGAATAAAAGATAATTTAAAGAATATCTACAACCAATTCTTTCACTTTACCAAAGGTGACATTGAGGTGATGTGAAGGGGTATGTCCAAAACCACACAACTAGTTGGTGACAAATTCTGGGAATACACAATGACCTGCTCAGCCAGAGGTCTTTACTCAAAGTAGTTGACTTGTCTTTCTGATCTTTCCTTTTCCCCTAGAACTGCTCTCCCACCCAAGAGACTTCTAACTGTCTAATCTTGAGGAAAATCCCCTAAACTCTATATAAGTCATATATGCCTTATCTCTTAAAAAAAAAAGCGGGGGGATGGGTAATATTATCAAACTGTTAGGTGGTATAAATAACATAATAAGTAAGAAGAGTTAGTATGACATCCAGCAATAGTAGATCTTTAATAACTGTTTTTTCTTTCCAACCCTAAAGACTTATCCCTCTACTAATTGTAGACTAACCATTTTGGAGCATAGATTATATAATACTAGTAAAGTTAGTAATTAAATACATGCACTCCCTCCATGGGAGGAATAAGAAAAATTGAGAGAGTTGAAGAATGGGTAGTTAATGGTGGAAATTTGGAGAAGTTATTTTAAGGAAGGAAATCACTTCTTGGTATTCTCTCTAATCATAACACACAGATAGCTCACTTTGCCTAAATATAGGATAATTTCCGCTTCTGCAAACTAAGCTTTTATCCTACTGCTAAAACTATAGCAGAATAAAATTTTAAACTAAGTATTTCTTTAGAGAGAAGTATTTTATTACCTATAAGAGAAATGTCATGTTTCTTGGCTAACCTCTCCATTAAAAGCATCTAGTATCTATAGCACAGATTTGGCAGAAACAGTACATATTCTCTTCTAGGTGAACTGCAAGGTGGCTTCAGCGGTGAGACAGATGAGGACCACACAGGGCAGAGCAGCAAGGTAGGAGGAATTGGGGATTCTGAGTGACTTCATGAAGCAGATCCATCTACCATCCCTAGAGCACCTGGCTACCCATGTGTTGTTACATGAGGGACAGATAAACCTATGTTTTGTTTGAGCTACTCTGTTTTTGTTCTCAACTCTGACTAATGCATGAAGCATCACATATACACAGTTACTAAGGGATGTTGATCAAGAGTAACAAGTACAGTTAGCTAAGGGAATGTTTACAATCTCCTCCACAGTTACACATGCAAGAGTAAAGTAAAGGAGATGATTCTAACAGGAAATTAAAACTATTTTTGATTCTCTCATTTTCTCTTCAGTCTACTCCTTTTCCAAGTAGCTTTTGGGCACTTGTTATTTAACAGAATCTCTGTGAGGTTTCATTACAGATCATCTCACTTCTTAACCATAAAACCGTGAATGATTTTTTGGCTCGTAACACCCCTAGACCACTCTGCAAAGGAGGCTACTTTCCTAATTTGTTTGTCTGAGTACAAGCATCTTGATCCTAAGATCCAGGTAGAATCCAGTAGATATGTGACTCTGTATGACAGTACTAAGTATCTGTATGTGGCAATTGGGGCTTCTCTAACTCAGGAGATGATGTAGACTTCAAACAGCTTTGTTAAAGTCTGAACACGTGTGCTGTAATGAGAATTGCATGCTATTTGTTTTGTAGATTGTATACAAGTAATTTGTCAGTAGAATGACCTTTAATTTGTGACCAAGTATCAAGGCAAATTATGAGGTTTATCCATAAGCAACTGGGTCACTTTTTAATACCCATTAAGAATTTCGAAGTACTTAGAATGCAAGACTCATTTTGAATTCAGTGGTATTTAGACCTGGGTAGAAAGGTATGTACACATCTATGTAATAAGAATCAAGACCATGGTATAATTTAAGGAATCTATATATTTGCAATTATGTATTTGTGATGCCTAAAATATTGACCCATTAGAATAAGTCATGTAACTCTTTTTTAAAAAGGTATAATTGGAAATTGTTTAGATTTACGATTTTAAGTGAAATCCTTACTAAGTTTATATCCAATATTTAAGCTTATATGTAGCGTCAAAATTTCTAAGAGAACTTAAATTTATAAGAATTAATTCATTACTTGGGAAGGTTTTAGCCAAAGTTCTTAAGAAGAAAAATCAAATACAGTAAATGTATAAATGCGGTTTAAAATACCTTAAAATATTTAGTTTGCCAAATTTGTAAGTGGAGTAACCTAGTGTTGAAGTTTGTTAAAATGTGCTAGACATATAAATGGTATTATATGATTTTTAAGCTGGTCTTCAATTTATAATAAACTAGATTTTTTACATTTTTAACTTTGAAAAATTGAATAGTAATTTTAAAATCAAAATAAATTCACGAAGAGTCTTTTCTGCCCATAAAACTGCCCTCAAAAATCACTTAAAAAAAAACAAGGCTGGGCACGGTGGCTCAGGCTTGTAATCCCAGCACTTCAGGAGGCTGAGGTGGGCGGATCATGAGTTTAGGAGTTCGAGACCAGCCTGATCAACATGGTGAAACCCTGTCTCTACTAAAAATACAAAAATTAGCCTGGCGTGGCGGCACGTGCCTGTAATCCCAGCTACTCAGGAGGCTGAGGCAGGAGAATCACTTGAATCAGGGAGGCAGAGGTTGCAGTGAGCTGAGATCACGCCATTGCACTCCAGCCTGGGCGACAGAGCAAGACTCCGTCGCCCAAACTCATCAGACAGAGCTATAAAGGACACATACAAGGTTTCGTTATCTGCCCCAGCTTCCCATGACTAAGAATACACAGATCAACCTAATTTATCAATATTTACCTGGGGCTGTTCTGTTGTGCTCTGTTGTGTCCTGACAGCTCGGCAATGCCCCTTTGTTTCATCAAAGTTATTGCTACTGGTTTCACTGTTGATTTGGGGAAAGTTTACATGTCACTGTATTTCTAAGTAGATGCTGTTTACTTTCAGGCTGCAGGACTCTGCTTTGATAATGCATTCTCCAAGGGTCATTACATGGAGGGGTTGAGAAGTTCTTTCCACAGCAAGTACCTCTTTCTGATGGTATCACAACTACAAATGTGCAGCACACATTACACTTTCCGTGTAACTACTTCCCCTAAGAAAGAATTAAGTTGTTCAGAGTCATTGTGCTGAGAAATGTTGTACCTGCCACCTGGGGATTACACTATTTCACTTCAACTCTGTTTCCTGAAGGAGACCCCTCTGCTGTCCAGGCTCCCTTCCTTTCTCTTTGCCTCTTCCCTCTTTCTCTGTGCATCATTTTCCTCTCTCTCCTCCTGACTTGTCTTTATTCTCCCTCCTCCCCACCCTCCACCTGCCAACTGCACTGCTTGGCTTCACTTTTTCAAGTTCAAGTCTCACTCTCTTTTTCTCCACGATGAAAACTGCAGTTACTGCGCCCAGTCATGCTCTTTTTCCCTAATGAAAACAAAAATGCTCTTTCTCATTATGAAACCAGATGTCTGCTACAGATTTAGCTAAATATTTACAAACATTGAGAATAGGATCTCCTGTGGAGGCCAAAATACCTGACAGGCTAGACTAGACGATGCTGACAGAGGATGGGTCTGAAGAAGGCTTTATGCAGTGAGCTGTGAAGTCAGAGGCAGCTATGAAAAGGTTCAGGGCTGAAAGATTCAGGGCTGAAAACCCAACCAAAACTTGGGTTTTGGTCCTAGCTCTACTACTTACTGGAGCAAACCAGGCTTTCAGAACTTGAATATGCAAAATAAAGATAATGATGGTACTTCCAGGATTGCTGAAAGGATTTAGTAAGATACTGTAGGGAAAGCGCTTTATAAAATTATAGTCATACAGTCATAAGGCATGGCTCTTTAAACATATGGAGGCTCTTTAAGAAGAGTTCTAAATCAGCAAACGATTTTTTTTTTTGAGACAGAGTCTTGCTCTGTCCCCCAGGCTGGATTGCAGTGGCCTGATCTCGGCTCACTGCAGGCTCCGCCTCCCGGGTTCACTTACACCATTCTCCTGCCTCAGCCTCCCGAGTAGCTGGGACTACAGGCACCTGCCAGCACGCTGGCTAATTTTTTGTATTTTTAGTAGAGACGGGATTTCACCGTGTTAGCCAGGATGGTCTCGATCTCCTGACCTTGTGATCCACCCGCCTTGGCCTCCCAAAGCGCTGGAATTACAGGCGTGAGCCACCGCGCCCGGCACGATGTTGTTGTTTTTACTAATGCACATAGCAGAGAAGCTTTTACCAATATAAATTCTTTATGTTCAAGAGGACATTTAGTCATTCATCAATTGTAGAACAAATGCTATTTTTTACCTGCCTCTTTTTATCCCTCCACCATGTGATGTGATTTGAGAGGACCTAGGAAGACACACCACCACCACCACCACCACCACCATCACCACCACCACCACCACCATCACCACTAAAATGCATTCCTTTAAGCTAAAGGTGTGTCCCTGCTGGAACTTAACTAGACAGGAGAAGCTGAAAGGAATCTTTTCCTATTAGTTATTCACAGTCTACTATGAATTATAATGCAATACACATTTCTTTCCCCGCATGACCTCTAGGTGAGAGAGGTGTTAGCTGAATGAGCTCCTAGAACAGTATTTCTCCATGTATGACTCCCAGACCAAATTAATCAGAGTTGCCTGGGGCTTTCGATAAAAAATGGATTCCTAGCAAACTTCTACTTCACAACTCTGCTTCAAGCCTGTCCCATACTTTTATTTCCAGCGTGAAGACAGTTCTGTCAGGGACAAAAGGAAATGATGACACTAGGAGGTTGCACACTTTCAAACCACAATATTATTCTAAAGAAAGCTGAGGCTAAACCAACTACCTCTTTTCAAAAATCCTCAGCCTTCTACCCAGCTGACTAATTGGGAAGCAGGGTCTTCTTCCCCTCAGGTGTGGTACTTAAACAGGGTTTGGAGTCCCTGGGTTCTGTAGTCCCAACAGCTTCCTATGTCTCACACGTGTCAGCTTGCACAGTGACTTGGAACCTGGACCTTCTGGGCAGTTGTCTGTGAGCAGAGCTAAACCAAAAGGGAACACCAGTCCTTCCTTGGCCCTGGGCCAAAGTTTCCCTGGGCCCTCAACAGGCCCTCAGGAGCTGTTCTGCATGCAGAACAAGGGATAGAATAGCTTTCAGGACTGATTTTAGAATCGCCTTTGATGCTAATGGCTCCCACCTGGAGCACTGTAGAAGGTTTCTGGTTTTATTAATGGCGCAGCGGCTCCCGAACTCAACACATTAGAATCTTCTCCCTCGCCCCTAA
The DNA here is from genome assembly GCF_000001405.40 of Homo sapiens. Taxonomy (NCBI): domain Eukaryota; kingdom Metazoa; phylum Chordata; class Mammalia; order Primates; family Hominidae; genus Homo; species Homo sapiens. The sequence goes on along the minus strand of NC_000002.12, from coordinate 102,291,171 downwards.
CATTCTACCAGGAGCCAAATATTGTTCCCAATAACATGAGCATCTCCCTCATATGTCCTCTTCTCTTGTTTCCCACTGCCAGCATAAAGAACTATCTAACTATAACCATCTAACTCTCCTGATCTAACCAGTGGCAGGAACTATCTAACTATAACCTGAACCATTTCAGTGGTCTCCTGTCCCTTTCTGTATACACTGCTCAGCTGACACAATTTCCCAAACACATTCATTCTCTGGAATGCCAAAGACAAAGATGAGCTGAGGATTCCCAATTTGAATAAGGCCATTCCCCAAGTTGAACAAGAATAAGGTATACTGATGCTTGAAAAAAATATTTAAAATAAATATTTTTTATTTTATTTTTATTTTTATTATAAAAATATTTATTATTTTATAATAAAAATATTTATTTTATTTTATTTTTATAAAAAAACTAGAACATATTTCTAGTAAGTGAGTCTAAGGATCATTGTTTTCTCTAAAAAAAAAAATGGGGTTTTAACTAACAATTCAGGCATAGCTATTTTACAACCCTGTAAAGTTAAAGATTATCTTGTAGAAAACTGACCAATGGGAGGTATTTTTGTTTCTATCTCATGCAAAACACAACAGAAATTGTTTTATTACATTGTAGGACATTAAGCAGTTTTGTATCCCAGTTATCAATATTATCTTAACATCTTATGGAAATACCAGTTTCTCAGATCCTTATGGATTCAGTCCTGACATCCTGTTGTTTCCTTCATTAATTAAACTTCAACAGACACAATCTACTTCATGAGAATCATGATTTTAACAATTTGATGATTATACTTTATATATATTTTTTATTATACTTTAAGTTCTAGGGTACATGTGCATAACGTGGAGGTTTGTTACATATGTATACATGTGCCACGTTGGTGTGCTGCACCCAGTAACTCGTCATTTACATTAGGTATATCTCCTAATGCTATCCCTCCCCGCTCCCCTCAGGGATCTAGAACCAGAAATATCATTTGACCCAGCCATCCCATTACTGGGTATATACCCAAGGGAATATAAATCATGCTGCTATAAAGACACATGCACATGTATGTTTATTGCAGCACTACTCACAATAGCAAAGAGGATTATACTTTTCACAATAGGTACCTATTTTCAGAAACATTTTCTGGTGTGACTCCCAGACCAAATTAACTAGCCAGAGAATTGAACTGAAGAATCTGCTCACAAGTGACCGAACATGGGGTGAAACATGAGAATCAATATTACCTGCCACTCAGCTGGCTGGTACATCCTAAGGTCTTACTTCCCTGGTCCATTTAAGATCACGTCTTCCTCTACATTCACAGGATCACCCCAGGTGTTGTCTGTTGGATACTTACATACAAATCCTGCACCTATATTTTTTGAAAAATCACTCATGCATAATTCTGGGAAATTTCTGAAATATGCAAAACTTTCCACAAATTCGTCTCTAAAAACCCAATGCTCACCTTTTCATGAACTTTTCCATTGGATGAAATTTTCCAAATCTAAATATTTTAATATATAGATTTTATGGTATTGAGTTACAATTTACATACAGTGAAATTCACAGATCTCTGATTTTTTGACAAAGACAAAAACCTGTATAACCAATGCCTCTGTTAAAATATACAGCATTTCCATTATTCCCAAAAGCTCCCCTGTGACTACCTATATTAATTATATATTGCTGAATGACAAATTATCTTCCAAAACTTAGATATTTGAAACAATGAGCATTTTGCTTCATTATCTCACATGGCTCCTGAGGGTCAGGAATCTGAGAGTAGCCGAGGTGGGTGGTTCTGGATCTGGCTGACTCATAAGCTGTTAGTCCAGCTGGTGGCCAGAGCCACAGTCTCAAAGGACTTGGTTGGAACTGGAGGATTCACTCCCAAGCTCATTCGCTTGATGCTCATCTTGCGCTTCAGTATAGATGCTCATGGCATGGCTTCCCCCAAAGTGGGTGATGAGAGTCGTGGGGGCGGGGGTGTGAGGGAGAAGGCCCATGTGCACTTGAATATGTATTATATGGTTGTTGGGTAAAGTGTGCTGTAAATGTCAATTAGTTTGAGTCAATTATCCATGTCTATTAAGTTTTCTATATTAGGCAGAGTTTTTTGCATATTATTACTGAAAGAAAATTTAAATGATATCTAATTATAATTGCAATTTGTCTATTTCTCACTTCATATCTTGTATTTTGAAGCTGTTATTAAGTACATGTACTCAACAGAATTGTTCCTGTTTTAACGAATCGCCCCGATTTAATATTATAAAATGTCTTCCTTTTTCTCTGACAGGACAGTACTGCTTGTCCTAAAATCCACATTGTCTGCTATTAATATAGCCTCTCCAGCTTTCTAACAAATAGAGTTTATGTGGTATACATTGTATATTTTTACCATCTTTCTATTTTTAATTATGTCTTTTTATTGAAAGTATGTCTCAAAAACAGTATACAGTTGGAACTTGCTTTTATTATCCAGTCTGGCAATTTCTGTCTTTAATTGGGCTATTTAGTCCATTTACTTGTAATGTAAATATTGATATTGTTGGCTTCTGTCTGCCATCTTGCTGTGGTTTCCCATTTGTCTTCTGTTTTTGTTTTTTTTTTCATCAGTTCCTGACTTCTTTTGGATTAACTATTTTTACATTCTGTTTTTCTCCTCTATTGGGCTTATCATCTCAACTCCATTGTTTTATTTGTATTGTTCTTACTGGTTGCTAGGGTTTACAACACGCATTTGTAAATCATCATAATCTTCCTTCAGATAGTATTATACCATGTAAGTATTTTGCCACATAAATAAACTGAATGAACATTAAAACAATATATTTTATCCTCCTCATTGTGCTATTATCACACATTTTACTTCTACATATGTTAAGATCTCACAGTGCATGGCTGGTTGTTTTTTACTTTAAATAGTCACTTATGTTTTAAATCAACTATAAACAGACAAAATTTATTTTATATTTTCTTACTTACTTGCCATTTCCTGTACTCTTCATTTCTTCATGGAGGCTTGAGTTTCCACTTGGCATCATTTTACTTTACCCTGAAGAAATTCCCTTAACTTCTCTTATCTGAAGTTTTGCTAGTAATAAATTTTCTCATCTTTGATTTGCACAAATGTTTTTATTTTACCTTAATTTTAAAAATATTTTTTTCTCTGAATATAAAATTATATGTTTACTGATGTTTTCGTTTCTTTGTTTTTTAGTATATTAAAGATGTTCCATTGTTTTCTGGCTGGTATTGTTTCTGGCAACAATGCAGTAATCAATCTTATCATTCTTCTGTTGCATGCAATGTATTTTCCTCCTTTCAGGCCTAAATTTTCTGTTAATCACTGGTTTTCAACAATTTGATTATGCTGCAACTTTTTTGTTTTTAATCTATGTATGATTGTTGAACTTCTTGAAACTGTGGAGGATTTTTTAATCAATATATATATTTTTTGAGACGGAGTCTCGCTCTATTGCCCAGGCTGGAGTGCAGTGGTATAATCTCAGCTCACTGCAACCTCTACCTCCTGGGCTCAAGTGATTCTCCTGCCTCAGCCTCCCGAGTAGCTGGGACTACAGAAGCCCGCCACTCTCGGCTAACTTTTGCATTTTTAGTAGAGATGGGGTTTCACCATGTTGGCCAAGCTGCTCTGGAACTCCTGACCTCTGGTGATCCACCCGCCTCGGCCTCGCAAAGTGCTGGGATTACACGCATGAGCCATCATGTCCAGCCTAAATTTTGAAATTTTTCCTTGATCATTTCTCCAAAAAAATTTGTTTGTGTCTTAATCTTTCATTATTCCTTCTGAGACTCCAACTGCGGGTGCGTTAAACTCCTTAATATTGTCCTACAAGTCCTTGGATCTCTTTTATTTAGTTTTCCAGCCTTTCTTCCCCCTCTGTACACTACAGTCTCTTATTTTCAATTACCCTGTCTTCAAGTCCACTGATTTTTTTTAATTCTATGTGGTTTATTCTGCTGTTAGGCACATTCAGCAACTTTTTCATTGCAGATACTGTTATTTTTTGGTTATAAAATTTTCACCTGCTTCTTTTACTTTGGTCTTTCTATTTCTCTGTTTAGATGCCTTATGTGATCCTCTACTGTGATCGTATTTTCCTTAAATCTTTGAACATGATTAAAATAACTGTTTAAAAAATCTTTGTCTGCTAATTTCATCATCTCTATCTGTGTCTATTCCCATTTACTGATTTTTTCTCTTGGTTTTGGGTTGTATTTTCCTGCTTTTTTGAGGGTCTAGTACTTTTTAATTGTATGTTGCACATTTTAGATGCTATGTTATTGTGTGTTTGAAGTTTATTTTCCTTGAATTTTGAATCTTATTCTAGTAAGGAGTAATTTACTTGTGGATCAATTTAATCCTTTGAAAGCTTTTTATATAGCTTTACTAGGATGAGTCTGGAGCAACATTTACTCATGGTACATTAACTGTTCTCTTAATGTATGCTTCTTTCAGGGTCTCCTCTGAATACTCAAAATTTCAATAATGTCTCTCTACTCTGGTTTGCTAGAACTTGAATGTATTCTACCTTTGGGAGAACACTAGACTCTATTTTCAGCTCACAGCTTCCTTGTCATTGTTCTTTGCTTGATAGTGGGATTTTGCCTAGCACTGTGGAGTCTCACCCTGTGCATATACAGCTTAATATTTGTCCAAATCCCCAAAAGTACTCTTATGCAGATTTCTGGTACTTACCTGGTACTTGTCTTAGTTTTCTTCTCTCTGGTATCCTTTCCTAAAAATATAAGCTACCTCCATAATCTCAAACTCAGATCGCTGTCCTCTCTGATAAGCACGACCACTGTAATGTTTGTGCTCTGCTCCTTGCCCTGCACAATTCAGAAAGTGCCTCCAGGCAAAAAGCTGGGGTAATGTGGGAGTTACCTACTTCCTTCCTTTCAAGGAATACAGTGCCTGTTGTCCAAAGTCTGGTAGATTTTTCATGTGTGCTGTTCAGTGTCCCAGTTGTTTATGGTGAGAAGTCTAGTCTAACCTCAGATATTCTATCATGGTGCTGAAGAATCACTTTTGATTATGACCGTGTCCTGCTCAAAATCATTTAATAGATTACTACTGTTTGCAGAATAGAATCAAAATTCCTTAGCTTGAAAATTGGATCCAATCTACTTTATCTCCTACTTCTGCTCTTTCAAAGTATCTTCTATTAAAAAAAAAAAAAACAAAACTAATGTTTTCAGCCCAGTTATTAGAACCAGAGATTTGTTTTGAATCCTACCTGAGTCACTTACTAGCTATGTAACCTTGGACTAGTTATTTATTCTCTCTGAGCTTTGGTTCTCTAATCTGTAAAATAAGAGTTATATCAATTCCTACCTTGTAGGGATTTTAAAGCATAAATAGAATAGTTTATATAAAGCACCCAGCATAGACTCTGTTATGTAATAGAAGCTTAACCATCAGAGGTATTTATGTACCTTTTCTAATTCTCCAACTGGCTGGCAATTTCCTCAAGGGTGGATTTATGACTGATTCATCTCTCTATCTTTCCCACAACCTCCGTCTATTAAATAGAGTTCAATGGTTAAAGATGTTGGCCTTGTAAATAGACCACAAAGGTTTGTTCCTTCATTCTACAAATACATATATACTGAGTTTGTGTCATGTGTTATGTATTTAGCTCCATGCAATGCAGCAAGAATATTACTGGAAGCAAAAGCAGACGTGATATCTGCCCTAGTAGAGTAAGGCAGTTTTGCATGAGAAAGAGACACAAACCAAACAAACAACAACACACAAAAAAAAAACCAACATGTAAAATGTATTCATGCTTCTCATTTCAATTCATTTTAGATTCTGTTGACCTAGACTGTGCAGTCAAGGGAAGTCTCCCCAAGGAAGCCAAATTAATCCATGAGCTGAAGATGAGTTTCCATTAATAGCATGAGAGAGGAGCAAAGAGCATTGAACGGTGCAAAGTGCTATAACAGGAAGGAGTATGGCAAATTCAGAAAACTCAAAAGCAGGCCAGTGTGGCTGGAAAACAGTATGTGCTGCAAGATGGGGATGGAGAAGCCTTATGGAGTCCTCTAGGCTAGGTTCAGAATTTTGATCTTTAGCCTAAGAGCAGTGGGACATAATTGAAGAGTTTTAAGTAGGGAAGTTATTGAGAGGAATAGAAATGTACAAAGATAAATAAGATATATCAGTGTTTCACTTACTGTTGCTGCGTAACTAGTTACTTCAAAATACATCAGCTTACAGCAACTTTATTATTATGCAAAGTGACTCTATGCTTCTGGAATTTGGACAGGCCATGAGGGTGAAAGGTAGAAAGAGAAAGTGGATAGCTGCTCTATAATGTCTGGGGCTTTGAGATGGGAAGAATCAAAAACTTGGGAGTGACTTGAAGGCCAGGAACTGGAATTATCAAAAAGCTTGCTTACTCACTTGTCTGGGCCTTGGCTAAGATAACACAAAGACTAGAACTGCCAACCAGAATGCCTACACATGATCTCTCCGTATGGCTTGGTTTCCTGATGGCATGGCGATCTCAGGGCTCCTAACGTGAATGCTCCAGCAAGCAAGATAAAGCTGCATTGCTTTTTATGACCAAGCTCCAAAGTCACGTGGTGCTACTTTAATGATACTCTTTTGATCAGTGCAGTCCCAAGTGCATGCAGATTCATGGGAATAGAGCATAGACTTCATGGATCAATGAGAAATGTATCAAAGAATTGAGAACAATGTTTGAAAGAGCAAAATCAGTAATAAGGTTATTGTAGTAGCAATGGCGAGAAATAATGATAGCTTGAATGAAGGTGGTAGTAGTAGAGGTGGAGAAAAGATAGGTAAGAGATAAAATTAGTGAGACTTCCTGATAACATTGATATTAGACAAAAAAAGAGATGGTGAAGATGACTACTGGGTTCTTGGCTTATGCAACAGAATGGATGCCAGTGCTACTTACTAAGCCACAAGACAGAGGAAGTGGACCAATTTGCTCACTGTGTTTTGTGGAAAGGATAACTTAAACTTGCCTTTGAGAATGTTGAATTGAGAGACACTTTGAAGCATCCAAGCAAAAAGGTGAGTAGGCAGCTGAATGGACTCAAAGAGAAATTAGGACTGGAGATATAAATATAGGAGTTATTAGTATTTAAATGGTGATATTAACCCCAGATGCAAATGGTGTCAAAGAGAGAATATAAGGTGAGAAGAAGGATGCACCTAAAGCTTTGGACAGATTTAACACAGAACTGCCACGGAGAGGCTAAAGATGCATGGAAGAGCAGCCAAGCAGTTAATAGAAAAACAAAGAGATTTTGCAGCTCAGAGGCCAAGAAAGAAAGAGCTTAAAAAGAGTGTCAACAGTGTCAAATGCTGATAAAAGGCTAGATGAGAAGAGGCCTAAGGATCTAGTGCAGGGAGGTGATTATTGCCTACCCTGAGATGGTTTCTATGGAGTTAACAGGTACATCAGGAAAAATGAGAACATGGAGGCAGCTTGTCTGAAAAGAAGATGGAGAGCAACCCAAGTCTTTCATTCTATGACCGCCAACGATCTCAACTTGGCCAAATCCAGTGACCAATTTGTCTGATCTCTCTCTTCTGCTGATTTCTCTGATATGGACACTTTTAATCACTCTGACTCTATAATATGTATTTACTAAAGAGAGTAACTCTATTTTTGCATATATTCCTCAGCAGCCAATACTTCTCAGAAAACTCTCCTCTGCTTCATTTTGCTGACTGTCTTCCTCCACCCAGCATTTCCCTGTGGACATCCCTCAGGACTCAATCGGAGCCATGGGTCTCACTTTTCCAGCTCAGGTCTCTCCTTTGCAGCCTGGCTGTTCCCACTCACAGTCTCACTTACCTCGTGATTTCATATCCGCCTGGTAGATGGCTTCCCAATGCATTTCTCGAGCCCATCCAAGTGCTTTTTCCTCTACCTAAGCTTTTATTGCTGGTTATTTTGAAATCCAAATACAGATGAGTTTCTTGCTGAAGCTAACAACTTATCATATCCAAAGTTAAAGTAAATCATTCCTATATGCTCTCTTTGCCATTGTTCTCTATTTCAAGTTCCCTATATCTCACATTCTGATGTCATCTTCTTCTTGTTACCTCCCTGCTTTCTGCACCCACCCTGCTCTCCAGCCTCTCAAGTGCACACACACCCAGACCAGAAATTTCCTGTATTCCCAGTCATCTCCATTTTCACAGCAATAACCACATTCAGTGTCAGACCTCTGTCACTCCAAGAGCCACATACCAAGTTCCCTGATAGCAGTTTCTCAAAATCATCTTCTTAACATGTTGCTATACTAATATGTGGTCGGCTGATTAAAATAGAAAAGGGAAGACGAAAGAAAAATCAAAATGACTAATAGATTCACTTGTTGCCAACTCTGATCCTTTGGCAAGGGCTCCCTGAAGCACTGTTGAAAGGGATACTGAAAATCCATTCAGGCTCAGTGTTAGAGTTCCATGATGGATTGGTGCTATTTGCTGTAAGATAGGGGATGGAATTGGAAGCCTAAATAGCAGGACAGATGCAATCCTTGGTAAGAACATTAGACCAAATATCAAAAAGCCTCTATTTTAATCCCAATGAAAGAGCTAGGAAATTCCATAGAAATTCTAAAAATTCCATAACTGTGATTTTGCTAATTTATATTAGGAAATGATATGTTTCAACTTTTATTCCTTTTCTCCTTTTAAGTTATTAGTTTCTGTCCTTTGTATAGCTATGGTTGCCTTCTAGAGCTATTTCTGATTAAAAGAAAATAGTTTGAAAAGGAATGCCTGACCCAGAACATTTGAATGGATGAATCAATTATCCCACCAATACCTCCTTGGGTTCTGATGTTACCCTTTTTGCCCATGCAAACAATAGTATATACATTGAATCTTCCAAAAGAAGAGCCACCTTGAGAAAACACACCCTTTGAGAAGCAAACTCTCTTAGCAGCTCCAAACACTTTTCGGCTGGCAATCCTGTTTATGTACAAAGCAGAAGAGAGCGGGATTTGAGATTCACAGTCAGATAATTGTGACAAGGTGTTTCTAGGGACTATAATTCTGCAACATCATTGTGGGTGCATGATAGATGCTAACTCACAGTGATACTATCAATCCAAATTTGGTTATAAAAACATTCCACATGAATTTTTAAAGACTTACACTCAAGGTTAATGATACTAATGTACAATCTTTCCTTGTACAGGCATTAACTCAATTGCTGTTGCCCATGGAGCAATAGCTGCTTCAGTAAAACACTAGGTACCCCTGAAAGCATACAGTGGCCTCTTGGTTTCACCCACTGGTGATTAGTCTTGCTGGAATAGCTTACCTATGAAAACTTTTCAGCAGATTTCCCAAAGCTTTCTTTGAGTATTATAGGAAGCACAAGTTGCATGGCCCATATGAGGCGCCCAAATATATGTGCATAAAAAATATATGCTCTTTTTTAAAAAGTTCTGCCATTTACTAAAGATAGAATCACTCATCAATTATTCTTCTGTCCTGGTTAAATATATGAGAAGGACCAAATCTTAGGAGCTTGCTGTAGGGCAGACTCTTTGCCAAGCATATTACAGGCATTATCTGCTTTCTTCAGATTAGTCCTACCTGTAGGTAGGCATTGTAGACACTTTGTAGGACAAGGAAACTTACATACAGATAATTTGCCCAATGTCATGAAGTTAGTAAAGAATGGAACTGGGGTATAAAACCAAACAGCCTAGCTCCAAACTTCATTTTCAACACTTTACCACACTTCCTGACAACACTCACGTCTATCCACTGGCTTGCACAGACTGTCTCAGCCAAGCATTGAAAGTAAGTGGAATCAGACAGAAACAAGTCTGAGGACAGCACAGTAGAAGCAGAATAAGAAAGTGAAGTGTGTTCTTAAGAATTCTACCTTCTGTTTGAAGAGGGCTGAATAACAAGCATTCAAACCTGTAATGTTCACAGAAATAAAGGGATGGCTTGTGGGTTTGAGTGGACTAGTGGGTTTTGGAATGTTCTAGAAGATTATACGTTGCAGTGGGATCTGGAAGGAGGCTGTTGTGGAACCAGACTAGGTTTAATTCTAGTTTGATTTCAGTGGACCCATGCAGAGACTAAACATTGATCACTCTTTGAAAACTTTAGCCCCCTAATTTTAAATTTCTATTGCCCATGAAATGCTTCAGAACTTCATGCCAACTCTACCTTTTGCAGAATCGCAAATGCTGTACTCTATTTATTTTTAAATTAAATGTGTTTTTCCTGAATACAAAATGGTATGTATAACGCATTAAATATTTTTAATGAATAAAAATCATAATATGTTAAAATATGTAATATAACTTATAACATATGTATTTTAATATAAAATGATATCTGTAATCTCTAATGTATCATATATGCAAATGAAAAATGCAAAGAAGAAATAAAAACCACTTCTCATCCTGCCACGTGTTAATGCATGTCTGAGAAGAGTTTGATCATGGAATCCGTCTATTTGCCCCAGCTCAGCCTCTTCTAAGAGACAGGAGTTTGTCAACTTATGGAAGAGGAACTGGAATGGTGAGACCCTTGGCTGTGAAGAGGCCCCTCTTCCCTAACAGGGAGAATCTAGAAATTACCTCTGCTCTCACGCACAATGAGCTGGTTGGAAGCAACTCCTTGGGTGTGCATGTGACCATCAGGCTGAAGTTCCTACAGCACCGCACCCCTTCACGGCACCTTCTAACCAGGTGCCTGCCTGCCTCAGGTGCCCCCTGCAGATGAAGCCTCATTCTCAACTCACTGATCAGGCCACCGAGTCTGAGATGCGCCTCACACTATCTGCCCACTTCTCCAGCATCAGGTCCTATTTCTCAGGTATCCACGAAGCACTAAACTAGGTGCCCACTTGAGGAAGATAAAGCAGGAGGCCGGAAGTTTTGAAGCTGCTCCGCCTACCCTGCAAGCTGGATTCTTTGTGAATTAAATTGTGTGCAGATTGAACTTGACTGTCTCCTTTGAGAGAAGAGAGCAGTAGCTAGTTGGCTAAGCCCTGCTCCCACATTTTCAGGCTGTTCCTTAAAAAAGCACCCACTACTCCTATGTTCGGAAGGGAGAGTTCAGCTTTGGCTCCCAAATAACTCTGCAATGGGTCGCCAAGGGACGTTAAATGCAGTTCTGCAACTGGGGCAAAAATTCATGGCCTAATATTCTCATATTGTTATGCCCAATTACAATATCCAAATAGACCAGCAGAAATTAAACAATAAACCCAAAAGACAATATAATAATATCCCAATTCCAGCGTTGTTCCACCTCAGCTGGGGAGGTGCATGTTGGTCAAGTAAATTTTTTTGGCCATTCTGTGCATGTCCATACATGACCAAAAAAGTTTCCCTCTATTGATTTTATAATTATAAATAAATTTTACAAATTTGCAGATGGAATCTGTGAATAAAGAGGGTCGGCTATATGTTCTCAAAGCCCAGGACACAGCACATTCCAGACCCATGTTGTGTGTTGTCATCCCAAGACCACAGAAAGAGTCTAATTTGCCTAGAGGAGGGAGCATAGACAGAAAATGCAAAGAAAAGAACATCTCACATTAGCCTTGCCAAGACCCCAACTAGTCTGTGATTCTTGCACAATGTCCTCAGCCTCTGATCATCACATTTGGTTGAAATATTTCCTCTTAAGGATAATTGTGGTTCTATGCTTGTCATGTCCTGGAGGAAACTTATTCCCTTCTATACTCTCTTTCCTTACTCAGGGAGGTTTTTTAGAGAGGAGAGATGCAAATAACATTTCCAAATGTCCAACATGCACTGCCTTAGCTGGGAGACTGCCAGGCAAGTGACAATAGTGACATCTGAGAGGCAGAGTCCTAAAAGGAGAAACCAAACCCCCTGACTCACGCGAGTGGCAGCAGCTGGTCTCCTGTGCTCTCAGCTGAGCGGCATTCCTACTCTCTGGGTGAGTAGTTCACTGGGAATCATCTCTTAGAGGTGTCACCTCTGAATTTCAGCATGTGAGTCTGCAGACTTCAAAACACTAGGTTGACCTATAAGTGCCTTAAAGGCTGTACTCTTCTACCCCCATTGGAAAACAAGGCTGGGAGTCACTAGTGTGTGAGATTTTAGGCAGAAATTCATCTTTTTCTCTCCTTATTCTGTGTCTCTTCTAGGAGTGTGAATTGTAAAAGCTGCAGGGCATGTGTGCTTGAGACTTTTTGTTCTAGTATTCTTAAGCTGCAGGGTGAGGCAGGGGTGAGGGCTGGCAACAGGAGGTTAGCTGCCCACATTCTGTTCCTCTTTATAACATGAAGGAGAGTCTTTATTGTTGAAGGAACTCCCTCTTGGGTTCAGGAGGCCTGTACACAATCCCTCCAGCAGAGAGAATCATTCTCTGCTTAGTGGCTTTATGTTAATTATGGATCACTAATTGTATAACTTCTGATTAAGATTGTGGATCTCAAGTACTTAACCTGTGGGTTCAAACACTAGGGGTGGTTGATTTTTATCACAGAACAGAACAGATAGAGAGAATGAATGACCTTATCACATAGTAAGTCAGCAATTTTTTTGGGTAGAGACAAAAAAAAAAAAAAAACCTCAAAAGAAACCTAAAGGAAATTTCAAAAGATATGCACTGTTTTACTGGGGTTTTTTTCTTATTTATTTATTTATTTATTTATTTGTTTGTTTGTTTGTTTGTTTTTTGAGATGGAGTCTCACTCTTTCACCCAGGCTGGAGTGCAGTGACACGATCTAAGCTCACTGCAACCTCCACTTCCCGGGTTCAAGTGATTCTCCAGCCTCAGCCTCGTGAGTAGCTGGGACTACAGGCATGCGTCACCTTTCCCAGGGAATAGAAACGCACTGTTTCTAAGAATGCTGTTAGATTAGCCACTAAAGAAGAAATGGTGTTCATTTAAAACAAAAGAAAAGAAAAGGAAAAAAGAGAGCTCTGAAAGAAAGCTTGCTCTGTCTATGTACAACAACTACCCGGAGGCTTGTGAAACAACAGCGGAAACCTTCTTAGGTGAGTTGACATTCCTTGCCCAGAGAAGAATACAACTGAGCATTTCATTTTGATGGGCTTAGTGAAAGCTGCTTGTGTGCTACACAGCCTAGAGGTATCTTGGTAGAGAGAGACTGTTCCCAGGGGTTCCAAGTTAGAGAGGGCACATTACAAGGCAGGAGGGTGACCCCACCCAAGTCCCTCAATTATGAGTGTGGACTGGTCACCAGAGTCCCCAGCACAGTTGTGGTCCATTGAACGATAATGGAAACTTCATCTGGAATTGCAAACCAAAAAGAGAGAACCTCCAAGGCTATGAGTGCCTCGTGGCAGCAATGGCCATTTCCCATTACGACCCATGTGGTGGGGAAGAGCAGTGGCAACACTCCTGAGCTCCCTGGGTTGATGAAGCAGGTAGTATCTATAATAATTGTGAAAATTTTTTTTAATGGAGAAACATGTACTATTATCTAAGGACCTAATTTTGACCTAAAGGCAAAAATCCACATTTATTTTGCAGGGCCATTCAATGGGAATGCCATTGAGGAGAATTCCCTCTTACAATGGCTCATTGTGCTCCCAGGCTCCTTTCAGATCTACTGCGGCAGTCATAGTCTTGCACCTATTGTCAGATTACTGGAGCAATCCCTGTTGACAGTGGCTCCTCATTTGCATGTAGCATGTGCAGACCAGCATTCAACTTCAGCCAAGATTACTCTTCCTCACCAACCCCAGAGAGACCTATCCAGCTGAAAACACTGGGAAAATGACTGCAGCATCCCTGAGTGGACAGCTCCTAGCAAACAGGCAACAAGACTGTCCCCACTTCACATGTTTTGACATGAGAGGAAACCCTTGCATTCAACAAGAGAGGTCAGTCCCAGAGACTTATTAATGGGTCAGAAATTCAATTCACCTATATTGATTCAAACTCAGCTGAAAGTTTAAAAAGGTAAAAGGTGAGTGTAGATTTTTTTTCTATGCCCATTTTTCAGTCATTACACCCTAGGAAGTGGTCTTTCTAGGAACTGGAGAATAGGACCAGTGGTTTCCTGACACCTTCTTTGGGGTGAGAAACCCTGACATAAAAGGACAGGTGTTCAGCTGATGTGCATTGACATTGACAACCATGTCATGTACCTTACAGGAAAAGTTGAGAAGAACCACAACCATAGGCAGCGCCTCCTCTAGAATCACACATTATCTCAACAGAGATCCAAAAAGCTAACATTTTTTTAATGATCACAGCAGCTGCTTAATTCAAGATACTCAATATTTCTACATGTATTAGTATAACAAAGAGACAGTTCCACATTTTTTTTTTTGAGACAGTTTCTTGCTCTGCCATGCAAGCTGGAATGCAATGGCATGAACACCACTCACTGCAGCCTTCAACCTCCTGGGCTCAAGCAATCCTCCCACCTCAGGCTCCTGAGTAACTGGAACCACAGGCATGCACCACCATGACTGGCTAATTTTTTTATTTTCTGTAGAGGTAGGGTCTTCCTATGTTGCCCAGCTGGTCTTGGACTCCTGAGCTCAAGCGATCCTCCTGCCTCAGCTTCCCAAAGTGCTGGGATGACATGCATGAGCCACCACATTTGGCGTTCCACCACTTTATATAAAACTAAGTCAGGGCAATGAAGGAGAATGTTATATTTGACAAGGAGCTGTAAAAAAAATTAAAAATCTCAAGATCCCCAAACTCATTATGCTAAAGGGAGAGTTAAGCCTGCACACGGAGTCACTGAACACCTCCATCCTTTTCCCAGGTGAGTAGCTATTATTGCACAAACTGGCATCAAAACATTGTACATTAGCCAGACCCCCCATGGAAAGGCAAAAAGCCTCAAGCATGGCCAGATGGCTGCCCTCACAGATTGTTCTTTGCTGGCGTTGAAACTTTTCAAGATGTATATCCTCTCATAAAACAAGGACATGTCAATTGTAACTTTAGGTCTGCAATGTAAGTCTAGCTCCTAAAACTGAAGTCTGTTAGATTTCACACTGACAATGTGGATTACAAGTTTATCTTCCAGATACCAGAGCATCACCTTGTCTTTGTTCTCTTCCAGGTACAGGATTTTCTCTTCCAGGTACAGAATGAAGACAAGATGAGATCAATCATTCCTCCACCTACCCTGAGACATGTGCATAATTGAGTCTTTATTTACTCCCTTTTTCTTCAGGCATTCACCTTACCTTATATAAAATATAGATTTACTGAGCACTAACTAAAGTCTCGCAAAAATGTAACCATTTGCTTTACACGTGCCCTCCCCTCTTCCTATAGCCTTCTCTCCTTTAGGGAACTGTATGAATACTAAGCTCCTGAAAACCTCTTCAGAGAGCTCAAGCCACAGATGTTTGCTGTGACTTGTGTTGATGAAAGGAGTCAAACTCTGTAAAATATTTGAAAATATTTATTCTGAGACAAGCCATGGCCCATAACACAGCCCTCAGGAGACCCTGAGAACATGTGCCCAAGGTGGTAGGGGTGGTGGTTGGTTTTATACATTTTAGGGAGACTTGAGATATCAGTCAAACACATTTAAGATATACATTGGTACAGTCCAGAAAGGCGAGACAACTTGAAGTAGGAGGGTTTCCAGGTTACAGGTAGATTTCAAAATTTTCTGATTGGCAGTTGGTTGAAAGAGTTATCAATAGAAAGGAATGTCTCGGTGAAGCAGTGTCACTGACTGGGGTAAATACTTGGGGTTTATTGTCTCATGCCAAGAAGATTAAGGACACGGACACATACAAGGAGTGAGTTTGGGAGTGGACAGTTAATAGACAAAAAAAAGAGAAAGGAGAACAGCTCTCTCTCGCTCGTGAGAGACAGGGGCTCCCAAATGGGAATTCCAGCCCAGAATGGGAGTGCACTGGATTTTATAGGCAGGCTTGAGGAGGTGGTGTCTGATTTACGTAGGGCCCACAGATTGGTTGGACCAGGTGTGACATTTACATAATGTGCAGGGAGGGCAGGTTGCCCCACCCTAATCTTATTATGGAAATAGGCTTTCCACTTGGCCAGCACCATATTGTCTGCTGCACACATGGCTGACAAAGAGAAAGGAAGTTGGAGCTTCCATTTTGAACATGCCTAGTCCCAGGTAGCCTTTTCCTATTAGCACAACTGCTGGTATTCACCCATGCAAGCTTCTAGATTGCTTGTCTATGTTTGCAGCTCAATTTTACAGGCTGCTCTTCGTTAAAAAAAGAAAATGATTTGGGGGCCACTTTTCATTAAAAGGAAAACCTTATCAAGGATTTCCGTACCCTGACTGTCTGCTTAAATAATCTCTTCTTAACTTTATATCATGGGTGACAATAAGAGGTTGTGGAGACCAAAGTTTTATCATGCTGATGAAGTCTCCAGTTGGCAGTCTTTGAAGAAAATATATTGTAAATGTTTCTTATCAGACTTAAGGTCTGTGTTGATGTTAATGCTGGTCAGCTTTTCCTGAATTCCAAAAGGGAGAAGGACATAATGAGGCATGTCTGACCACCACTCTTTCTGTCATGGCCTGAACCAGTCTTTCAGGTTAAATTTGGAGTGCCCTGGCCGAGGAGGGAGTCCATTCAGATGGTTGGGGCTGGGGGGTGAGGGACCTCCAAATTTTATTTTTGGTTTACACTTGTGTTTTTCCTGGGTGCATCTTCAAGCTCTGGCTCAATAAGTCTCAATTAACTAAGACTCTTGCCTCAGTCTCTCATTTTGGTTAACAGAGTACCGTGGTTCTAATCACAGTAGTTGCCATTTACTGAGATCTTTCTCTGTGTCTGACCCTGAGCTAAGCTTTTATATTAGTCATTTCGATGAGATAAACAACCTGAGATTATGGCATAATTATTCTTATTAGATAGGAAACTGAGGCACAGAGATATGAGGTCACATAGTAAGTGCGAAAGCCAGGATCCAAAGTCTAATCAAGGCGACTCCAACATCTGCTCTTAGAGTGATAGTGTCTGCCTAATTTCTGTGTTGATTGTCTATTTTGCATCATTCTTTAGGTGGATGCCTCTTATTGTGCATAAGGAAGTAAGTGTAGCCTAGTTCCCAATAACAAAATGCTATTGCTCCACCTTGTCTCCTTGTGCTGTAACTGAGGTCCATTAGCACTGAATACGTCATAGCCCTAGACATATTACGAGAACAGATCACATGTAAGCTTCCTGTCTTCTGGAACGTCCTGTGCTAACACAGATGTATTGACAGCATTTGCAGAGACAGATAAGGCATTTCAAAACAAACACCATATTCTCAGAGAAGTATAAATGTCATGTACCCCGCAGAACAGATTACTCAAGGAATGCTTTTTGAAGCAAAAAGTCCACATGTTTCTGGAAATGACAGAGGTCCTCAGAGGTCTTGAGGCCAGCATTTTCTGAGCCTCGTTGAACACAGAACACTTTAAAATAATAACACATTGACCTAATACTATAAGAGATTATGAGATATTTTACATTCAGAATCAAGTATAAAGCAAAGATGATCTTACAGATGAATTATAACAAAAAATATTAAAAATTAATGTATAAAGTTTTTCCAGTAAAAGAACATTTTAAAACTAGATGAATTAAATCATAGTTTTGTTAAAAGAACAAAATATCATACTACATGTTGAAATTATATGATAAAAAGTGCGACACAATCTGTGGATCTTCAAACAAAGAGCTATATGAAGGAAACAATATGTTGGGAAATGGGATGAGGCACATCTGAACATTTGTGCAGGACAGGATCCCCATTGAAAATCCTAGCAGGTTCAGCTATGGCTCACCATTCTTTAAAGGTAGATTTTCTAAAATGAAGAGAAATATATAAATGAGGTTTAACCTTTTTATTTTAATTTGATTTTAAGTGTATTTAGCAGAAATCATATCCATGGCATTGTTTGTTTGTCTATGGAAGAACTCAGAAGAATATTTGAGGATTAATAGTGATCCAAGGAACTGCAGTTGATAGGAATTTGTATAGAGAAAAGAGATCAAGATGAAGGAAGAGAAATAGAGGCAAGTTTTCCTTTTATCCCATAACCCTATGCAACCCAATCTTCATTCTAATTAAATGCAAGAGTCAGTTTAGGTCCTAGATTTTTATGTTAGTAGCATAGATGATCAGAAGTGACCAACAAGAAGTTGGGATACCATGTTAGGAGGCTTCCTCAGTAACCCTATCAATAAGTGATAAGGGCTAGAATTTAGAAAACGAATGTTAGAATAAAGAAGGAAGGAAGAACAAACTGTATTTCTATGCTTAAAAGGAGAATCAGTTGGATGCGTTTACTTATTTTGCATTGGAATGGAAAGAAGAGCAAGAGTTTAGGACAGCTCTCAAATTGGGGTGGTAAAGAATCATTCCCGGCCGGACGTGGTGGCTCACGCCTGTAATCCTAGCACTTTGGGAGGCCGAGGCAGGTGGATTGCCTGAGCTCAGGAGTTTGAGACCAGCCTGGGGCAACGCAGTGAAACCCCATCTCTACTAAAATACAAAATATTAGCTGGGCATGGCTGTGTGCACCTGCTAGTCCCAGCTACTCGGGAGACTGAGGCAGGAGAATTGCTAGAGCCTGGGAGGCAGAGGTTGCAGTGAGCCAAGATCGCACCATTTCACTCCAGCTTGGGTGACAGAGCAAGACTCCACCTCAAAAATAATAATAATAATAAATAAAAATAAAAATAAAAAAGTCATTCCCAGAGATATCAAATATTGGAGGAGGAACACCTGGTAGGAAAAGGAAAAGGCATGGTGAGTTCAGCTTTGAATGTGATGATGTTAAGGGGCTGTCTTGACATTATACCCTTAGAAATACATGTCAGCTAAATTCTAGGCTAGACCTATTCATTAGTAATTTGCCAATATACAAATTTTGTCAATATACAAAAACTACAGTTAAAGTTGAGGTCATTCAGGCGGAGAGAACAGAGCAAGAAACACAAGGGACAAGAATGGAGCCCTGGGATCAGAAACTTTTCAGAGGCCAGAGGAGAAAAGGTACCCACAAAGGAAAGTAAAAATATTGCCGATGTGACAGGAAAGAGCACAAAGAGAGGGCAGAGAGAGCTGGTATAAGAGGCGGTGGTAAGTACAGTAATGGTAATGCCTCCAAGTGGTGAAGTTTGAAAAGGACAAGAAAGTTTCCATCAGCCATAAATACAGTCGCAAATGACTTTTCAAAGTTATTTCAGAGATATGGAGGGTGGTGTGGGCCGGACACAGGGATTGGAAATGAATTTTAGAAAAAGTGAAAACAGAAAGTTCCATGCTGTTTGGAAAATGACAGTGAAATGAAAAAGACTGCTGGCCTCTCCAACCACGCCTCAGAGGCATAAAAAGGGGCAGAAGTAGCAATCCCTGCAGCAGGCACCAAGTCCTCAGAGGAGATGCAGGTCTCAGCGAAGTCAAGAGTGTTCTCTCTGAAGAATGTAGGGGTGAAGGAAGCCCATTAACAATGGAACAGTAAGTGTTCCTTCTGCCCTCAGCCCTGCTTCCCAAGTACCCCATGCTAGTTAATTCCTACTGATCCTTCAAGGTTCTGCTGAAATGACTTCCTCAAGAACTCTCTGGGCTCAAAGCATTTCCTTTTTTGTATGTTCCAATAACCCAGGATAGTCTCCCATTGTGCCACTCTTCACTCATATATTTGTTCAATATCTCTTTTCTTCTAGGTTATGAGCCCCGTGAGACCAGGAAATGAATTTACTGCATTCACTATTGTATCACCACATAATGGTAACTCAGTAAATAATTTATGGAATGAATACATGAATCAATCAATCCATAGGGATTCCAGAGAGCAGAGTGCACGTGGTTGGTCCAGGGGGCACCAGTGGGAGAATGAGTGGGTTGGTGGGCAAAATAAGGTATGGGAATGAGAGTAGGATAAAGTGGGTGACTCAGAGGGACATGGAATTTAGTTTGGGATGAAGAAGAACTTGGATGAGAGACACAAAGGTATTAACTAGTTTCAGCACTCTACCTATAATTCCAGTCTGAAGAAAGTTCTGTGTTGATACTTTCAAAGATTTCAAGTAATATCCAGGGTTGGATGATGTTCACTAATCATGGTACAAATGGTGTCCCAGGGTCTTTGCCCAGATTTTCAAACACAATATTGGTAATTAAGTTCAGACCTTGCTAAAGGCTAGCAAGTTAAGGTCCATCTGTCTATCCATCCACCCATCCATCCATGTATCTGTCCATGCGTTCATCTGTCCCTTCATCCACCCATCCATCTGTACATCCACCCACCTGTCCCTTCACCCACCCATCCATCTGTACATCCACCCACCTGTCCCTTCACCCACCCATCCATCTGTACATCCCCCCACCTGTCCTTTCATCCACCCATCCATCTTTACATCCACCCACCTGTCCTTTAATCCACCCATCCATCTGTACATCCATCCACCTGTCCATTCACCCACCCATCCATCCATTCATCCAGTCATCTATCTAAGTGTCCACTCTTCAAATCTTATTGAGGGCCAGGCATTTTTCTAAGTATTAATGATACCCTAGGGTGCAAAGGAGACAAAACCTCCCCTCATGGATTGGTGGAGAGGCAATAAATAAGGTAAAATGGAATAATGGAAGATGATGAGTGCTGAGATGAGTCAAACAGTGAAGAAGAGTGAGGAGTGTGTGTATGTTGAACCTGAGGAGGGTGGATGACAAACTTGAGATGAAAGAGCCAGAGAAACTCATTGAGAAGGTGACATTTGAGCAGGACAAAGAATGTAAGGAAGCACATCATAAAAATTGACTAGAGGTGAGCATGCCAGGCAGAAGGAATGGCTGATGCAGAGGTCTTGAGTGTTCAAGTCCCTGGCATGTTTAGGATGCAGGCAGGAATCAGGTGAGGCAGGAGCAGAGAGAGGGAGGGAGGGGCAAGTAGGATCTGCGTCAGAAGCTGAAGGGGACGCAATGGGAAGGCTTCATTGGTTGTTGTAAGGATTTGATTTAGCTTTTCCTCTAGCAGAGATGGGAGCCTTTGGAGGCTTGAGGAGTGTGACCTAAAACCTGAGACAGGTCTTTAAAAGTTTCCTCTGGCTGGTTGGTTTGGGGAGGGTGTCAAAAATGGAAAGGGGGAATTTGGGAACTATTGTGTCATCCGAAGGACAGATTGGGACCAGGGCGATAGAGGTAGGGTCCTAAGAAGTGGTAACATTCTGGATATAATTTGAAAGTAAAGCTGATGAAATTTGTCATTGAATTGGGTTTGGGTGAGAAAGAAGGAGGAAAGGGAGATCTCAGGCCTGAACACCTGAAAGGATGGAACTGGCATTTACTGAGAAAAGAAAGGTTGTAGGTAGAGGAGATTTGGCATAGGGCTCTATCTGGAATATATTAAGTCTGAGGAGTTTTTTAAATATCCAAGTGGTGGGTTAAATGGGCTATTTAGAGCTCAGGGGACAGGTACAAGCAAGAGATATAAATTTGGACATCATGG
Organism: Homo sapiens; assembly: GCF_000001405.40. NCBI lineage: Eukaryota > Metazoa > Chordata > Mammalia > Primates > Hominidae > Homo > Homo sapiens. The sequence continues at coordinate 102,269,690 of NC_000002.12, read as the reverse complement.
CCAGGGGTGGTGGCTCACGCCTGTAATCCCAGCACTTTGGGAGACTGAGGTGGGTGGGTCACCTGAGGTCAGGAGTTCCAGACCAGCCTGGCCAACATAGTGAAACCTCATCTCTACTAAAAGTACAAAAATTAGCTGGGCATGGTGGTGTGTGCCTGTAATCCCGGCTACCTGGGAGGCTGAGGCAGGAGAATCGCTGGAATCCGGGAGGTGGAGGCTGCAGTGAGCTGAGATCGCACCACTGCACTCCACTCCAGCCTGGGTGACAGAGCGAGACTCTGTGTCAAAAAAAAAAAAAAAAGGACATCATAAGCATATTGATTTTATTTAAAGTCATGAAACTAGATGAGATCACCAAGATAGAGAAACAAGAAATGAGCCCTCCTACATTAAGAAGTTGGGTAGGAAAAAAAGGAACTAGCAAGGGAGACAGAGAGATCAGTTAGATAGAAAGAAACCCAGGAGTTTGCAGAATCTAAAAACAAAGTAAGGAATCTTTTAAAGAGGAAGGAATGACCAGCCACATTAAATGCTATCAGCAAGCAGGATGAGGACTGGGAATAAATCACTGGATTTAGCAACACCATACCATGGGAAACTTGAGAAGTTAGTGTTTCTGGAATGGTAGGAATGAAAGCCTGTTTAGAGTGGTTTCAAGAAAATGTAGGGGGAGAGGAATTAAAGATAATGAGTAAATAGAACTATTTCAGGGAATTTTGTTGTAAAGGATAAGAAAGAAATGAAGGAAAATCTGGTAGGGAATAGGAACAGAAGGCAATGTTTGCTTTTAGTGGAAGAAATGGCAATCAATGTGTTCACTCAAGAGGATGCCCCAGAGGCAAGGGAGAAGTGCTGGAGCAGGTGAGCAGGGCCTCAATCTAGTGCACAAGGGAAGAGCTGAGCCTGGGCAGAAATGTGCTTGGACCATCCTTGGTAAGCGATGAGAAGGCTGAGCAAGGGCGCGCAGATGCTGGGAGCTGGTGCAGATGCTGGAGGGAGTTTGCAGAAGCACTTTTCCAGTGGCTTCTGCTTTCTCAGAAGGTCATCAGCTCAGGGTGAGGATGGGAGGAGGTGCTGGCAGTTTGAAAAGAGAGAAAGAGTGGTAGTGAATTCATCCTCTAGGATGGTGGGAGCGAAAAAGAATTCAGTCCATGCAGGAGGTCAGTCATGCCACAGCAGGGATGCCCTGGAGGTCCGTGAGCATGAACTTGAAGTTACGACCCTCAGGGTGAATGCGTGGTTCCCTCCAGGCCCACCAGCCACGAAGCTGCAGACATGGATGTGGGAGTTGGGTATCACCAGGTGATATCTCAGCCAGGGGCAGCAGAAAGCAAGACACAGGTGAGGGAGTTGGGGTTTGTGCAACGGGGGTTTAGGAGGATGGAAGTTCACTTGAAAACATGAAATGGGGAAGGACAGTGAAGAGATGTGTGGGTCAGAGGATTTTCTGTTGACTGTTGGAGTTGAGGTAGCAGAGGAAAGGGCCAGGAGGGAAAGAGACAGAGGTAGAAGAGAGCAAGGCTGGAAGCTGAGATGATGGCAGGGGTTGTGGAGATCCAAGGCCTGCCTGAGACCGGATGGAGGGTGAGATCACTGGCGGAGGGCACAGGACAGAGGTCACATGAAGGGGATCATCTATGTGGCTTTTGAAGTCGACAAGCAGAGTGAATGTCAAGTGGAGTGGCCGTGACCCAGGGCCAGAGCCTTTGAGAGCTGAAGAGGAGCAATGCCAGGCAGAGTGGGGCTGGGGTGCGGCTGCCCAATGCCAGGAGACTCATCTGTGACCAAAAGCAGCAGGGAAAACATCAGCAGCACCTCCAGCCCCCGTGATGGGAGGACTGGGGAGAAAAGTCCTTCTGAGAGGGCAGCAGGGCACAGCACCCAGGGAAGACCCAGCAAAAGGGAAATTGTGCACAGAAGAGTGTGAGATGCAGGGGATTTTGCCAGGATGCAGGGTGAGTTCTTGAGAAACTGGAGAAGGTTTCTGAGAATGAGGGAGGGAAGGAGGACAGAAATGGAATTGTGTATTTCCAGAGTGTTACGGAGATTTTGAGAGCAGGGTAATGTAATGAGTGGGAGATGAGGGGTGATCCGGGGGTGCATGGCATTCCAGGGATAAAAGGGATCATAAGCTTAGACTTGAGGTCTCAATGAAGACCATGGTGGTGAGGGCGTGAGAGCAGGGGAAGGAGAGTAGGAGCCTCATAGAAGGCTTGGAGGCAGGAGAAACCATCTTACTCCAAGCCCAAGGGACCCTCCGTGCCCCTGTGAATGGAGGTCAGCAGGCCTGGGAGGAGGCTTTTCTTCTAACTATGCTGGGCTCAGTTGCTCTTGAACCAAGGAGCTCAGGAGGCTGGAGGGCCTATAAAGGTTGCCCCACACATGGTGCAAGGAACTGTCAGGGCCATGGGGGAGGCATTCAGGGATCACTCCCAAATGCATCCTCCCATGGTGTCCCCAAGGCAGTTGCACCATTAGCAGTCCTCGCTAGTCACTGGAGCTGTAACCTTTGCAAAACTGAGCTGGGCCTGCGTGGATGGGGGTAGGGGAAGGACGCCTGACCCCAGGGCAGGGACCAGGGTCCACCTGGACTTCTCAGGAGGCATGCCATGGCTGGAGCCCTGGAGGAGCAGTATGGCATTAAAGGGTGGTGCCCACAATAAAGAAGGAACCCCACAGCAATATGTTCTCAGGAACAGCCCAGCCCAGTCCAGCTATCCAGGCCTTCTCCCACCTTGCCTTCCCCAGGACAGTTTCCTCTCAGGATCCACCAAACCCCCTCTATCAGGACCTAACCTCATATGGGAAGGAGGAAAAAGACCCAAAGATGCTTAATTCTGCTCTGCACCAGTGTTTGAAAGCCACTCCTCTAGTATCAAGTGGAAGTTCTGGGTTGCATTCTTATCAAGAACATTTGCATTTCTTAATATCCCAATAAACTCCTTACTGAGTGAATTGTGTCAGGCTCTGGGCTGGCTCTTAGAAACTGTGGGCAGGGTGGCAGTAACAGTCCACAGCCAAGACCTGGGATGCTGAGGCAGCTCAGGGCTCAGAAGGTGGCCCACCATGGCAAGGGAAGAGGGAAAAGGAAGTTGTGGAGAGAGCCAGGACTTTGAAGCTTCCATGGGCCCAGATCTGGGGCCTCAAAACCCACTGTACTGGCAGACAACATGTCCCAGCAGGAGGCCAAGTTCTTCACTTACTGTGGCCTGGCAGGACTGGCCTTGGAGCCAGCAGAGGACCCAGTGAGCAGCTGTGGAAGCCAGAAGCAGAGAGACCAGAATGCAGCTAGAGTGTCATCTGGGACTGTCAAACTCTTCCAGCATGTTCTTGGATTTACTGCCTGCATGATTAAGCAACATACTCTTTTGAGAGTGCTGAAAAACCTCCCTTGAAGTTTTGCCGGAGACTCTTAGTCTTAGTCCCAGGGGCCCCTGATGTGACAAGGAGGCTGATCCTAGTTCTCTGAGCCCAGGCAAGGTTCCAGTTTACTTTGACCCCATGAAGAGACAAAACACTCAAAAGCAAATGCCATCATCTGCTTGAACCCTGAATTTTCTCTTCTTCTATCATTGTTACTATTATTAGTTATCATTGGCCAAATGCTAGTTATATGACAAAAGACTTTATCAAACATCTTAGCTTCACAATCTCCTTTAGTCCCCAGGGAGGAAACATTATTCCCATTTTGCAGTTCAAAAACCTGAGGCTTACTAGAGAAAAATAAAGAGTTGTGCATATTGTTGAAGGAGGACAAGGAGCTAAAACTCAGGTCTGATTCCGCAGCTCGTAACCTTTTCAAAAATTTGTGAGGACTAATACACATAATATAAAATTGACCCTCTTAACCATTTGTAAGTGTACAGCTCAGTAGCATTAAGTACATTCACACTGTTGTGCAACCATCACCACCATCCATGTCTAAAACTTTTTCATTTTCCTAAACTGAAACTCTGCATCCATTGAACAGTAACGTCCATTCCTTATACACCACACTGGCCCAGGCACCCACCATTCTATTTCCTGTCTCTGAATCTGACTACTCTAGGGACCTCACGCAAGTGGAATCATATGGTATTTGTCTTTTTGTGACCAGCTTATTTCACTTAACAGAATGTCCTCAAGGTAAGGCAGAGTCATGGGAGAGAATGTTTTCAATGCCATGACCACTGGGTTGTGGGGCTGGTGTTTTTCCTCTGTGCCACTCTGCTACTTAGGCCTACACTCTTGATTCCACTAAGGGCAGTGTGAAGACTGAACTGTGTCTCCGCCAAGTTCACATGTTGGAATCCTAACCCCCAGTATATATGGATATGAATGTATTTGGAGATAGTGCCTTTCAAGATGTAAGTAAGATAAAATAAGCTTATGTGGATGAATCCTAACCCAATAGGACTTGTGTCCTCATAAGAGCGCAAGACACTAGGGATGGGAACACACAGAGGAAAGACAACATGAGGACACAGCAAGAAGGCAGCTGTCTGCAAGCCAAGGAGAGAGGCCTCAGGAGAAACCGAACTGTTATTTACACAACAAAGACTGTGGTATTTTGTTATGGCAGCCTGAGTGGATTAATACAGACAGGGATCTCTGTGTCACAAGATAGGATGAACTGTCACATACTGGCCTCTCCCACTGGCAGTAATGCCTTTTCAGTCTTATTTGTGGCAAGGAGGACAGTAGTCACTGGCAGTCTACATTTATGTACCATACAGAGAGAGGTGTGGGTTTTAAGTCCACCATGAGGACAGGCAAAGGACGTTCTTTCAACATTTTGAGTTTCCACTAACACAACACTACAACCGGCATGTCTGTGGTTTCCTTGGCCCAATTTACCTTATTCTTTTTTTTTTTTTCTTTGAAACGGAGTCTCGCTCTGTCACCAGGCTGGAGTGCAGTGGCGTGATCTCAGCTCACTGCAGCCTCTGCCTCCCGGGTTCAAGCAATTCTCCTGCCTCAGCCTCCCAAGTAGCTGGGACTACAGGCACACACCATCATGCCTGGCTAATTTTTTGTATTTTTAGCAGAGACAGGATTTTACCATGTTGGCCAGGATGGTCTTGATCTCTTGACCTCATAATCCACCCACCTCGGCCTCCCAAAGTGCTGGGATTACAGGCATGAGCCACCGCACCTGGCCTCACCTTATTCTAACCAAGCTGCACAAACTCTCATACCCAGCAGCACCATAAAAATGTAATGTCTTCACCAACTACGTGAATCGCTTCTCTCTAGCCTGCTGCTTCATGGAACTAGGAGAGGAAAAAGACTCACAGAGTGAGTGACATGACCCAATAAATGAGCTTCCACCACCTGGAAGTCACCAGCCTCCTTATTAAAATTGCAAGACACTCTGACCTCAAATACAGAGGAATTCTTACACATGTCTTTGTGTTGAACACTGTCATTTGTGGGTGCCATAATCTGTATATAATGATTGCTTTTCAGAAAAACAAGTAGAAAAATCAGCCATTGTTTTTTTCCATTCTAAGACACATCGGAAATTCTAAAATGTAGCCTTCAAGATGGAACAGAAAAGCTGATGACCTGAAAGGAGTTCAAAAGTATGCAGAGGGCTGGGGGTGGAGGTGTGAGTCCAGAGAATGCCGGAGAGACATCCAGCCTGGCATTAAGAAAAGGGGCTGGGAGAATCACTCACTTGCTAGAAGAGTATCAGTGGGGCCTCCCAGGAAATTCAATCAGGAGAATCATGCCCTAAAAGTCATTTTGGAAATGTGTAACTCAGCACAGGAAAACTGAACAAGGGTGAGAATACCCCTTATGGAAATGAGATTCACACATTTTCATGTAAGATGAGCTCCAGGGAACAGCAGCTACCTTGGTGAAGCCATGGGTCCCTGGGGCAAATGTTTTGACCACAAGCCAGTGTAGACCCCAGGCAGGGGAAAAGTCTTCATGCTTCAAAGACCAGAAAAGAAATGGGGGTTGAGTGGAGGAGCAGTGATGATGCCAAAGAGAATAGATAGGTATAGAATTACAGGATAGAAATTAAAGGTGAACTGAAAACTAAAAGAGAAAAATCTTATTTTGCAAAGAGGATACCCAAGGGCAGCCCCTAATGAAGAGCAGTCCCAGGACTGGGGCTATGGATGGGCCTCAGAGGTCTGCTGAGCTGGTGGGAGGTCCCCTGCCCATGCTTCATCCCATCCCGAGGTAGCCCGTGCTGGTCATGCACCCCCACCACCAAGTAACAGAAATTGTCTGTGCGTATGATGGACTGCACTGAGCTTGGTGGACAGGTTTGAGAACAGGAAACTGACAAAAGGACTGAAGTGGAAAATGTCTTTGAACCCAGAGTGACATATCTCCCTCTTTTATCACTTGAAAGTGATAAGGGGGGATGTTAACCAGCATCAACAGCAAAATGACCCTGCCTTTGTGATGGCCCCTGTCTTCTCTTTCCCTAATTTTGTTTTCTCCATTGGGTACGAAATATGTGCTGGTGAAATTTACCTCATTTTACTGATTAGCACAAGTACAGAAGACATCCATTAAACAAATATTTATTGAACATCTGCTCGGCGAGGCACTGTGTTATATCACGGGAATGGAATGGTGAACAAGATAAAGATGACTTTTCTCCTCACAAATCTAACAACCTCAAGTTATCCAACTGCAGTCAGAGTGCCTGCCACACTTCTGATTGACCCTTCTACTCACCCAAAGCTTCTTTCCTTTCCATTCCAACAGCATCTTTTCAGATGTTCTATTTGGCTCAGATGTGAAAATGCATCATCATGTCCGTTGCTATAAGCCACTGCTCTCATTTCCTAACCATTGAGAAAAGGGACTCTTGCTGGTGCACCATCACCACCTCTCTTGCACAACTCAACGTTTCCCAGAACCTTCACCCATCTCCTCCCTCATCCCCACTCCTCCTTCCTAAGAAAAGCATGCCTCTTTTCCAAACTCAGCCCCTCCACTTGTGTTCTAGGTTTGATTTCTCAATCCTCCCAGCTCCCAATGCAGTCTCACCTTTCAAAGGGTTCTTCTATGTCTCAGTTCTGACGTCTGTATCTATCAGCTTCAGATAGTGATGTCTGTATCACTCGCTCTCTAAGCATGTTCTAGACACACATGCCCCTATAACTAAAGCCTTCCCTGGTCTTCACTTTCCTATGAAACCACTGCCCTGCCTCTCTCCTTCCTTTCTCTACCCAAATTCTTACAAAAGAGCTCTACTCCAGCCTTCACCGCCCCCACCACACACCTACCCCCTGGAACCTTGGGGTTTGAACTGCTCATTGAAGGTAATGGATTGCCTTCTGACTGACTTGCTAATGAAATCTTCTCAGCTCTCATCTGTTCTACACTGGTGCCATTTGACACTTTGACCACTTCCTCTTTGACACTCTACTCTTGGCCTCCATGACACCCTACTTTCTTCTTTGTGTCCCTTCCCTCACTCTGATTGCTATTTTTGGGTTCATTCACTGATTCCTCTTAAATGTAGGCATTTTCTAAGGATCTGTCTTTCCTTCTCTTTCTAGAGACTCTCATAAATTCTCATAATTTCAACTATCAGCAAATGCCGATGGCTTCAAGACCCATATCAAGCCAGTCTTCCTTCTCCCCCTCCTCACTTCACCTCACCTGCAAATTCACTCATGCTACCTACAAAATATCCATCACACTTCTTCACTTCTTTCATTACTCACTACCACTGTCCAAATTCAGGTCTCATCATGTCTCACCAGGAGCGTTCAATAGCTTCCTGTTTATTCTCCATGTGTGCCCTAGTCTTAGTGCATTCAATTTCATTTCCTCCTCAATAACCAGCAATGGTTCCCACAGCCCATGGAATCATGTCCACATTCATTGCTTAAGAGTCTTCACTCTGGATGCATGTCCTTGCTCAAAATATGGGCAAATTATTTACCTTCTTTGAGCTCTGTATCCTTACCTCACAGCATTGTGGTAGGAGCCGTTGTTCAGTTTGTACACTGCAGGAGTGTGTCCAGCTGATGGAGCAAGTGGCAACTAAAACCCAACCCATCCTCCAATCACTAAGTTCGTCCCACGACCTGGGCTGAGCTTGAGTCTGCTCAGAGAAGGAGGTACTTTTCTCTGCAAAGGAGGTACCTTTCTTTTCACACAAAGGTACAGTAAGGGCTGGGACTTCCCCAGATTTCTTCTTCAACACATGCATTTTATCCTCATACTTGACACTCGGGCCCAAATCTTCTATTTTTCCCAAATATGCCGTGTACATTAAGAAATCAGTGTTTATGTTCCCATTATCTCTACAGCCCTTTGTCCTCCCATTCTCTGCCAGGGGAAACCTTCTCATTCTCCGATGTCACTTGGTTTGGGAGGGCTCTGTGCATTCCTCCTGGCTTGGGACTTCCCTTTGAGTCCTGCATCCTGGTTACACATTTATAGAGCACTTATGTCAGTTTGTCTTGGATTGTACTCTTGATAAGGAATCTGCCTCCTCCATTTGTGTTCGATGACCTTAGGTCAGGACCCTGAGTGGAGCCCACCCATGTTTGCTGGTTTGAGTTCAGTACTTCTTGTAAACCTGGGATTGTAGCTAAGCACTATAGCGGTGCAGTTTGGGACACAAAGGTGTAGAGAAGAGTTTAAGGCTTAAACATGCATATCTAGAAGGAGCTAGATTAGAGAATGATTTTAAAATAACCCTAATTAAAGCAATAATAGTAGTCATAGAAAACATAACCAAAAAAGAGAGAAATCAAAATTACTTGTAATCCCACCACTCAAACCTTTGTCATCATTTTGCTCTATAACCTTACAAATGTTATTCTATATATATATATATATATTTTTTTTTTTTTTTTTTTTGAGATGGAGTTTCACTCTTGCTGTCCCAGTTGGAGTGCAGTGGTGTGATCTTGGCTTACTGCAACCTCCGCCTCCCAGGTTCAAGAGATTCTTCCACCTCAGCCTCCCGAGTAGTTGGGATTACAGGCGCATGCCACCACAGCCGGCTAATTTTTTTGTATTTTTAGTAGAGATGGGGTCTCATCATGTTGGCCAAGCTGGTCTCAAACTCTTGACCTCAGGTGATCTGCCCGCCTTGGCCTCCTAAAGTGCAGGGATTACAGGCATGAGCCACTGTGCCTGGCCACATTATTAATTTTTAAAATAAATTACCAACTTTTTCATGTGTTATACTATAAATAGTTTCCCATGACATAAATACTTTTCTTTAACATTATTTTAATGTCTGCATCATATTTTATTGTATGCTTGTACCATAATTTATTTAAATATTACCGAATTTCATTTTTTCTGTTTTATATAACACTGGAGTCAACATCATTATAACTAGATATCTGGCACACCATTAATAATCTCTTAAGAATAAATGCCTAGAAGTAGAACTGCAGGGTCAAAAATTAGGTGTTGTTTTCTTTTCTTTTTTTTTTCTTTTTCTTTCTTTCTTTCTTTTTTTTTTTTTTTGTGACAGGGTATCACTCTGTCTGTCACCCAGGTTGGAGTGCAGTGGTGCAATCATGGCTCACTATAGCCTTGATACCCCGGGCTCCATCACATCTGGTTAATTTTTAAACTTTTTGTAGAGACAGGGTCCCACTATATTGCTCAGGCTGGTCTCGAACTCCTGGGCTCAAGCAATCCTCCTGCCTTAGGCTCCCAAAGTGCTGGGATTACAGGTGTGAGCCACCATGCCTGGCCCAAAGTTAGGTACTTTTTAAAGATTTTTTGATACCTGTAATGAAACGGGCCACTGGAATCACCAAGCTAACCATTCCATTTGAGATCAATGGCTCGCCAATTTCACCAGCCTCGCCAGAATGGGTATTGTCAGAGCACAGAATTTTAAGGTTGGAAATAATCTAAGAGTTGATCTGCCCCGTGGGTCTCACTCAGAATCAACTGGGCATTATGTATTTCCTCAAGCTCCTCAGTTAATTATTCTGTGCAGTCAGGTTTGAGAACCACTAATGTAGTCAAAACCCCTCACTCTGGATTTGAGGAAACTAAGGGCCAAAGAAGGTACATAACTTTCCTAAATTGACCCATGGAAGGTACACAAATAAAAATGTATCCAAAAGATAAAGGAAAAGAAAATGATGTATTCAGGTGGAAAATTAAGTAGTAATCATTTCAAGTTAATTATGGATAGGAGAACTAGGTATTTAAATTTAAAATCATATTCTAAGCATGAAGACTGTTTAAGAACACAGAGTGAAAAGAGCGCTTGTCTTTCTTCTATTCCATGAAGAAACCATTCTCAGCCAATCAATTCACAGCCATTTGTTCATTTCAAAACTTGTATATTTTTAAGTCTAACTTTACAAAGAAGAGGAGATAATAACAAGGACCCTGATAAATTAACTATGTATGTGTGGGGTGTAAGAGACACTAAAACACAATTTTACACAAAAATCAACCCTGATGGTACCAGTCAAATAACTGGGTCTTTTTGTGAAAAAGAAATGAAAATACCTCCCAGTAGCCACAAAATACTGTAATCTTGTGGTTCTAAGAACCTTTAGTGAATAACAGTAAGACATGGTTGGATTTTGTGTTGATTTCAGGTTACATTTATTTCAGTTAAAGAAAAGGTGTAAACTTGTGAGATATATCATTTCTCCAGACTTGAGCACATGGAGAGGATTACCTGCATGTGTGTTTGGTGAGAGGAAGGGTACAATAGCCTAGAGACCATGTCTGAGATGACATGTCTTTTAGAGAAGCTGAATTAGCATTTGTGATCAATGGTTACTTCCAATCACCACTTTACAAGAAAAAGTGATTTTAGCACCTTCGTTTCTGAGAAAGGCAATGTTCTCAGAAAGGAAAGTTTTTAACTCTGTTATTTGCTGCTCTCAGGAGATACTTGTGGTTTTGAGAGTGTTACTTGCCTGTTACTGAATCCACATTACTACTCCTGATGGTGAAATGAAAAGAGATATTACTTTAGTATGAATGACTCACTGGGTGACTCTGTAGATGAGTGCCTTCCTGTGTTGCTGTGAGTTGCATGAGGCATGGCCTCAGATTCCAAAGTGCTTAAACTACAGAAAAAGGAAGGAGAGTAGACTCCCTTTCATGGAGGATCTCACACTCTGGGTGACGAGGCAGGTGCTCTGCATGCTTCTCACATCACTTAATCTTCCCAAAGGAGACCCTCCAATGGAAAGAGTGTGCATGTAGGAGAGAATCAAAGAAAATTGCCATTCCTGGAAACCATTCTACAGTGATATAATTAAGCCAAAGGAAAGAGCAGTTAATGGTGTTTGGAGAAACGAGAGTAACTTCATTCAGGAGATGAACTTACTCTGTTCCAGGACAGTTATGCTAAACCAGGAATGGGGCACATCAGAATCATTTGGTGGGAATCCCCCAGGTGGTTCTGAGGGCATCCCTTTCCCTCATTGTCTAGAGCAGGTTTTCTCAGCCTCAGAACTATTGACATTGGGGCCTGGCACTTCTTTGTTGTGGGCGGCAGCTGTTCTGCACATTGTGGGATATGTAACAGGACCCGACCTCCATGAAACTGATCTCCAGTTGCCAAATGTCATCATGTCCCCTGGAGCATGATTAGCTGAAAAGAACTAATGATAGACAGTAGAATTATGAGCAGGATAAGGGAGAAGGGTCTTAGATTGCCAGGCAAGGAGTTGACTTTTTAAATGCAAATGACATTCTTCTCAATAAATTTTGGATACTTTTTAATAGGCAATGGGATATTAGCTTTGTGTAGGAATGTACATTTTAGGAAAAGAGTGCTCAGAGATGGTTAAACAGGCACATACAATATTAGAGAAGAATATACAAATAGCAAATCAACTAGGGTGCAGTTAGAAGCTTAAAGGCATAAATGTGATTATTTTGTTGTGGCCCCAACATAAGAGAAAATAAAGATGCAGGAAATATTTCTTTATTCTTTTGTAATGAGTGACCCTACCAGAGGGACACTACCCAGAAATTGAACTTGAGTTTGTGTGCTAGCAGCAGTCCTTTAAAATGAGAGAAGTTTCTACTATGATGTAAGATAAGTTAGGATAAAAAATCACATGGGTTTTCTTGAGAGGCCATCCTCATTTAGAAAGTCACACCACCTCTGAAGCACCAACAGTGTCTTCCTTAGAAGGGTAGGTTTAGGGGAAAAAGGGAAAAAGTGTTGATTGCCCTAAGGAAAGAGAGTGACTCCACATAGTGGCATTGCTAATGGCCAGCAAGACCAGGGCAGACAGAGGCATACACTCGATCAGCTCCTGACCCAGTGCTCATTCCAGACACCAAGACGGGGACCCCAGACTCCTCTGTGATATCCTGAGTGTGCCCTCCAGAAGCAGCTTTGCTTGTATGGGTAGCAACTCACCTCCCTGAGACTCACCCCTCACTGCCACAGTCTCCCTGGGTCTTCCACCAAGGAGATTGAACCCTCAGCCATCCTAGCCAGCTTCTACTTACAACAGAGTCCCAAATCCTCAACACCTATAGCCCAAATCCTCATCATCTCTTGCCCCTGAGGTGACAGTACCCTTACCAGCCCCTAAGCGCGGAGGGGCAAAGGGTGAGACAGGCTAATGGTGAAGATCCCTTTTACATTTGCTCTCTGGCAACAGCACATTAACTGCAGTCCTCAATTATGTCCCCGTCATGCTTGGCTCAACATTGTCCCGTACAGTTAACAATTGGTGAGTAAAGAAATGTGAGAATGTGGAAACTGGACACTAAAGTTATAATAGGAAAATTATCATCTTGCTTCTAATGCCAGTAGAAGTACAGTAGTTATGCCAAGAGGTTACTTAACATTATATTATGATTGGTAAAGACTCTGTTTTCTGATTACCATGAAATATAGCTAGAAATAATTAACAATGTTACATGCAAACAAACTGAACCGCTAGGAAAAAAGAAAGGCAACAACATTGTTTAAAATGAAACTCAAAAATCAAAAATCAAAACTTAAGTATCTCAATATTAATAAAATACCCAGAAGAACGCTGCATAGCAAACTTCTGGAATACAGCCAAAGCTGTACTGGGAGGGCAATTGTTTAATTCTTAAAAAAAAAAAATAAAGTATTTGAATGAAGTTGCTAAGTACTTATCCTGAGAATTTAGAAAACAATCATGAGAGTCACAAATAAACTTGAAAAAAAAGAGGGAGAAGGACTTAAAGATAAAATTAATTGGTTAAGAGAAAATGTTTGCATTGATAAATTCAAGTGGAATAGAGGGTAGATGGTAAAATAGGCATCTCTGCCTAGTTAAGTCACAGGAGGGAGAAGTGAAAGTGAAAGTAAACAAAGTTAGAGATGAAACAAAGAACAATATACATTCAGAACATTAACTGCTTTTAGAAAGATTATATCTCCATATAGTAATTAATTAGAAAATTATATGTGCATTATTTCTAGATAAGAGTAAATTACCAAACTTTTATTTATTATTAAAGAAATAAAAAAGAATCAAATCAATAAATGTGTTAGAAATAACAAATATAATTTAAGAATAATCACCAAAGTAGTACCTGACTCAGATAATTGCCTTCACATCTGTAAAGAAGAAATAATTTCCAGCCTATATTAACACTGCCAGAGCTTATTAAAAGATGAAAAGGTTTGTAATTTGCTTTATAAAGCCAGCATAATTTCTTTTCTTTTCTTTTTTTTTTTTTTTTTTTTTTGAGACAGAGTTTCACTCTTGTCACCTAGGCTGGAGTGCAATGGTGCTTTCTTAGCTCACTGCAACCTTCACCTCCTGGGTTCAAGCGATTTTCCTGTCTCAGCCTCCCAAGTAGCTGGGATTACAGGTGCCTGCCACCATGCCTGGCTACTTTGTTGTTGTTGTTTCTTTGTTGTTTTTGTTTTGTTTTGTTTAGTAGAGATGGGGTTTCACCATGTTGGCCAGGCTGGTCTTGAACTCCTGACCTCAGGTGATCCACCCACCTCAGCCTCCCAAAGTGCTGGGATTACAGGTGTGAGTCACCACACCTGGCAAGCCAGCATAATTTCTACAGGACAGAGTTAGTAAATGTAAACATTCATTCGTAATTTCATTTGCAAATATAAATGAAAATTCCAAATAAAATTAGATAAATGAAGCACATTAACAAATATAAGTACACTGTATACTCAGGAATTCAAAGATGGCTTAATATCAGGAAATGTATCAATATGCTTCATCATACCAAAAAGTCAAAGAAGAAAAATCATATAATCATCTTAATATATGCCGAAGACTCCTATGACAAAATTCAATACAAATTTTCAAAACTTAAAGCTTTTAGTCAACTAAGCCTAGAAGATCATTTAATTTAAAACAATTTAAATGTAAAATAATTAAAATTTTTAAAGAAAATAAAAACAGCCAACATCATAGCTAAGAGTAAAACCATAGAGATATGTCCCCTCTCATTCCTATTAAGCAAAATTTTAGACAGTCTAAAAATTAGACAGAAAAAAGAAACAAACTCCACAAATAATGGAAAGAAAAAGACAAGTTTATTACTATTTCCGGTTATGATTGTCTATATAAACAAAATAAATCTGCCAATAAAATAAAATAAACAGCAGTTGACAAGTTAAAATAAAAGTAGAAAAACCAGGATTTCATCAGCCTGGAAGTAACTATGAGAAAAAAAAATGGAAAAAAACATTCCCAATAGCAACAACAAAACAATTTCTGAGAAGAAATTTTAAAGAAACTTAAGCCAGGATCTATGTGAAAAAGTACTGTTATATTAAGAGATATTAGAGAAATATTGTATTAAGAGATAGTACCTGTTTCTAGAGAGGCATAAAATTGTAAGTTAGCATAAATTCAAAACAATTAAAATCAAAATACCAATAGAAACTTAAGACACTAATGAATGAACAAAAAGAGTCAAGAAAGTGTAGACAAAAGTATAACGATAAAGGTGGCTGGTATTGTCAGATGTTAAAATACATTATAAAATAAAAATAGTCTGTGTTTATGCCTATATTCCAGGATTGGGGATGACTTCTTTGTGCTTTTTGCATTTTCAAGTTTTTTTTCAAGTATTTATGAGCAGAGAAATCTTTAAAAATGTAATACCACTAAGTCTTTCTCCAGCTGTGCCTGTTCAAGGCTCCCACACCCTTCTCCCTCTCCTCGTTCTTGAGTTCTTCACCCCAACCTCCACCTTCTAGTCCCCTCTTCATTCTTGACTTCATGTTTTGAGAAATTGAAGTCTTTGTGGGGCTCTGAACACTTCTCATGATTTTATGCTTCTTCTTCGTGTGAGACAAGGTCTTCGGCCACATCCACCTCCACCCCATCCACCGTTTCCAGCCGACATTCCTTTATGTGGGGATCACATTCTCCAGAAAGTTCTCTCTGACCTCCCATGCCCCATTTCCCTTGCCCTTCCTACACCATATGAAAATTAAACATAATAAAATTGATTCAAGAAAAAGAAACTTTGGTTGAAGGTGATATTTCGCTGTGGAAGGAGGGTATCTTTTATTGCCTTATGTTGAAATCTTTTCTACTTATTTCTTAATTGAGTTATTTTCAAGATTCATGTCTTACTTATGTTTGAAACCTTAGACTTCAAACCAGTTTATTGATCTCAACTCAAAAATACTTTTTAAACACAATATGGATATATTACTAGGGATGTTTATAAGCTTATTCTTCAGTCAGATTTCAATAATCTGTTTGAAAATTGGCATAAAGAAATTTAAAGCCCAGAGATTTTAAAAAACGTTTATAAGTAGAGCCTCTATTGAGATATGCAGAGCAGAAAGGGTGCCCTCAAGTGGCTTACACTAAATTTTATTGTTCAAAATATTCTAGAATGTTACCCTTTGTGGCCCCTGTCTGTTTTACTTAAATCTATTATAGCATCAGTGATCTAAATATTTTTCTGAGCTTTTAGACCTTCAACGGTTTCTTTTTGAACTTCCACAATGGGTTCTTATGATTCTTCTTTATCTCCTATGATATTTTCTCATTAGTTTTATTTTCCCCCCTTTTAAAAGGAAGGGTTTATTAGTGAACTCAGCAGTTACAAGCCAAGGGGGTGAAAAAGTCAACTCTCTATTCAAGAGCAACTAGGAGTAAACAAACTTGCCCTTTTACCTGTGAATTCACACCTGGTCATGGTGGTGAGGAGGTGAGCAAATCAGGGCTTCCTGGCCATAGAAACAAGTGTGTATTATCAGCAGAATTTTTGTGTGTTTCTGCAGCCTGTACTGTATGTCTTATCTTAGGCAGCAATGTCAAACCAAGCAAAAAAGGAAAACTTGGTCATACTCTGATAGTTCTAGCACATGGTTCCAGCTAAAAGAAAAGGCAAAATCTTAGAGCTGTCCCAGGTCATTGCCCTAAGCTCCCCTCCTTAGAACAACCAGAGCAAAACGCAACCCACCAAGTCACACCATGTTCAGAAATTGAGTCATTATGGAAAAGGCATTGTTGCATAATGACTTATCTAATTCATCTATGTTGATTTAAGCAGTCTTTAAATCAGGCCTTTTAAAAAGAGAAAAAGAAAGAGATCTCTCTTTATTTGGGCATGTCAGGTATGAAAAGGAAATTTTCTAAGCATCCCAAACTCCCCAGATGGAACCAGGACGGGCTGTGCTCACAATCTGGGCAAACTTCTTCAGGACAGAGAAAGGTGGAGAGGTCTTTGATGACAATATGCCCGCTTAACCCAAAGCATGGCTGTGCTTAGCCCCCATTTGTGTGGTTGCTTGGCTTGTTCTTGTGTTTTGAAGCACCATCAGAACAACCCAAGTGTACCAGTGACAGCCCCAGTCCCTTCCTGGGTGTGCCCTTCCTCTCTAGCACCAGCCAATAGCCTGAAGAGACCCACTGATAGCCCATCTGCTCCACACTGCCTCATTAGGGATCAGCCCTCACTCTTTCACTTATTCCTAAAGCTTATGTGTCTAGGAGTGGGGAGAAGTGATGGAGTAGTAGAGGATTATGACATTTATTGGTTCAAATTTAATTCCGCTTTCATAACTATAGAAAGCATTTGTCTGGCTAGGTTATGCCAAGTAGATACATTAAAAGTTGTTTCTCGGCCAACAAACACATGAAACATCACTCATCATCAGAGATATGCCAATTAAAACCACAATGATATCATCTTGCACCAGTCAGAATGGCTGTTAATAAAAAGTCAAAAAAACAACGCAAGGACACAGAGAAAAAGGAACGCTTATACACTGCTGGTGGGGATGTAAATTAGTTCAACTTCTATGGAAAACAGTGTGGAGATTTCTCAATTAACTAAAAAGAGAACTACCATTTGACCCAGCAATCCTACTATTGGGAATCTACCCAAAGGAAATGAAATCATTACATTAAAAAAGACACTTGTACTCAGATGTTTATTGCAGCACTATTCACAATAGCAAAATCATGGAACCAACCTAAATGTCCAGCCACAGTTGATTGGATAAAGAAAATATGGTAAGGAATACTATATAGCCATAAAAAAGAATGAAATCATGTCCGTTGAATCAACATCATGGAGCTGGAGGCCATCATACTAAGTAAAATAACTCAGAAACAGAAAGTACAATACTGCATGTTCTCACTTAAAAGTGAGAGCTAAACAATGAGTACATATGAACATAAAGATGGAAGTAACAGACATTGGGGACTTCAAAATGGAGGAGGGTGGGATGGTAGTGAGGGATAAAAAATACCTATTGGGTACAATGTTCATATTTTGGTGATGGGTACCCTAGAAGCCAAATCCTCACCATTATGCAATATATCCATGTAACAAACATGCACATGTACCCAGGAATCTAAAATGAAATAAAATAAATATTTAAAGATTTAAAAAAAGTATTTTAAAGAGTAAAGCTTCAAACCAAGGAATACGGGGACCAAGGGTAAGCTAGGAAACGCCCAGGTCTGCTCTGACGCGCCCCCTGCAGGACCCCGTCCAGACATGCAGGAGAGGCAAGGCGCTGGTGCGCGCTTGGGGCATTTTGCCTTCCCTCCTACCTGCCCTCTCCTGACCCAAGTTCTAGCCCCACCTGCTTTGTCACCACCGCCAGCCTATGGAAGTTCCCTCTCTGGTCCTTCCTGTCCCATGGGTAAAATGGACCTAGCATGTCTAATTGCGCATGTTCCCGCAGTGATGTGAAGGACTGAAGGGCTTTGAACGCTGCGCTGTCTTAAGGGAAGGTGCCTGGGGCACTGACTTCGTCCCCTTTTCCCAGATCCTGCTCAGAGCCGCTCCCCCAGGCCCCCGGCCTCTAACTGTATCCTAGCCCTCTGATCAGCCTTTGCCTACTGAGGGCAAAACTACAGGGTACAAGAATAGGGGTTGCTATGTCCCCCCATTTCCTTTGTCTTCCATTTCCCCGTTCGCTCCTAAACCCTGAGACGGGGCCCTGTGCCAACTCGCGAGGGGCTCCCGGCTTCACGGGGGGCGCAGGTCACAAAGCACGTTCCGCCCTGGAACGCCCTGAGGAGATAAAAGCCGCGCAGGCCCCGCGCTCGCCGCGCACTCCGACCGTTCCGACGAGGGAGCTTTGCACTCGCTGAAAATGACTCGAAAGCTGCCCCGCCTCTCCGCCTCCCAACCCCGGCGCCCGCTCGGCGCCACCCCGCAGCTCCCTGGCAGTCGGCTCTTCTTTCCTCCCATCCGTCCCCCGTTTCTGGACCCGCAGACTACGCTCCTGTTCCAGCCCACCTACTCGTCCTTCTGCCCCATCTGCTACCCGTCTCTGAACCAATTCGTCCCCGTCCACTACCCCGTCTTGGGCATCGCCCTGCCGAGCTCTTCCTGCCTGAATCTTCATAAGATCTGCATCTGCCGCCCTCATGTCCGTTGGGGCCCCAACTTCCACTACGTCCCTCCCTATCCCCCCACGCCCCCGCCCAGCCCCTGCTTTTAGAAGCTGCCTACAGCCCGCCCCCGCCCAGCCACCCACGCGGCCCTGACGATCCACGACCCCACGGAGGGGCCCCTGCAGGCACCGTGCTCGGGCAGCGAAGGAGCGGACCCTAGGGTCCCCGCGGCCTGGCTGTGGACACGGGGACGCAGGACCACGGACACCCACCCTCGGCCTCCGCTGCCTGCTCAGCCAGCCGCGCCAGCCTCTGCATTTGGCAATGGCTTCCCCGTGGGCCTTGGTCTGGAACCACGGAGCAAACTGCAGGCCCGAGACAGAGAAGGGAGAGCACGAGGAAGCAGCGCCTCTGCTCGCTGGGAGAGAAACGACTGGCCAAGGTGAGGCCTAACCACATGCCCATGACCTCCGGGTCTGTCCCGTGACAGGAAGCCCTTTCCTGGAGGTGTCCACGGGCGGTTGGGGTAAGGGCTGGGTCGCCAGGAGCTGGGGCTGTGGGAGTGCTGTAGCCTGGAGACCGTGTGGGACACCGTTGCCTGGAGAAGGCAGAAGCCCGGGGCCAGGGAGAGAGGCACAAGGGAGCAGAGAGCGCATCGAACCCGATGGAGCAATGCCAAGGCCATGGCGGGACACCCCAGGGAGAAGGTGATCCAGGATGAGGTCCGTCAGAACCAGATCTTGCAGGAGCTGTACCTCAAAGGGCTACCAGCCCAGAACGTCTATGCGCGGTATCACGTGAACCCCTCCACGAGGTCCACAGATCACCAGGAAGCCCATGTCTTGGCATGGTAACCTGGAGGAGCCTGGAGACGCCAGGTTTCGGAATCTCATTCACCACGCTGCCCAGGGACCAAGGAAGAGGGACCCAGACACAGACCGAAAACCAGGAAAGTGCATGGGACTCAGTGCCCCCCCCTCAACCCAGAATGCCCAGATTGCAGGCTGAACCACTGCAGGGTCTGCAATGACATCGCTCTGTACAAGGCTCAGATGTGGAGCCTGGGAGGAGATGATGGCCACCAGTGGCATCCCAGCAGTGGACTGAGGCGCCGGATTTCATGCCTTAAGTGTGCACTGCCCCCAAAAATAAATTTTTTATGTTACTTTTGAGCCATTGTATAATTTATACCCAAACACACTTATGATAGGAACCCCAAACCTAGTATGGCTTTTTAATCTCTTTTCCAAGGAGAGAAACTTACATGATTTCATAGAAAAATTCACATTGCTACAGTGATATCAATCAGAAAGAAGTCTGCAGGAAAAGACTAACATATTGAGGCTTGTATTTGTTAGGATTATTTCCATTGTGAGAAACAGAAACCAAATTTAAGCAGAAATGAGAAATAGTTAACTCCTAAACTTCAGAGTTCCAAGGAATTCAGGCATGACAGGATCCAGGGACTCAAACAATGTCACAGATCTCTCTTGGTCTCTCTTTCCTTCTCTGATTCTGCTTATCTCTTGACTCTTCACTTTTGACATGATTCATTCTTGACGCTAACAAAATCTATCCTTGTGGAAGGAAAGACTGCTACCAGCAAAGCTATACCCACATTTCAGAGACAGAGTAGGAGAGGGAGCAAGAGAGAGACAATTTTTCCCACCTAATCCAGCTGAAAAGAATCTCCGAGGATTTAGGTTCATCTATCCTGTGTTGCAAAGCTGCCTACAAACTGTGCAAGCTGTACCATGTTAGGGTTGACCAAGCCTGGGCATGGACTCACAGGAGCCAAATGCACACAGGAAGCTTCCTAGTGGAATCAAAGGAAGGGTGAGAAAATGTACTGCTCATACCCAAAGTGTAGTCTATTACAAACTTACACATTCTCCGGGAATAAACTATAGAGTAGGAGGGAAACTGTCACTTAGGGGCACTATGGCTTATTGAATTTTGGAGTCAGCCAGCCCTGGGTTCAAATACTATGGAGTACTAGGGAAAGCGATCAAAACTCTCTAAAGCCTGATATATAGGAATGTGCAATATATACCTCAGAAGGTTCTTGTAAAGGCTTGTGCAGCCACTGCCTGGCACATACTAAATGCTCAACAAAACATGAATCCCTATAGTGGTCAGCAGCACCATTTCATGATGCCGAGTGTAGTTTGCTGTGACTTGTTTATATGTTTAGACAAAACACCTGCATTCATTCAAAGTTGTCCTTCCTTGTCCTTTTGTCCAAAGAACATTGTAACGTCATCCCCAGAGTGGTGCCCACTTATGCCTTCTTCCCACAGCAGCCCACACTAAATGTCAATTCTGTACTCCTTTCCTATAACAAAGCTTCCATTTTGTCTCCTTTCTATCTCAGCCATCAAATTGAAATGCAATCAAATAAATGTACCCTTGCAAGTGTGTGAATGAAGCTGTTGGAGACATTAATAAAATACTCTTGCTGATTGCATACATTAACTATTTTAAAATTTTAATTCTAGAAATGTATGTAGTAGTAGACTGGTCTCCCCCAGAGATGTTTTAGAGCAACACAGCTTTTCAGCATCTCTAAAATGTTACTGGGTAGGTAACTGCCTATATAGAAAGCCAGGTCTAACTGAGACACAGTATCAAGCAATAGGCATCAATTTTATTATTGTTGTCAATAATAAAAGTCTGTTATTGTCATTCAAGCCAATAGCAGGCTTTTATTTGGGACATAGAATCAATGGCCTTTGGTGTTTCAGATATAAGCTGTTCCCAAAAGCTTGAGCCCAGAATAAGGTAACAAAAGCATCCTACATTAAAGCTGGAAGTGAATAAGACTATGATAAACTCACAAGTAACCTTGTGAGACAATCTTAGAATCTGTTTTGTATGTTATATTTTGCTATATATAACTAATATAAATATTGTGCATATTATTCTGAAACTTTTTATCAACATGGCTTGAAGTTTACCCATGTTCATACATGTATCTGAAGTTCATTCTTTTTAAACTGCAGATAATAGTGGATTTGGGGGATGTACACAGCTTCTCTGTACTCTTATCCACAGACATATTTAGTCTGCTTCCAAAATTCCACAGTTACAAATAACACATCAATAAATATTCGTATGCACATGCCCTTATTTGCATGAATGAGAGCTTCTTTAGGCTATGTGCCTAGAACAGCTATGAGCATTATGGCTAAATGCTCTCTCCACAGTGATTCTACCAGTGAGCAGTAAGTTCAACAGAGAAGCATCCCTACTGCCCCATGACCTCACCAACATTGCCAGGCCCTTTAAACTTTGCTAATCTGCAAGATATAAAGCAGTAACTATTGTGTAATGACATGTCCCTTATTATTAGTGAGATTGGGCTCTCCTATGGGTCTTGATTATTTGGTGTCCTCTGGCTTTGAATTTCCTGTTTATATTGTTTGTCCATTTTTCTATTGTCTTTTTTCTTTGGTTTCCAGAAGTTCTTTTAGAAAATATGGTGTCAGATGCCACACAGTATCTTTCCTCTTGTTCAAGATCTTCAGCAGAGGCTGAGGCTGAAGACAGAACATGCTGAGCACCAGCCACAAGCCCACTGAGAGGGATGTTCCCTAGGAACTGGCCCCACCCACACCCCCACCCCAATGAACAACCACTCCACATATGAGGAGAGCTCACGGGTCGTCTTTGGGCCTTTGTGTTTGGTTCATGAAAACAGCTTATTTCTTCCTCACTCTACCGGGGTGAGGGGAGATCCCCAAGAGAATTATTCCAAAACTTTGAGTGCCATCAATAAAGTGGGACTGGATTTTGATTCCTGCTGTGCACCTGATTAGCTGGTAGATTCACTGTACTGTCTGTCCCTGAGTCCCTGAACTAGAGAAAAGTAGACTTGAGAAGAGGTGGTGTGGTGAGGCCCTGCCCAATGGAGTGGGCCATGAATGCATGCTCCCCTCAAAGTTGGGCACATGCCACCAGAGGTTCTGATTCCTAAGAAAGTAGGGAAATGGAGCCCCAGCGCACCTGCAGACCTGAAGGTAGACTGTGGTGGGAAACTGAGCTAGAAGCTCCAGGCACAAAGCAGCACAGGCCCCACAGGTGTGCATGTGAGGCCACCCACTGCATGGCCGCCTGAAAGCACAGCTGGGTCCCTCCAAAACCCACCTTTGCCAGGGTCTCTCCTCAGATATGAGCCCCTTGTAGGACATGAAGGTGTCACCATCCATCCACTTGATGCCCTTGGGCAATGAGCAGGGATGGCAGTTGTGGTACCCCAGGCAGAGCCATCATATGTAGTCAAAGATGTAGACATGGTTTTTTCCCTTATCTCTCACTGCTCCAAATGAGGTGGGAGAGATGGAGGAAGAGGACAGGTGTGTGACAGCAGCCCATCACCACCTTTATTCCACCCACTAGTCTCAGCTCCCATCTCCCATGAGCAGAGTAGAGGAAAAGAAAAGCTTGGAATCAAATGATTAAAGTTTTAACATGAACCAGAGCTGAATCTGATAAACCCCAAATGACTCTTCGAAGCACCAGAAGTGACTGCAAAACTATGAAACCTAGCAGAAATAACTGAAGGGAGCTTCTACCTAATGGAAAAAAAGGGCTTGACTTTGGGGAAAAAAAATCATGTTTCTACCATGCTGCCTTGAACTCAATTACCTGGCTACACCTCTCTTCCACTTGCCACAACAGTCTATGGGGCTGTTGTGATTATAAAGTGAGATTTCATTTGACACTCTTCCTACCTTGATGGCACATCTCTAGAAAAGACTACCCCAAAATGTTCACCCATCCAATCCTGAAGCCTAGGGCTGAGTGTTGTGTCTTTAATTCATTCATTCCTCTGTGTTTCTGAGGCAAGAAGGAGGCATGTACAATCCGGGCTCCAGTCAGCTCTCTGCATGCATTTTTATTGCTTCCTGACAAATCAAGGTTGCATGTTCTTTTTAGAATCCCTTTAGGAAGCGAAGGAAAAACACCAGGGCGCTCCCTGGGGGACACGTGGGGCAATCGCTGGAGCCCTCACTTGGGTTTGGGACTTAACGCTGCTCATCTGCCTGGGTTGTAAGGTCCCTTCTTTGTCACTGAGGTCAGACTACCAGATACCTCCCTGGAACATCCACAGGGTTCGTGTTGTGGCGGACAGACCCTCAGGGGCAGACAGAGCGAGGCGAGGATGAGCCCTGAAGACAGGCCGTTCTTTCCCAGGCCGCTCCGTCCTCAGCAAAGCAGGACCGACCCTCCCTTCACCCCGCACCACCGCCACCGCCACCCCTCCCCACGGGCCAGCGGGACCTCCAAGCATGATCTCAGTACTTATTTCAGGCTAGTTTCACCCGAAGACAATTTCCCCGAGTACCAAGGGAAAACCACGATAGATTATTTATTCTAAATAAGCCAAAACAATGTCCCAAATGGACACGCCTGGTGGAGGTTTTAGCCATGGGTTTAATTGAAACCAGACAGCTCAGAGGAGAGCACAGCTCTGTTTCAAGCTCCCAGATGGCTCCTGGCCGCAACGCTTTCCCACACTCAGGCCTGATGTGGTGTGGAGCCGGGCCATCACCTGGCCCCTAGGTCAGAAACAGGTGCCGGAGCTGTTGCCTCTTCCTCAGGTGGGGGCTGGGGGTGTCACAGTCAGGTCAGCCATAACCCCTTGTGACTAGTGTTGCATTTTTTAAAAAGAAAGAGAAAAAGAGAGTCTCTCATCAAATGGCTTTCTTCCATGATTTTCCTCCTGCTCTCTCTCTGCATCTCCTCACTCCCCTACCCCCAGCCATCTTCCCACCCCTTCCTTGTGGCTGTCTCCTCCATCTATTAGATCATGCATGCCATCAGGGCAGAGACATGCCTCTATGCTCACCTCTGTATCTATATAGGAGGCCCATGTGTTCAATGAGTGGCAGAAGGTGACAACAAAACTACAAAAGGCCAGTTTGGGACTTTTGAATAGTATGGCTAAATGACTACCTGAGTTCTCTCATTTCCCCCTAAAGTGGCTACCATGCACCTTTGGCTTGGAAGGTAGACAGGTGGCATGGAGGGAAGTACAAGATTGGTCCTTTGAGATCCCTGAATGCTCTTTCACAGAGGCAAGGTTTCCAGGAAACCAAACAAAGCCCATCTTTTGGTCTCATACCCTAGAGAGATGGGACAGGCAACCTCCTAACACTAGGTTGCCCACTGGACTCTTGGGAGCTGCCTTGAACAAGGCCTGAAGGGACACCCGGTGCTCAACACTGAAACAGAAATCTGCCACTGTTTGATATTTGTCCTTCAAACCCCTAGGTTGGATTATAGATACAAATAAAATTAGGCCAAATTGTCCTTACCTTGCTTGGAAGCCATACAACAGATATGCAAATTAACTTGGGCAGGAGAGACCCGAGCAAATCTCACCATTGCTCTTGCGTCCAAGTTCCCATCATTCATTCATTGGGCCAAGCTCTGTGGAAGGTCTAGGGTGCCAGCAGTGTTCTGAGGGTCCTCAATTCCAGAGAAGGCCACAGCTGTACCTTCCAAAGCATTTATTTATTGGCCATGGTAAGAGCTGAGAGATAAAGACCCTTAATTTTCACACAGAATAAAATAGAGCCTACCTATTACTCATTCAATCAGAAAAGCTTTGTGGGCATTCTGACACCTGACTGATGTTGCTTAAAACAGAAAAGTTGGAAAACTGGAAAGAGAATTGATTTTCAAGCATGGGGTCTGGGAGTAAATGTCCTACCATTGCCCACCCACCTGCCCCCAATCAAGTACTTGGCTTTCTTACTTCAATGAGCAGATAATTGATTGCCTACAAGAAGACCTACAGGCTTCTCAAGATTCCAAGCATCCCCTTTAGAAATGTCTCTAGAGCCTGGTGTGGTGGCTCATGCCTGTAATCCTAGGACTTTGGGAGGCCAAGGTGGGCAGATCACCTGAGGTCAGGAGTTTGAGACCAGTCTGGCAAACATGGTGAAACCCCCGTCTCTACTAAACATACAAAAATTAGTCGAGTGTGGTGGCATGCACCTGTAGTCCCAGCTACTTGGGAGGCTGCGGCAGTAGAATCACTTGAACCCAGGAGGTGGAGGTTGCAGTGAGCCGAGATTATGCCACGGCACTCCAGCCTGAGTGACAGAGCGAGACTCCATCTCAAAAAAAAAAAAAGTCTCGAGAGTATCTATGCCCTGTCAACTGTGATATGTGAAATGAAATCAGAGAGAGTGACATGAAAGCAGGGTCGGGAATAGCCCAACATCCCAAGCTTTCTCTTCGTTTTAGGGGACTTCAGCCTCCTCACAGGAAAGCAGCTCTCCACTGCAGCCTGCTGACCTCAAGCCCCTGCCTCCTCCAACCTCTTTCTCTCTGGGACCACACACATGGGAATCATAAACACAAAAGACCCTGAGTCTCAGTATGGGCTTTTTTTGTTGTTTTGCCTTGGTTGGGGCTGGGAAAAGAGATAACACCAGTCAGGTCTTATGGTTGCTTCTGTTTTTAATTAACCTGCTCTACTAGAGTAGGTACTGGGAAAGGCCAGATGGTTCTCCCCTTTTGTTTGGAGCTCTGAGCTTTCTCCACCCCTGTGTTATGGCCTGTTAAGTTTTTAGGATCCATCCAACTGGATGGAAGCAATGGCACCATCCACCCCTAGGGAGGCCTGCTTGAGAACGTGCCCTACTGAGAATCACCAGCAGCAGAGAAGGTACAATGGATAAACATACAAGACAGGGGACTAGTGGGGCTGGGAATTGCACAGCCACACCTTGAAACAGAGAAGTGTATTACTAGGTCCTTCAAGACCAAAAACATCCCATCACAGCTTCTTGATCATTTCTTTTGAAATGCACAAAAAATATATAAAACAAGAAATTCCCCAGTGTCATTACCAAACTAGGAACTCAGGCTTGAGCCTGGGACACCTTAGAATAGGTTTTGCTTTCTGACATCTTCAGCCAGCATTGGTGGGAGTCACAACTGGTACAAGCTTTCTGGAGGGAAATTTGGAAGAATGCATCAAATGATCAGATATAAATAGATCTATTTAAAAGATAAATTCTTCTATTTCCAGTAATTTATCTAAGGCAAATGATCAGATGAATGCACTTTGTTTGTAAAAGTAACAAATAGAACAAACCTAAACATCCATGTGATGGTTTACCTTATATGTCAACTTGCCTGGGCTGAAGGATGCCCAGATTAAACATTATTTATGGACGTGTCTGTAAGGGTGTTTCAGCGGAGATTAGCGCAGGAATCAATGGACTCAGTAAGACAGTGAGCCTTCCCCAGAGCAGGTGGGCATCATCCAAATCCCTTCAAGGCCTGAATAGAACAAAAAGCAGAAGAAGGAGGAATTCTTCTCCACCCCTTTTCAAGATCTGCCTCACTCACTGCTTGAGCTGAACCATCTCATCTTCTGCCTTCAGACCGGGATTTATATCATCAGCGCCACTGGTTCTCAGGGTGTTGGACTCCAACTAAAGAAATATTTCACTGGCCTTCCTGGGTCTCCAGCCCACAGAGAGTGGATTGTGGGCCTTCTCAGCCTCCATGATCATGGGAGACAGTTCTTAATTTTGTATATATATAAAAGTCATATTGATTCTGTTTCTCTAGAAAACCCTGACTAACGCAATTCATAAATCTAAGATTGGTATTGCAAGATCAAATCTATGTGAATATTCATATATACACCAAAAGGATAATGAATATTTTTATAACTTCCTGTTTTCATAAATTTACCCAATGAGCAAATAATCAGGGAGGAAAAAGCTGTTTATATTTTGAAAGCAAAACAAAAATCTCCATCCTTAGTTTCATCCGGCTCTTCAGAATAGCCAGGATGTCTTATTTCACAGCAGACTTGCGTAAGTGTCTGAGGGTTGCGAGTTTCTTTGTTTTTAAAAATTTTTTTAACTGCTCTATGTTTTCATGAATGAACTTCACTCATGGGCAGTCTTGTTTCACAAACTCATGTCCTCCACCACTCCCTGCACTGGATTATTTTGAAGTAAATCCGAGACATCATAGTATTTCATTCACAAATGTTTCAGTATGTCACCTCTAACACATAAGATGCTTTTAGAAACATAACAATGCTACCATTATCATGCCTAACAATTTAAAAGGAATGCTGTAACATCGTGAAATACCCAGCCGGTGATACACTTCCCTGGGGCCATGTCTAACAACTGTGTTACCCCTGGGTGGGTTATCTAATCTCTTACACACTTACTTTCTTCATTTTAAAATGGAGAGGATATAGGATAATTGACTGTTAATGAGATAATGTACTTAAAGAGCTTAGCTTAGGGTCTGTCTGGCACATGGTAAATGCCCCCCTACCTGGCGGCATCAGATCATTTGTGATGTTACACACATTTTCCGTTCACCGGGCTTTTGTACGAATTAATCCTTACTTTGTAAATGTCCTGTTCATATTCTCTGGCCCTTTTTGTAGTGGGCAATAAGGATACCAACATTGTATTATCCCTTTTTTACAGAGGAAGAAACTGGGGCACAGGGTTTTTGACTTGCAAGAGGGATTTAGCTAGCATACTCCCTCAGCAAGTGGTTGAGTTGTGACTGGAGTCCAGGGGCCCGACGCCAGGGCCACCTCTCTGAAATCCCTATGACCGCAGTCCCCTCTTGCGAGCACATAGTAAACAGGGCCTGCTGATCCCCACTCACCACCCTTGGACAGACTGCGACAGTCTCAGAAGCCCAAGAGTTAGGAACACATTCGAAAATGGCACTATCTCCACCTTCTCAGCAGCCGAAAAAGAAGAAAGATATCCTTGGCCTTAAGTTGGAGAGCCCCGAGAAGGTAATGTGTGCACCCCGGGATGCCCGCCCACCTGTAAGTCTCCATTCTGGCCGCCTAGGTAGGTTGCGGCAGCCTGAACGGGGCTCTGTGAGCTTCGGGCTGGACAGCGGTTCCTCAGCAGCCACTAGAGGGCGCAATGGCGCCGTAGGCAGGCACCGAAGTCCTTGTTTGCCGAGCTCAGGCGTGACCTTGTTTGTCCTGTGTCTCAAGAGAGGAAATGTTCATCTCTTTCTCAAGGTCCTTCACCCAGTGAGCTGCTTTCTTTTCCTCTTGATGTCATCCTTTTACACAGGCAGGAAATTATGTTCACTTCTACTATCCTGTGGTCATTTAAAACCACAAACAAAGCTGATTGACCAGGAAGTCAGATAATTAAAAGAGCCATAAGTTCTTGATAAAGCCTTGTTGATTGAAGAAAGCAAAGTAGCCAAAGTATCGTGATTGACAGGGGGACCAGCAGCCTGAGAGGCTGAGCTCTCCAGATTGCAGTGGAAAGGCATAAGTTGGTTATTAAAACAAGTTGGCGAGCTGTGACCAGCATTTTGAAAAATTGAGCTAGACTTGAACAAAATAGAACAAATAACATAGAACAGAGCTTTTTCCATTCCGTGTGTGCATACTGAGTTGCTTACTAAATTATGTTTCTCACTGTACTTCAAAGTTTTAAAAATATGAAAGCCTTGACCGGGCTCGGTGGCTCATGCTTGTAATCCCAGCCTCGGTGACAAAAGCGAAACTCTGTCTCAAAAAAAAAAAAAAAAAAAAAAAAAAAGGAGGAGAAGAAGAAATTTGGAGAAATGAGGCCATCAGAGAGGATGAGAGGACGAAAATATTCATCAGGACATAAAGCTTTGGTGGCTGTCAGACTGAGAAACAGTCCATCTACTAAGTGTGGGGAAAAAAAGCTATTGTGCATGACCCTCATGTTTCTCTATAGCCTCAATCACAGGTTGGGTTTTGCCCAACTTTTCAGTGGACCACACCACGAAGGTAGTGGATTTAAGGTGAAAAATATTTGAATGTTGACAAGCTAATTGTCAGATGATTTTAGCAGAAATCAGTTTTCATTATTTAAACTGATAAGAAAATGTTTGTGATTTTGACAGGCATGGTAAACAAACAAAATTGTGATTTATGTTGCTCAAATGAGAATAAAATTTATTTCACAAATTACTGATATTTTTAACATTTACAGTTTAATTGTTCATTGTGGAAAAACAGAGAAAAGGGCATACGCTGTCCAAGCACAGGCTTCCATGTGGGCTCAGCCCACCATGACATGGGGATGAATCCCAACTCTCACCCACCATGACAGGTGATCCCCCCAGCTCTCACCCACCATGACAGGTGATCCCCCAAGATCTCACCCACCATGACATGGTGATTCCCCCAGCTCTCATCCACCATGACGTGGGGATACCCCCCAGATCTCGCCCACCATGACATGGGGATGCTCCCAGCTCTCACCCACCATGATGTAGGGATACCCCCAGCTCTCACCCACTATGACCATGTGGATGACCACCCGCCCTCACCCACCATGACACAGGGATACCCCCAGATCTCACCCACCATGACATGGGGATGCTCCGAGCTCTCACCCACCATGACTTGGGGATGCCTCCCCCGACCAGCCCTCACCCTCCATGACCATGGGGATAACCCCCAGCTCTCACCCTCCATGACCACGGGGATGGCCCCAGCTCTCACCCACCATGACATGGGGATGGCCCCAGTTCTTATCCCATCCTCCTCTTCTCTACGCCTGAGCTCAACTGGGTGTCTAGAATGCTAACCCTAGCCTCATCCTGCAGCAGAAAATAGGTGTAGGAATGAGGAGACATGGAGCAAAACAAGTCATCTTCCAGCCATAGGTGTCAGTCCAGCAAGTCTTAGCCAGTCGTGAGAGTACACTTCTTTCTTCTTGAGCCTAGTTCTGGGCCTGAAATCAGGAAAGATCTATTTACTCCTTTTCTGATGTGGTGGGAGATGGGGGCTGATAAGGAAACCTGCCATGGGAATGCGAAAACCTCCACCTTGCCGTCAGTTCATCTGGTGGTATATCCCTGAGGCTTCCATTTCTCTTGGGTTATCTTTGCAAGGTGGTTATGCCAGAGGATCACAGGTGAGCAGTGTCAACTCTCACCTTTCCTATAAGAGCCCCAGAGGAAAGGTGAATTTGGATGACAAGAGCCAGGGCTCTGAGGTCCTTCTCAAGTGGAGAGCTCCTCTCCAGGGACAGCCTGGGAGATGAGGGTGGAATTGTATTAGTGAACAGCAGCATTTCTCAGAAGTTCCTGGGTGTATGGGAGGGGACATCCACACACAGAGTTCCCATCTCCCAGAATAATATTACTACTGGAGATGTGTGGCCTCTAACATTCAGACCCAGCAGCCACCACTCCTAAAGCCAGCATCACCCTCTGTAGCTCACTCCAGACCTCATCTGGAACAGCCTCTGTTCTTCAAGGAAACCAGGAAGGAATTTTCCACTTTACACAGCCCCAGATCAATACCAAACAAGCATGTGTTAGAGGGAAGTTTATAAATAAAAAACAGGACCAAGTGCCGAGGAAAGGTCAACCAACCATGACGTGGCAGGAAGTGGTCTGCGTCACTATGGGGTGCTGATGGGTGTGGGGGGCCCTGGGGACTGAGGCTCCCTGAGCACATTCCATATTTTGGCAGGCCAGCTCCTCATGGCATCCCACGGTTTGCCAAGCACTTTTCACATGTATATCTTCATCTTGCTTGGTCCTCCGGGGAAAGACCACACCTTCCCGGTCCCTTTATTTAATGTGACTGGGTCTTTCCCAGGGCCTCTCTCATGAGCCGACTCAGGGTATTTGAGGGGAGATACCAAAGGTAGTGGGTTTTGTGGCTGACTCAGTCATTATGGGAAGGTGAATGTAAAGGTAACCCAGCGACTCAGCACCTGTATTTCACCTCTCTGGTCCAATCTCCGCTCGCAGCCCTACCTCCAGGTCAGTCCCTGGGGATTCCCAGGGGGGTCTCTAATTCCCTCAAGCCAGGGTCTTGGAAAGGAGTGATGAGGGTTTACAGCTAATTCATAGTATTAAAAAACTTTGTGAATCATTAAATTATAAATTGGCCTGTGATGAAGGCACACTGGCTCCTTGGAAACTGACTTCACTTTGCTTGGAGTAGAATTCTGGAGCCCACCCCCAAGGGCTAGGGATAGGACCCCATTGACCTCATATTTGCGCCAAGCCCAGCTGGAGAAACGGGAGAGAATTGAGGGTGGCCTTCAGCGTTCCCATAAACTACCTTTTTGTCCCTTAGCCGTTGAACTCTTAAACCTCCTTTCTTATACAAATTTGGACTTGAGACCATGAGCGGAGCTGTTACCTGCCAACCTGCCTACATGTCAGCGGTGATGCCAGGCTACTTCAATTATTTGTATTCTTGCTGCATTGCATCCCTATTATTTCATTAGGAATTAGTAGAACTTTAAAAAGTTTCTTTGCATCTCGATTTCTCTCTCCAACATGAGAGTCGTTATTCCTCATGGAGGATTCGCTAGTTTAATTAAAACAGGCTGTTTCTCCTATTGCACCCAAGAGGAAAATGGGCATTACTGATCTGTTCCGCACTCTGTCCCCTCACTCGCTGCCGTTCTCTTCTCTGGGCTGGTCTCTGAAGGCTGCCTGCAGTGCTGGAGTGGGCAGGGTGGCTGCGGGCTGGCTGAGGACGCTTCGTCCTTCCTTCTGCGGAGTGCATGTGAGACCAGGCCACGCCAGGAAACCCCCTGAGGGCAGTGGGCACCACCTCTGGCCACTTGACTAACCCCGGGGCAGTAAGATCTGGACCGCAAAGGGTGAGTGGTCACTGGCTCGTGGTTTGGTGAGGATTTGGGGAATACACCCACCCCATTCAGATTTGAGGGCATCTCAGCACCCTTCCCCCTTCCTTCCCAGCCATTTCCCTCTGCAGGATGGAGGCAGCCAGAGGCAGCCACAGTGTGGGGAGAGTGGGAGAGGTACGGGGACGTGTCCTCTCTGAAGGGTGTGCCTGTGAATTTTAGAAAATGGATTCTCTAGCAATTAATTATTTATAAATGAATGACCACACTCACAGGACATCAGTCGAGGCTGTCAGCAAAATAGAAAGCTGACCCGTCAGACGAAAAGGTATTTTCTGGAAACCTCTGACTTCCCGGAGACCAGCACTGTTGGTAAATTCTTTAACTGGAGTTTTATAAGTCAAAAAGCTTCCCTCTTTCCAACATGTGTCACTACTTTCTTTTTATTGAAAAGTATCAAAAATGTAATAGTAGTAATGAATTATAGTAGCCATTTTTTAATGCTGTTATTCTTAAAATGTATTTTATGTCCTACCTCAGAGCAATGGGGAGGCAATGGGAAGGCAATGGGAAGGCAATAGGGAGGCATAGCTTAATGGGCACAGAATTTCAGCTTGAGAGGATGAAACAATTCTGGAATGGATGGTGGTGATGGCCGCACAACAGTGTGAATGTACTTAATGCCACTTAAAAATTGTTAAAATGGTGAATTTTATGTTCATATAGTTTACCGAAATAAAAATTTTAAAAAGCAAATGTTAAATAAAGAGTGGACCAATGTCAAGTCGAGGCCTCCATAGGATGCTAAACAAATGTGTAATGTGAGGTCACCTTGGAACATAAACTCTTCAAAGACAGGAGTGGGTTCCTTAGCACCTGAAAGTCCATCCCACACTGGGTACCACCCATCGCCTGTGAACGAGGGCACAGCACCTCCTAACCCACCCTGCTCCCCATGCCATCCTAAGACCACAGGCCTCCTGACACCCTCTGGCTCCCTCTCTCGCCCCTGCCGGCTGGCTCTCAGGGCTGACTCCCTTCCAGCCCCCACTGACTGCTTACTAAGTCTCAGTGTCAACAACCCACAGCTTCAGAAGGTTGAGCTATGCCTAATTCCCTCAGGCCAGGGTCTTGGAAAAAAGTGATGAGGGTTTACAGCTAATTTTTAGTATTAAAAACCTTTAATCATTAAGTTATAAATTGGCCTGTGACAAGGGCACATTGGCTCATTGGAAACTGACTTTGCCTTGCTTGGACTATAATTCTATCATCTGTGTGCTAATTGCGTCTCTCACAGGCTGCTCAGAATTCTGGTTGACATGTGTCTAAAAGAGAGAGAAAAGGAATTCCTGCTTGCTTTAGTTTGACAGATAAAGCCTCTCAAACATGGAAGGGTGACCAAGAGGCAGTCATGGCCACTCCCGTGGGTCCCCACTGGTCTAGGTGACTTTTAACTTGCTTCTGGAAGCAAAGTGCTAAGGCTGTGTTTGCAGCTCTTTGTCTGCACTGACAGAGTGAGAGAGACGCAGACACAGCAAATGACCCCTGAGCATGGGGCCCTGAAGACACTGGACAGGCGTGGACAAATACTGCTATCCTTGCCAACCCTCTCCTGGTGCTAGACTGCCCTCCTGTGGTCCCCCGACAGCACAGGCTCCCATCTCAGACTCTATGGGTGCCACATCATGGGCAAACTTCCGGGCATGTCCACTGCCATTTCTAAAACCCTCCATGTCCTGTTCTCAAGGGGCCCAAGTGCTGTATCCATCCAGGCCTCAGTGAGTGGGCATGTGTCAATAAGCCCATAGGCTAAAGAGGGCCTTCTGCAGAAGCCGTGTGTTTCCCTGAAGAAGCAGCTCTGATCGAAGCAAACAAATGACAACAAACACAACAGATCCTCTCACTAGTACGCAACTGCCAGCTTCAGAGCAGACGGCCCCGATGAAACGTGTCCTCCTCCAGCTGTGAGCCACCACGCAATGATAGACCCTCCATCAGTGCGTGACAAACCTCGTGTCCTCCCACCCGCTCACCTGCGGTGCGGTAGCAAGGTGTGTGCTGCAGCAGCTGGACCGGAGGAAACGGCCGACACCTTCTGGGCGGCATGTGGTATCTCACTGTCTTCCAAAACTTGGTCTTCATACACTGTGACTGCTCCGTGAAGTCCCCATGCCACCGGATGGCACCATGCTTCTGTTTGATGTACTGAATTGACTCTGGCATGACTGTGTAGTCCTCGATTTTCTCCAGCTCAATGAGAATAACCTTCATCCCGTCCTGGATCAGGGCACTGTAGACCGCGATTTGTTCTTCTGACAGGTTCTTCAACAGGCCAAAGCCCAGCGATTCGGGGACCACAATGACAATCAGCCTCCTGCACAGCTTAACGTTTTCATCGATGACATTGGCCACGGCTGGAAATAAAGAAAGAAGGCTCAGAAGAACTCACAATTAAAACAGCCCGGGTCTTAATGCTAGTGAGAATGTTTGAAACAGGCCAGGAGAAAATTGACTTTTTTTTTTTGAAGTGAAGTCTCACTGTGTTGCCCAGGTTGGAGTGCAGGGATGCAATCTCAGCTCACTGCAACCTCCACCTCCCAGGTTCAAGCGATTCTCCTGCCTCAGCCTCCTAAGTACCTGGGATTACAGACACGTACCACCACGTCCAGCTAATTTTTGCATTTTTAGTAGAAACGGGGTTTTACCACAAGCTGGTGTTGAACTCCTGACCTCAAGTGATCTGCCCACCTCGGCCTCTCAAGGTGCTGGGGTTACAGGTGTGAGCCACCTTGCCTGGCCAAAAATGGACTTTAAAATAAACATGACTTAGTCAGGAATGGATTAATTCAAGTTTTGGGTTTTTTCTTTTTTTTAATATTTGTCACCTCTTCTGTGAAGCCTTTGTGGCTTTCCCTGGAGCCTTGGTCCTCTATAGTCATGAATCATGTTTTGCATGTGGTTTCTTTGTATGTCACTTTCCCTGGCCAACAAGTATCTGATGGTTCCTAACTCTGTATCCCCAGACTAGCTGAAGGTCTGGTGTATATTAGCAGATGAACACGTTTTTAAAAATAGATTTTAAAAGGATAGGAAAATGTAGTTAGCTGAAATGTTGCATTAATCTTGAATCTGTGTTTTCCTTTTGTTCTTTATAGTTATTTAAATGACCAGGATTTATGTGAGTAATTTAGAAACCAAATAACATGCCCTGATGATTGCTTGGGAAAGGGAGGTTTCTCTAAATACCCAGCTCTGCAGATGCTATTCAGTCTACAGTTGCCTCTCATGGGAAATAAGAATAGACTGGAACCTCCCTGAGGACAGGCCCTTCCGCTTGGCTGATTTTCATATTTCTAGTGCCTAGAATACTGTCCATCACATAGAGGTTTTCAGTAAATATTTGTTGAATAAGTGAGTGAATTGGCATTTACTGGTGACTAGAAAAGAATGTTTATTTCAGATTTCAGCCATTTTGCTGTATAGCCTTCCAAGAAGGAGAACAAAGGGACAGGAAAGCACTGTTGTGTGAGTGTCTAAAGTGTGCTGAGCTCCATGCCGGGGACCCCTTCTCAGGTTTTCTCATTCAGTTCTCTCATCTGAGTCAGGGAAGCACCCCATCCCCATTTTACAGATGAGACAACTGAGGTTGAGAGAAGTTAACTGAACTGTCCAAAGCCACCTTCCTATCAAGTGGGAAAAGTACACTAAAACTTCCATTATATTTAGGGAGGGGAGGGGGCAAGTAGGGTCGAGGTTTATAAAATCAGCTTTAAGCACGACCTGATTTACATTGTTCAAACCCATGGAAAACACCCAGCAGTTCATCTCAGGGATGTGAGGCTCAAATGACCACTCGCCACCTTTCAGTCCTTTAGCCACCACTACATCACTGGCCACCTGTTTCTGTGAATGGCTTAACCATATCCTCACTCAAAGTGAGACGCGTGCTGCTGCAAGCAGGAATCTCAGGCACTGCGGGGCAGGGAGGAGCCTAGAGCAGGCAAAGAGCTTGGGCCTAACCTCCTTGGCTGGGGGCTGGGGGCTGACGGGCAGGGGGCGCTGGTCATAGACTCTCTGTGGTTCCATGGGGAAGGCAGGCAGAGTCACCGCCATTAGTAAAGTGGAGGAACAGAGGGGTCGCTTTCCTTCTTTTATTTGTTATTTTTACACCTCACTTAAAACCCACCTTGTCCAGGGAATTCATCTCTGCCGAATATAAACAACTTATATCCACATTGTCTCTCCAACACCTCGGGCAGGATATTCAACACCAGGGCATCCACGGCATGCCTCTGGCTTTCCTTGTGGGGCTTGGGGTATAAGACATAGGCGTCATACAGCTTCCCATCTGAAAAGGAATTGGACAAGCTTGTGGAATTGTTGCTACCAAATTCTCTCATGTTAATAAACCGGAAGCCTGAGCGGCTACCATGGTGTCCTTTGGCCTGGGTTCCATGACTTCTGAGTGCCCAGTTGGCTGACTTGGTGCCAGGGGCTGCCAAGGGACATCATCTCCTCTCACAAATGGACCCCTGAGGGAGGTGGTCTTATCCCCAATGCTCAAGAGTGAAGCTGAGGCTGGGTAGGCTGCATCACATCTGCAATCCCTAACCCTACCCCTACCCCACGTCTTTTGAGTCTAAGTCCACCACTCCCTGTGATGTGGCCAGAAATGAGAATTAAAGGCAGAAGACTCGTCCAGCGCAGTGGTGCATGGCTGTAATAAACAAGCTGAAGCAGGAGGATAGCTTGAGGCCAGGAATTCAAGACTAGCCTCGGCAACATAACAAGACTCTCCAAAGAAAATAATTTTCAAAAAGTTAGCCAGGCATGATAGCTCAGGCCTGAAATCCCAGCTACTCAGGAGGCTGAAATGGGAGCTTAGGAGTTCAAGGATGTGGCCAGGCATGTGGCTCATGCCTGTAATCCCAGCACTTTGGGAGGCCAAAGCAGGTGGATCACCTGAGGTCAGGAGTTCAAGACCAGCCTGGCCAACATGGTGAAACCCTGTCACTACTAAAAATACAAAAAATTAGCCAGACATGGTGGTGGGCACCTGCAATCCCAGCTACTCAGGAGGCTGAGGCAGGAGAATCGCTTGAACCTGGGAGGCGAAGGTTTCAGTGAGCCGAGATCACACCATTGCACTCCAGCCTGGGCAACAAGAGCAAAACTCTGTCTCGGAAAAAAAAAAAAAGAGTTCAAGGATGCAGTGAGCTATGATCACGCCACTGCACTCCAGCCTGGATGACAGAATAAGACCACATCTCTAAAACAAACAAAAAAAGGATCTCTAAAATAAACAAACAAAAAGCAGGAAACTCTAGCCATTTACCCATGTTACCCTCAGCGTGTCCTGTATGACGAAGCACTGTCCTAACTGCACCAGGCAAAACTGGATGACTCCCTCTTGATTCAGGCCCACCAGTGAATTCCATCACTACAAACCCACAGACTCACATCTGTGAAACAAGAGAAAAAGCAATTGAGCAGACTCTAGTAATCTGCAGTGCCGTTGAGAGAAGTCAAACCCAATGGCGCATGTCGTCGTCATCAGTATTTATTGAGCAACCTCAAAAGCAGCCCCTGCATTGGCCAATGAAGAGATGAACAAGACCTCACTGGGCAGACCATCCACATGCACAGAAGTTAAACACAAGACTCTACGAGGCGACGAGAGTCAAACGAACAGAAAAGACAGCAAGAATCAAAAATCCCCATGGTCTGGAGTTCTTGAAAAAAAAAACTCACAATGAACATGGGACCGCTCCTGGATTTTATTTTATTTTATTTTATTTTTTTATTTTATTTTTAGATGGAGTCTCACTCATGTCTCTCAAGCTGGAGTGCAGTGGCGCCATCTTGGCTCACTGCAACCTCCACCTCACAGGTTCAAGCGATTCTCCTGCCTCAGTCTCCTGAGTAGCTGGGATTATAGGCGCCCGCCACCAGGCCCGGCTAATTTTTGTACTTTTAGCAGAGACGGGGTTTCGTTATGTTGGCCAGGCTGGAGCTCCTGGATTTTAAAGGGTGGGAGAGTTGAGGGGAAAAAAGTGAGGGTCTAAGAGTGGATGGTAAACAGTCTTGCAGGGGTGCAGCTTCAGAAGGGCATGGAAGGAGGAATAATTCCCTACTCAGGAATCCTGTGAATGAATAAGGACTTCAGCAGGGCCAGAGGGCTTGAGTGGAAGAAGAGGTAAGTGTGGGCGTCTCATTGGAAAACGCGATTTCGAGCTTTGGGCTGTTTAGAAACTCAGACAGCCTAGTAGGTACTAGAGAGGGGTGGTGTCCTTTTCTATTTCCTTTATATGAGAGTTTGTTGGATGAGCAGACTTGCAGAAAGAGGTGATTTTAAGATTAATAAGGGAAAGGAAAACCTTGTATTCTTCTAGCTTTCGTCCAAATAATAGTAATGAAAATGTGCACAGATCTTGACAGTTTACATAACACCATTTCTCAGTCCATCAATTCTCACACCAACCACTGCTGACCTTCGGGTCCCTGCTCACCATTCTTGGCCATCTCTTACAGAGAATGGTAACACAAACACACACGCATGCACATGCATGCACACCCATGCTTGCACATGTAGTCATATACACGCATGCACACACACACGTGCACACTCCTTGTCTGCCTCCCCACCCCATCATGAAAGGAAGCTGTGTAAGAGTGGAGACTTCGTTGGCTCCCTGCCCTGCCCTCAGCCACTGGAGCAGGACCGGGCGCAGAGGAGGCCTTCATCAGTGCTCACCGAATATCCAAATGAAGCTTGATTTTACGGAGGCTCAAAGAGCTTATATCTATGTTGGGGATGAATCTGAGATCAGACTCAGCTTTTTAAAGTGGGATCACAGGGCAGGTACAAAAGGGATAACTAATTTGTGTCTTGAATTGGCAAAAACCCAACATAGCTGAAACTCCTTGTGGAATCATAAAGGTCACTGATCAGGGCCACCGCTCAAATAAGTGGATACTTTTCTGTGTGAAATTTCATAGCACACATTTGACTTTCCAAAGCCAGAGGATTTTTTTTCCATAGATAGAAAATGGGAAAAGAAACATTTCATAAGTTTCTTATGTTTCTGAACTTTTGGAGAAGGAATTCAATTTTCCCACTTAAAAATGTGATCATATTAATCCTTTGGTTTCTGATGAAGGGCTGGGTGAGTTGATGCTCGGTTCACCACAGAGAATAACCTCTCTGGTAAATACAGTGTTTCCTGGTCTATTCTAAACTACAGCAGACATGCAGGCTTATTGCCACTTGTCCCAGACCCTGCCACTAGTTATCTCTCTTCTCTCAATCTGTTTCTCTTTTTTCCTACTGTTTCTGATTTTTAAAACAAACAAACAAACCTTGTGTGCTAAGTGTATTCTCTCTTTTGCGAATGTTCCCTGTTCCCTGTTTCTAAACAAGGTGTCTGAGGATATAGGTACTTGTTGCTCTCCAACTTCAGGATCAGAAGACATTTGAGTAGGAAGAAAGTCTCACACCTTTGAAAAATTCAAAATGTACAAATGTGCCCAATTTTTTGGTCATCTTTTTTTTCTTTCTGTCTGACTAAGCTTTTGAGTAGAAATAGAACTTGCTGATGTTCTCAAAACGTAGTGACTTTTCATCACTTTCAAATGACTAATTCATAATTTACTGACCAATACATTAATAGCAAGAGATCAAGTTGTAGTCCACTGGTTTTGAAGAGCCTTGCCAGGCAACGGCACCTCAACATTTCCCGGCTTTGCTTCTCATGATCAACCGTGTGGGACATGGTTCTATCCCCAAATTATGAGTAAGGAAGCTGAGACCAGCAAGACTGTGCGATCTCTCCAAAGTCTCCCAGCTGGTGAGTGCATAGCCTTGATGTAAACCCAGGTCCACCGCTCCTTTTGCTGTGACTAAAATGAGAAATGGGAGCAGGAAATTTCACAAAACTAATCCCTGATTAGTCCTGTGCAGCTGTG
The DNA here is from genome assembly GCF_000001405.40 of Homo sapiens. NCBI lineage: Eukaryota > Metazoa > Chordata > Mammalia > Primates > Hominidae > Homo > Homo sapiens. Next base: position 102,229,345 of record NC_000002.12, on the reverse strand, counting down.
TCAGTCTGAATTTTCCAAAAGTAGCCCCAGCAATATTTCCAGTCCCACATGTTCTTCCAGAACTTTGCCACACCCTAGCAAAGAAGCAGAGTCTATTTCCACTCCCTTAAAATTGTTATGTCCTTCTTGATCTTGGCAATAATATATAAAAGCTCATTCACATAAATTCATATCTATGAAATACTGTCTAAAGATTATTCAATTCCCTACTTTCTCTCAATATGATATTGCTAAATTTTAGGCCTGATGAAACCAGAACAGTGGAAAATTCAGATTCAATCTGGCCTCCACGCAAATGCTTTTACTGAACTGCAGGAGGTTTGGTGGGTTTACCCCCAATATGCATAGAAAACACTAGAAGAAAAGCCACACAAAACACGCTATGACATTTACCATGGGAAAGTTGTTGCAGTCAAGCTTCCCTACACCATGCCCTTTTGAAATGAGGACTCCCTGTGGGGGAAAAAAAATCTGCCTTTGGAAATTAGTCTCAGAAAAAGCCATGTTCTCTCATGAAAATCTGAAAGGTTGTTGTGAATGGCACACAGTGGATCTTGTCATTGCCTTTGCTTTAGCTTGAAAAGCAAATTCACCTTTAATAATTGTTAAAGGTGTCATTAACTCTACCCCGACTTGTTTTCCCATTGTCCCCTTGGTTTCCCTTTGATCACTCTAACTGTTTGGCTTGTCTTCGTTTTAGCCATTCTATCCTACATGCACATTCTCCAAAGACCTATCTGGAGTAAGGCGAGGCATTTTCAAATCTCTCTAGGAGATCCGTGCACAGACCCTTCCATCCTCGTACACACATGCACCCCTGCCAGGAGAATTTGTAAAGCTCCAGTGGCTTGCTAGAGAAGATACAGAACTTGCTGACTTCAGCTAGGGCTGTCAATGGCTCCTTCTAAAATGGTGAGTCATGCACACCTAATTATTAATTGAGTGATACAGCTTAGCTAACCTAGTCAGGGTAAATGACTTATCCTACGAAGGACATTATTTCTCTCTTTCTCATTTTCATCCATTAATCGGTATTTCCTGATTTAACTCAGAAAATATCCTCAAGGGGAACAAGGACATAAACAAGATCTGGGACTAATCTCAGAATCTCATCAGTAGCTCACTGTTAAAGCCAACACACAGAGATATTACAGGGCAGTTCTCGTAGACAGAGCTGTAGAGAATTTCATCACAAAATGCACACATACTTTTCTGAATTAAGCAAAATAAAAATAAAGAAAAAAAGGACCCCTGGCTGCCTGTTAGCCTCCATCGCCAAATCCTCTGCCCACTGTTGCAGAATCTGGGCTGCGTCCCAGTCTCAGCAGAGGGCGGGGCTGCCTAACTCTCTCATCTGCCCAGCCCCCACTACTCCGTGTGAGTCACTATTCCTGTTTTCTCTTCCTGCTAAACTCGACCTCACTAGCAGCTTCCCCACACACTGCACAACACCCATAAGTCACAGCTATAGTCACGCTCCTGGGAGTCGCAATGACTCAGTGAGAGAGTCACTGACAGAGTCAGTGAGAGAGAGAGACAGTGAGAGAGACACACCATGGGGCCTGAGCTTCCAGGAAGAATACGTAAAGTGACGCAGGCTTCTGTTAGTCAAAAAGTAGAAAGCAACTGAACCACTCAACTCTGTGTCAGAAAACAATCAGTGGTGGGGGACTGAACTGTCTTCTTCTCAAAGACGCAAGCAGGAGAGAGCAGTCATGGGTGTGCTTAGACGGGGCGGCCTCTGCAGATGCCAGAGCCAAAACCAGAGACCCCCTCCCCATGCCCAGTCGGACTATCCACAGTACTAGCAGCACTTCAGGTTGCACTGGACACTTAAGGTTCAGATGACTTTTGTCATTAAAAAGGAGTTTATCGCTTTCTACATTGCTCAGGGTTGCTAATTCTGAATTCAGAAATTTAATTTGGAAAAAATCCAAGTTAGTGAATAGCCACGTTTTATCAAACATGTGGGCAACAACCGTACTGTGTATTTTATGTGCAAAGCAAGCACTTGATGCCAGTGACCTCTTTTATGTTTTAGCTGGCCCATAAAACGTTCTCAGACAACCAGTTTCCCTCCCTTTCCTGCTCTTGTCACTCAGGCCTCTGGACTTAAAAGGTATAAAGTCGTGCATCTCCACACAGATCAGCTGCACCAGGCTTCTTTTTTCATCTAATTAGGGGACTTTAGAGCAGATTTATTACTTTTGCAAGGCCTTAATAGATTGTATCTGTTCTAAGACAAAACAAAACAAAACAAAACAAAAGTAGCATAGTCACAAGCACCATGGTGGGAAATGCCAGGCTCTCAGAGAGTCAGGATCACACTGAGGCATTTCTATGCCAAACAGCACTGGCAGGACATAGGCCCACAGACTAAAACCCACAGCTGTGGTGTTGGGGATTTGTTTTGACCTCCAGACAAGCAATAGAGGCCGCCCTGTGGCCCAGGCCCCGCTGAATGCTTCCCTGTACTTCAACTCAGTTATTCCCACTGTCAAAAAGCAGGATTTAATCACTGTCCCTTTCTTTGTTTCTTTCTTTTTTCTTCCCTTCCTTCTTTCTTCCCTTCCTCCCTTCTCCTCCATCTCTCTCCCCTGCTTTCTTTAGTTTCTTTTCTACGAAACTCCCTTCTTCCCTCCGTTTTCCCTCCCTCTCTCCTTTCCTTCCTCCCTCTCTCTCTCTTTCTTTCCTCCCTCCCTGTCTCCTTCCTTCCTTCCTCTATTCCTTTCTATAGCTGAGAAATAGAAGAAAGTTAAACATCTTTCTAAGTTTACATAGGGAGTAAGTGGAGAAGTCACATTCAAACTTGGTTTGATCTCTCTCCATATCTGAGAGTTGAAGACTTAAATCCCTTCAGGCACCAAGTACAGGGCCTAGAGAGAGCTCCAACCGCAGGCAGCTCATCCCTCTCCATGACCCAGATTCTGAGAAAGTACCCACTGTGCTGAGCACACATCATGGATGGAGAGCACTTTGGTTTCGGAGAAACTTTCCCGCAGTGGACGGAGGATGGACGTGGAAACTTTTGTAACATGGTTGCAGCAGGACTTAGAAGATGATCTCCTCCTGCAGCTTAGCAAATATTTCCTCAATCACTACGAGCCTGCAAGCCTTATCTGACCAAATGATGCTGGTGATTAGGGACAAATCATTTCTCTAAAGCACAGGCAGTTCCAAGGAGATTCCTTTCCCTAAATTTGCCAACAACGTAGTAAAATATGACAAAGTATATTTGAAATCGTTGTATATGTATAAGAGGATACCAATTTTGAGGCATTTTTCAGTGATTACACACACTTACCTACTATGGTCTCTGTAGAATGGAAGGCACTTCGATACCAAAGAACAATGTCGATCTTAAAAATGTTGTATATGTACACAACAGACACAGCCACAGCCACCAAGGCGATAAGCCCTCCTATCAAGTAAGCTCGAAAATCCGGAGCTACAAATGACAGCAAAAAAATAATAATAATTATAATTATAATAATGAAACAAAGAGTCCATTATATACTTTACTAATACAGATCACATTATGAATGCCAAATGGAAAGGTTTTGGATGTCAATGAGGGCACTGCTTAAACATTTCTTTAAAGTCAAAAAAGTGGTATGGGAGCAGAATAATCTGATCTGCACCATGATTGTTAGGAAACAAGTCAGCTCCTGGGAACTTATACGAGTAAAAGTCTGCAGAGCCCTAGTTTCCGGTGGTAGACGCAGCATGGACCCAACTGGACGAGAACTGCTTTCAAAACACACACGTCCAGGTTCTGCTGAGTCAACATGAGACTGTCCAGAGGTGGCGCCTGAGTATGTTCATGGGGCACCTTCTCCAGCTGGTTCTGCTGCCCTTTCTTGATTACAATCATATTGTAACTGCTTTCCCAGCCATTCAAAGTTGAACAGCTGGACTCCCATCATCCTTAAAGAGCCAACAGTTGTCCCCTCTGGAAGCCAGCATGGCTGGCTCCACAAGACAGGCCAAGAGCCAAACTCTCACCTCATCCTTTCTGTGCCATTGATTTCCAGGCTGGGTGCCTGTGCGAGAGGCACAGTCTCAGAAAGAATGTTTACACCCTAGCCTGTTTCATGAGTACATTGCAGAGTAATTATGAGCCTAAGTGGTGGGCAGGAGATGGCCAAGGAGCAGAACCAGCTCCTCTGGAACCTCAAGTCCCTGAAAACATGTTCCTACACATCCAAGAAAAGGAACAGCTTGGCTTCTGCCTCACCGCAGCCCAAACCCATACCACCAAAGAAGACCCTCTAGGAAGGAAAGAATTAGAAAAGGGGAAGAGAGAGACAGGAAGAAAAGTCCTCCCCATTCTTAAAACCCACCTCACACACCACTTCCTTCTTCAGCCCTTTCCTCATCCTCCAGTCCTCACTGGATGGTGGGGTGGGCAGAGGAGGGGAGGAAGAGGGTTTTTTTTTCTGAGCCTCTAGAGCACTTTAATTTTAAAAAAATTTTATAGGTACATAATAGTTGCACATATTTATAGGGTATGTGTAATATTTTGACACAGGCATACAATGTGTAATGATCAAATCAGGGCAATTGGGATAACCATCACCTCAAACATTCATCATTTCTTTGTGCTGGGAATATTCCAAATTCATTCCTCTAGTTATACTGAATTATACAATAAATTATTCCTATCTATAGTCATTTTGTTGTGCTACCAAACACTAGATCTCATTCCTACTATCAAACTGTATTTTTTTCTTTTACCCATTAACCAACCTCTCTTTATCCCCGCTTCACCACTACCCTTCCCAGCCTCTGGTAACCACCATTCTTCTCTCTACCTTCATGAGATCAATTTTTTTAGTTCTCACAAATGAGTAAAAATATGCAATATGTGTCTTTCTGTGCCTGGCTTATTTCACTTAACATAATGGCCTCCAGTTCCATCCACTTTGCTGCAAATGACAGAATTTCATTCTCTTTTATGGATGAATAATATTCCATTGTACATCTATGACAGAATTTCTTTATCCATTCATCCATTGATGGACACTTAGGTTGATTCTACATCTTGGCTATTGTAAACAGTGCTGCAATATACATGGGAGTTCACATATCTCTTTAATATGCTAATGTCCTTTCTTTTGGGTATATAACCAGCAGTAGGATTGCTGGATCATATGGTTGTTATATTTTTAGTTTTTTGAGGAACCACTATAATGTTTTCCACAGTGGCTATAAAATACTCATTAAAGAGCTTATTGCCACCTGCCCTAGGCCACGCCGTGTTGTAAACATCTTGAGGCCCAAGATTTCTCATTTACTATTGCACATCTTTAAATACATGGCACAATAACTAAGAACACATTTGGTGCCAAAAAAATTAATTCATTGAGTAAGTCCCAATGCAGCCAGTATAGACGCACTGCACCACACACCGGTGCCCAATCCAATCCTGGGCACTTGTGAGAACCTCTCACTTCAATCATAAGACAGATCCTTCCTGCTTCCTCATCCTCTACTCTTCTTTGCCCTTTGTTATAATTCTTTCTAGGGGTAACATTGCCACCTCTCCCTTTGGGACGACTCGTGTCTGGGAATATTTAGTGTCTGTTTTGGAGATCTTGGTTTTGTTAACTGTCCTGATAAGAAGACCATGCCCACAATACTAATGAGGCTCAGAAAGCCTCTGGCACATAGACAGGAGTGATGCTCTAAAATTCTCGGGCTCTTCACTCATTGCCTTCGAGAGTACTGATGCCCTCTGCTCTGTAAACGAGCTAAAAGAGAATGAAATTGGAAACAGGACATCAATGAATACATTCAGAGGGACTCAGGGTTTTGAAATAGAAATAAATGGGGAGCCCACTGTTGATGTACTAGATGTCCTGTTAAAGGTTAATGGTGGTATTCACCATCTGAGTCATTTGACTACTACCAGCCTTCAACTGAGATGGTGAGTGAGCATAAGTAATACGCGAATTCACGGAAGAGCACACCCAATTTAAACAACCTTCTAGAGACCCTGCTTCAGAAAAACCAAATAAGATTCAAATCTGGAGGTGTCTTTAACAAACATAAGGAAGTCAAATGGAGAAGCTATAACCTTAGCTCTGTCCCCAAGTAAACCAACAAGAGGTTTGGATTTAAAAGGGTGAAGTTCCTAGGAACTCAGGACAAACAAAACTAAGTCAACAGAACCAAAATACTCTACATTTGAGATAAAATGAGCATTGCCAGGAACTAAGGGATTTAAGAAGCATGAGCTTAAAACAAAGGGGATAAAGGACTCCATCCCTCCACAAGCTTGACAGGTGTTAACTAACTGGTCACAGCATTAGCTCCTCTGAGCTTGGACTTGGCCTCAGAATCCTTCGGAACACAGTGCTTTCAAAAAGTTCAACAAGTCAGTATTGGGATGGAAATCGCTATTGGTCAGCTTCAGTCTATATTATTCAGTAAAGAACTCAAACTTCTAGGTTGGGACAGATTTAAGTTGTAACCACTTCAGGTCTCCTGGACTCTCCAAGGCTTCTTACAACAGCTTCTCTTTTCTCTGGGGTGGACCCTGAGTCTCTGTCTCTGGCCTAAGCGAGGCTGCATTTCTGCTGTAAGCCAATGGAAAGTCAGAAGGGAGGAAACGCCAGCAGGCTCTGCTTGGGTGAAAACAGGTTTTCAACCTGTCCTCACTGACCTACCGCACATTTCTGCACTTGTCTCAAACTCACCTACTTCATCACAATATGAGCTCACAAAAGACCCACCTTTGTCTCTGATCTGGCTCTCTGTTCTGTGGGGTAGATGAAGGTGACAACTGGGAAATGAGTGGGAACAAGTAGATCAGGAGGCCCTGAATGTCAAGCCGGGAGTTTCCATTTCATCGCCTATCAGTAAATATCGGTGAATCACATTGTAGAACAGTATGGCATTATATAGAAATGTTAATGACAGACTCTTACCTGGCAACTCTACTCTTCATGATATATCCTGGAGGGATGCCTCTACATGGGTACACAGACACACAAGCAGGAATTTCCATAGCAGTATTCTTTGTTAAGAGTTCCAAACTCAAAACAATGCAAACCACATATTTATAGCCCAGTGGATAAATTGTGACCTAGTTATTCAATGGACTAGGATACGGCAACGTAAATTAATGAACTAAGCTACATGCTATATCAGTGATACACTGATAAGCCCCCACACCTAAGAAAATAAAGCATACTATATACTTCTCTTAATATAAAACTCAAAAACAGGCAAAAATAAATTGTATTATTAGGACTATCAGCATAGATAGAAAATCAAAGAAACGACTTTCCTAAAAGTTGGGGGGATGATTATCAGGAGGGGAGGATCAGGGAAGAACATCCAGGAGTTTTTCAGGCAATGCATTTTTCTTAATCCAGGTGGTAGTTTCATGAGTGTTTGCTATACAATGACTTGTTATGTGATGTAGAAATTCTGTGTTCCTTTACCATATATGTGCATATGTTATAACACATATATGCATTATATTCCACAATAAAAAAGTATAAAAGAAAATTCCAGCTGATTCTTACAACAGTCGTGGAAGGAAGTCGCTATCCTCCTCATTTCCCAGATGAGGAGACATGGGCACAGAGAGGTTGAGTGACAATGCTGTCCTCACCCAGCTCCTAAGTGGACAAGATAGGATCTGAGCCTGAAAACCTGACCTTAAAGTGTAGGGCAGGAGTCACCCTACCATCCAGCTCGTTAGTGGGAATGGGCAGGAGGGGAGGAATCCACAGAGCTTGGCAACTCATTGGGTGTTGGCATGAGGGAGGATAAGGGAAGGCATAAAATGACCCCAGATTTTGAGCCTGAACAACGTGGAAGATACAGGAGTCCCACTAACAAAGGTAAGAAAAAACAGAACCAGGAGGTTGGAGAGTTTAAACATGCTTTCTGACATCAGCCAGTGTATCTGCAGTCCCTTACACAGCTGGAAACGCAGAGCTGTCATGGGGGAAGACAGTATACAGCTCAATATATGGAACCTGTTTGCACCTGCTCAGGAATGACAGTTGATGCCATAAAGGGGAAAGAGATTTGAGGGATGAGGACACAGAAAGAAAAGCAGCACAGATGATGAACCTCTTAGAGGTACCAGAGAGAGAGAGATGGCAAACACAAGACTGACTGGGGGAAAGTGATGGAGAAGGATGCTTTATGACAAAGAAAAGCCAGTGAGAAGAGAAAAAATGGGCAGTGGTGACAGATGAACCCAAGGGTCCTTCCACATGTTGCAACCCAAGAAGGATTCCCCATGTGCTCAGGGTGAGTAGAGGGTGCTGTGCTCACTCACAGTTAAGGCAGCTGAGGCCAGAACGACACTGGCCTTCAGGACACAGAAGTGAAGCAGAGAATGTGCACACCCAGAGCTGCAAGCTGCCACGCACAGATCCCTATTCACTGCAATTCTAAGGGAGGTAACGGGCACTTAGGAGGCCAGGAGCTTGGCAGGGGCAAAGGCACGATTGCTAACTCCATACAGCAACCACTGTGTTTTCTGTTAGGTTCTAGAAAAATATTTGGTGGGGCTTTAGCTTGATGTATGCAAGCATAGGTTTAACTGATCATTAAAGGACATCAGCAAATTCAAGTCCTCTCTCTTGCATGTAGCTAGCCACACACGTGCGTGTGCAAACACACACACACACACACACACATACACTAATGATATTAATAGAATCAAGAACAACTGTCTTGGTAAACCACACAGCATTTTGCAAGGTATTTCACACACCTCCCCTGATAGGTTACGAATTTAAAGTTGTTCTCCTGATTCTGGCTTCACCCTCCACTATCTTTTCACTGACTTTATTACTTCCAATGCATAATCAATTAGTTCTGTACGGTACTCAGAGTGCAATTCGTATACACACATTGAGTTGGAAGCCCTCCTGCTTAAATATCAGAATTCAGCCTCTACAGATAATTTTACAAAGTTCCATGGTAAAAATATACATAGGCATTTTGGCTTTATATCAAATTATTTATACTAAATCTAAAAGTTGAAAATCAAAAGCAAAACATTTGGCAATCACGCTTAATAAAGAAAAGCTTTTGTTTTCTTTCTGTTTTGATGTATAAAATCTGGATGTATTGAAAATATGGCACTTTCAAAATATACTGCAATAAAATCACAGCCTCACTCCAACAACATTATGAGCTGTTGCATGAGATTTTCCCTAGATTTCATACTGAGTTTGTCCCTTTAATATCACCCTCATGCCTCACACTGAGCATTTAGAGTCACTGCTCCTTCAGATGTGTTTCCTGGCCATCGTTTTGAACACTCTGAACAGTGTGTAACCCACTGGAGTATTACCTGGGAGCTGTAATATAATGTATGCTGTGGACACTCCAGCGTGGCACATGAAAGGAAGGCCATAATCTTCCATTTTCACTTCCAAGAAGGTGATGTTTACTGTGTACAAATTATGTTCCCGAAAAGAGACATGGGTTCTATAAAAGAAAAGAGTAAGTCATTAATACATGAGTCAGATTTACCCAACATATTTTATAATCTGTTTTCTGGAGATAAAGTGTTTTCTTTGAGAACACTTTGGGCCATCATGTTATCCTAAAAATACTTTGCTGACTGGCCCAGTGAGGTTTGTAGATTGTATATTCCCAAATTTGCATTTTCTTCTGCATGGTGACAAGGAAGTATGGTTCTGTTAGCTACAGACACCATTCTCAGCCCCAAAGGCCTTTCCCCTATTCCTCTCCAAGTATCCTAACTTATCCATACTGCGAGGCCCAACACAAGCTCTCCTGCCCTCTGACTTCATTAGTTTTATTTACACCACTCCATTTATACCACCATAACTTGAGTTTATACCCATTCAATTAGCTAATGATTATGCACTGTCTTCCCTAAGAGTCCCCATTGGCGCTTGTTTAGTATAGCAAAGAACTATACTACTATTTCTTTCTTCTACTGTTGCAATATACACATTTGTGTCATTTCCAGTGTTTGCTTTGTATGCCCGGGGCATTAAGCTTTGAAGGCCGATGGCTCATGATATAACTGAATGGAAATGGGACTAATTTTGAGTAGTAGCTAAGAGAAATGGATCTTACTGCTCTCAGGGATACCTGGTCTTTTACCATATCTCCCTAACTATGTGATAGGTGGGATTGATAACATGAATCATTGAGAGGCAAAAACAAGAGGAGAAGGCAGTAGTGATACCAGATTCACTTAGATGGAGAAATCCTTGCTAGCGTTTAGAGAAGTCAAAAAAGCAAAACACCTACTCCACCCCTTCTCTGATTCGTTTGGATTCATCATAGTAATCATCCACCAAAGTGTTATTGACTCTCCAGCATCGTAGATTTGTATTATCCTTGGTGTCTGTTACATTGCAGTCCACAATCAGAGTGGTACCTAAAAAAAACCAATATCATCAATATTCAATGAAAATTCTACAAACTTTCAAATTTGTTAACATCTGGATTACAAGTGCATCGTACTCTCGAGCCTCGAATACCTTTTGATTACCAGAAATAGCCCCCTAGGCAAATGTTAATCTACTTTTTTCTTTCCCTGGAGAGAGACCACAAGGGGCAAGTGGCCTTCCAGGACAACCATTGTAAAGGGACACACATGCATTACCAAACATCATCAGGTACACAAATGCTATTTCTACTCCTAGTAACACTAGCAAAGAACTTGACAGTTCACAAAGTATTTTATGCATTTTATCCTTCAGTCTTTGAATCTTCAAAACAATCTTACAAGGCAGGAAAAGGGGAGGGGCTATTATCCTCATGTTAAGGATGCAAAAACTGAAGTTCAGATAGATTGAGTGACTTGCCCAAATTAATTAGAGGAAGAAATGAAATATGAACTCTAGATTTCTAACACCAAATCCAGTGATATTTCTGCTTCACCAAATGTAACCCCCACCCTTTCCCTCTCTTTCCCTTATCTTGCCTCTACACACATTCACAAATTTCATCAATTTATAGTCTCAGTGGACTTTGTCCCATGAGCTTAGTAAATTCTAACATTCAAGGAGTGTTCTTTATTCTAAATGATATTTTTTTAAAAAATGATTGTGAAATATAACACACATGTACCAAACAGTATAGAATAGAAATATCAAGTTAATGAATTATCATAAGCAAATATCTGTAACACTTTCACCTCATCAAGAAAACAGGATATTGTCTGAATCCCAGAAGCAATGTCTTCTGTCCATTTTTTAATCAAATTATTTGTTGTTCTGTTTTTTGTTTTTTGTTTGTTTGTTTGTTATTCAGCTGTTTGAGTTCCTTCTATATTCTGGATATTAACCCCTTGTCAGATGCACAGTTTACAAATATTTTCTCCCATTCTGTAGATTATGTTTTCACTCTGTTGATTGTTTCTTTTACTGTTCAGAAGCTTTTTGGTTTGATGTAATTCCATTTGTCTATTTTAACTTTTGTTGTCTGTGCTTTTGAGATCTTATCCAAAACATCTTGCCCAGTCCAATGTCATGAGCAATTCCTCTATGTTTTCTTCTAGTAGTTTCATAGTTTCAGGCTTATATTTAAGTCTTTAATCCATTTCAAGTTGAGTTTTGAATATGTTAAAAGATAGGGGTCTAGTTTCATTCTTCTGCATGTGGATATCCAATTTTCCTATCACCATTTATTGAAGAGACTGTTACTTGTTTAATGTGTGTTCCTGGCACTTTTGTCAAATATCAGTTGGCTGTTGATTTGTGGACTTATTTCTGGACTCTCTATTCTGCTCCATTGATCTATGTGCCTGTTTTCATGCTAACATCATGCTGTTTTGATTACTATAGCTTTTTAGTATATTTTGAAGTCAGGTAGTGTGATACCTCCAGCTTTGTTTTTGGTTTTGGGCCTTTTGGTCTTTTTCTCAAGATTGCTTTGGCTATTCAGGGTGTTTTATGGTCCTATACAAATTTTAGGACTGTTTCTTCTCTTTCTGTCAAAATAATGTCATTGGTATTTTAGTAGGGATTGCATTGAATCTGTAAGTTGCTTTCAGTAGGATGGACATTTGAACAATATTAATTCTTCCAATTCATGAACAAAGGATATTATATTCAGTGCTGAACAAAAATAAAAACTGCTATCCAAGAATACTATACCCAGCAAAACTATCTTTCAGAAATGTAAGAAAAATAAAGTCCCTTCCAGACAAGCAAAAACTAAGGGAATTCATTGCTGCTAGACCAGCCTTACAAGAAATCCCTAAGGAAATGCTGCAACTGAAAGTGAAAGGGTGATAATTACCATCATAAAAACATGTGAAAACTAACCAGTAGAGATAAATTCAAAATCAAATTCAGAATATCTCAATTCTGAAATGGCGCTATGTAAATCTTTCAAGACTCTAGTAATAAGTTTAAAGGTCAAAATGGTCAAAAATAACTACAGACACAATTGGTTATTAAAGAACACGCAATGTATAATGATGTGAATTAAGGCAACAAAAGTATAAACTGTTAGGGGGACAATAAAAGTCAAGGGTATTTTTATGTGACCAAAGTTAAATTGTAATCAGATTAAAATAGCCTATTATAACCATAAAAGTCTTTATTTTAGCCTCATGGTAGCCACAATGATAGAAACTGCAGCAGATACACAATAAAAAGAGAAAGGAATCAAAGCTTAGGACTACAGAGAACCACCAAACCACAAAAGTAAACAAGAGAGAAAGAAAGAAGCAAAGGATCTGCAAAACAACCAGAATACAAATAACAAAATGTCAGGAGTCATGTTCTTACCAATCAATAATAATCTTGAATGTAAATGGATTAAATTCTCTAATTCAAAGACATACAGTGGCAAAATGGATTAAAAGAAAAAAACAAGAACCAACTATATGCTGCCTAAAAGAGACTCACTTACTCACTGACTCACAGTAGGTCCAGTAAGGATACATATACACGAAAAGTGAAGAGATGAAAAAAAGATATTCCATGCAAATGGAAAACAAAAGCAAGCAGGAGTAGCTACACTTACATCAGATAAAATAGACTTCAAGTTAAAAATTATAAGAAGAGACAAAGAAGGTCATTATATAATGATCACTAGATTGTTGAATTCTGTTGTTGAATTCTCAATTGCATTTATTTCATTCATTGAATTATTAAGCTCAGACTTCTCTTTGGTTCTTTTTTATAATATCTATCTGTTGAATTTCTTATTCAGATCATAAATTGTTTTTCTGATTTCATTAAATTATTTGCTTGTATTCTCTTGTATCTAGCTGGGTTTCCTTAAGATCATTATTTTGGATTCCTTCCTTTTCAGGCATTTAGCAAATCTTATTTTCTTTGAGGTTTGTTACTGGAGAATTATTGTGCTCCTTTGAGGTATCATGTTTCCTGTTTTTTCATGTTTCCTGTTTTTTCATGTTTCTTGTGTCCTTATGTTGATAGCTGCACTTCTGGTGCAACAGTCACCTCTTCTAATTTTATGAAGTAGCTTTATTAGAGAAAGACTTTTTCTGTAGATGCATCCTAGCATGTCAGTTGGATAAGGTATGTTGGCTTTGGTTCTAGACAGAGACAGAAGTGTAGTCTTCATGCAGTTTCTTCAGCTACAATCCACATCTGCAGTATCTTTGAGTGTCTCAGTGGCCTAGGCTGCAGGAGTTTGTACTGGCAGTGGCATGGCTTTGCAGGGTGCTGGGCTACCATGTTGGTTCTCAGGCCAAGGGTGTGTGTGCACACACAGTAGGTCCAATGGAAAAGGGGTGTCGTCTTGCCAGGTGCAGGGCTACTGGGCTGGTTCTCAGGATGAGGGTGAGTATGTACACCCTCATGGGTATGAGGGTGAGCAGAGTAGGTCTGCTGGCTAGGGAAAGCTTCCCCAGTTGTGCAGGACTGCCTGTCCATACAGGAAGCAGGGCACCATGTGCATTTGGGAACCAGGATCACAGTAATTTCATAGGGCCCATACTCTAAGTAACCAGGATTTTGGAGTTGTAGCCACCTGTATGAACATGGTGAAATGACGGGAAAGCATTGGGGATGGAGAGATGCAGTGGCTACTGGCCCCCAGAACAGGACTCACTCTAGCAGTAGCTATAATTCCAAGACAGTGGCATGATGTAGCAGCATGGGTCATAGGGGATAAGGGTATGCACAATGTAGTTTCCTGCACTGGAGCAATATAGCCATGAGAACTCCAGGCTGCTCCCCAAACTGGGCTCAGGACCTGTGAGGACTGCAGCTTTCTTCTGTAGCAAGAACTGCAGGTGTCTGTGGTAATAATGAAGGTGGCAGAGGCCTTCTGCTTACCTTTTCCCTGCAAAGAGAAGTTTCTCTTGGCTCCAAGTCAATCTTGGTGGGGGAAACAGAGTGACAGAGAAAGGGTGATTTCCTCCCCTCTCTATGCTGCCATCCTGGGTTTCTGTGCTCCACAGGGATTCCATCATTTCCATGCTGCACTCCAGCGCCCTCCTTCAGACACGCTAGTCAAAATGTAGCTATTTATTTTATATTTTGGCCCTTTTGTACGGGAATTAGTGCTAGGAGCCCCTAGTCAGCAATTTTGTTGACATACTAATAATCTCTATCTTTATAATATATTTTAATACTTACAAGGAAATGGCTCTTTTTTCTTCTATTCAATTTTTTCTTGGCTAACTGTTTCCAGCATTTTTGACAGAAATTTTAGACATGTTTTGACAAGTTTTAGGATATTTGGTAATTTAATTGGTATTATATTAAACTTGTATATTAATCTAAGAGAAATAACATTTTTAATACTGAGTGTTTCTATTTAGGAACATCTTTTGAAATTTCACTAAAACACATATTCTTTTATGTTCCATCTATAAAATGATAAAATGCTGCATTTTTAATCATGTAGGCAAGTCCTCCTAATTTCTTGTTCAGTTGTTCCTTACTGTTTTATTTCTTGTATTGCAATTGTGAATGCTGTTTTCCCTGATTACATAATATATGCTATTTCAGGCATGTAAAAATGCTATTAGCTTTGAATGTTTATTTTGTATTAAAATAACATTAATAAGAAAATGCTAGTGATTATAGTTTTTTACTTAATTTTCTCAAAATTTCTAAGTAGAAACCAGTAGATCATGTTTTAAAAGTTATGTTTATCTTCCTCCCTCCAAGACTTCCAAAACTCCTTCTCTTGCCTTTTAATTGTCTAAATACATTGGCTAGAATTTCCAAAGACAGGAGTAGAGAAAGAAAGTCAATTAAGAGAGATAAAACAGCCAAATTTGTCTTTTAAGACTATTCACATAATGAGTAATGTGTAGACAATTATCCTTTATTATAGGTATTATTATTTCCTTGAAAGTTTAAAAGAATTATCCTAAAAACATATGGGCCTAGAGGCATTTAAACAGATTTTATCTCTTACCATTTGTTGTTTTATATAAGCTTTCCCATATTTCTAATTTTTTTATATTTGGGTGTCTCTGCACTTTGGGGATTAGATTTGCTGGAAGTTTAACTTTCTCCCCAACCCCCACCTCAACTCTTCTGTTCTTAACCAACTCTGGGACAGATTCTATTAGTTTATTTTCCTTTAATAAATTCATTATTTTCTACTTCTATTCTTGTTGTTTAGTTGGTCCTTTTATAGAGTCAAATGGTTAGTTGTATATTTTAATTATTTCCACACTTACTAATAATAATGTTATTTAAAGATATAAACTTGTTTAGAGTTGGTCATATGCCATGAAATTTGATATGACGTATTCTCACTATCATTATTTTCTAAATATTCTTTAACTATGGCTTTGGCTCTCTAATCAAAAATGCAAATAATTAAGAGATTTTTTGTTGTTGTTTAAGTTTTTAAATTTTTCTTTAGTTTTAATAGACAAATAATAATTACATATATTTATGGGTACGATGTGATGTTTTGATATATGTTTATATTGTAGAATAATTAAATCAAGCTAATTAACAAATCCGTCACTTCACATACTTATTAAGTGCGATTATTTTATTGTTTTGGTTTAGATATAAATTTTTACATTTACTGTATCGTTATTATACCCCATGATCTGTACAATTTCCTCTTTTGGACTCTGGTTTTTCATAGATGTTTCTGAGAGTGATCTATGTATTAGACACATTACTTTTACTATATTCCTCGAACCATGTAGACTCTTACTTTCCTAGTAAATTTCTCAAAGCAAGAGTATGTTAAAATCTCCCCCTACAACTGAAACAATTGTGTTGTTTTGTTGTATTGTATTTCTGAGACTTTTAGCATTATATAGTTTGATACACTAAGACACATAAAACTTTCTATTTTGTGAGATCTTGAGATTTTTGTCTAATTTGCTTTTTTTTCAGATGTAATACAACATATTTATTTTACTAGTGATTTTTTTTGTTTTGTTTTGTTTTGTTTTGTTTTGAGACGGAGTCTCGCTCTGTCGCCGCTGGAGTGCAGTGGCGCGATCTCGGCTCACTGCAAGCTCTGCCTCCCGGGTTCACGCCATTCTCCTGCCTCGGCCTCCCAAGTAGCTGGGACTACAGGCGCCTGCCACCATGCCCGGCTAATTTTTTGTATTTTTTAGTAAAGACAGGTTTTCACCGTGTTAGCCAGGATGGTCTTGATCTCCTGACCTCATGATCTGCCTGCCTCAGCCTCCTAAAGTGCTGGGATTACAGGCGTGAGCCACCGTGCCTGGCCACTAGTGATTATTTTTTAATTTAAAAAGTAATTTGATGCCTTTTTATCTACTTAGATCACAAATTGAGGCAATGCTTATTGATCCTTTTCCATATAGATTAAGGAATATAACATCATAATTTTTTTCACTCCTGTAATATATCTTGCATTGTGAGGTAATATAATCCAGAACTCCTGGTCAACATTATTTAATAGTAGTTTTATATTATATTATGTATTGTCTGAAGAATTATTTGCATTTTCATTGCCTTTGCATAAACAGATTTATAATAATCATTTTGGGCCCATAGTCCTCATTGCCAGACTTCTCTGCTACCACAACTTTTCCATGCTTCGGCTCTCTGGTGTTTTATTTTGATTCCTCTCCCCATGAGCTCACGTATATCCAAAGCTGGAAACTGGGTGTGTATAGGATTTATCTTCATCCTTAACATTCAAAATATTCACCAGAATATGCAAACATAATGAGCTCTTCCCCTGGTGATTTCAATGGCTTCAATAATTTTACTCACCAAGCTGTACTTCAATTGAATGATTTTTTGGATAAATGATTTTAGGGACACTTCCTCCATATCCAGCTCTTTCTGCTAAGAAATCATACCCACAGGAAATTGCATTAGAATCACGTATGATACATTCCCAAGTACTTTGATGTAATAGCATGAAGCCCAACAGAGCAGACCATCAATAAGCTCTGGTCAAAATCTCACTCCATAAATACACATTTTCAACCAGAAGTAACTGAATTGCCAAAAAAGAAAAAAAAAATAAGCTAGAAGCTGAGCTATCAAGAGAGTTCATTTTGGCCATATTTTGGTATAAACCATAAACTATATTCTTTATAATATAAACTAATAAGCTTTTATAATAAAATCTCAATACTTAATAATCCAAAAACACTTTGCAGGCAGTGGCTATAGACAAAGGCCTGGCTTAGGTGCTAGCTTGAGAGAAATAGTAACCCTCTTGTTTTACCTTCAAAAAACTCCCTCATGCAGTTCCTGTTCCATGGCAACCATTAATCTGTTTCCTATTTCTATAGTTTTGTCCTTATAAGAATGTTATGTAGATGGAAAAATACATATCATGTTTTTGAATTACTTTAAAATAATCTTGGGAACTGGTGGGAATGGGTAGAGGTAAAGATGAAAAAAGTCTATCCAGAAGTTGATAATTGTCAAAGTTGGATGAGGGATCTGTGAGGGTTCATCATATCTTCAGTTTTCCTCTTCCTCCTCCAACTCTGCATTTCCATATTATTTTATATCCCGTCCTCTTCTACTATTATTCTAACTCTTTCATCCTACCACCAAACTTTAGCATTATCTCCCTGTATTGACTCCCTGGACTCCCTGCCCCTCAGTCTTTCTCTACTTCTTTCCTCTCCCATTTGTCTGCCAAAATTTAGCGATCACCTACTTAGTTCCAGTATTCCTCCTATATATTTGGAGTGGGATATGGAAAAGTTGTAAGAGAGGAGCTAAGAAAAATGCAAAAATACATATCTTTTATGATGGCAATAATAAATGTGCATTCCACAAACTATTTAAATGCAGCATGTCCCAAACAAAAGTTATCCCCAGCTTGTTAATGTATCATCACCCACTAGATCACACACATGTAAAATCCAGAAGCCATTCTAGGCAACAGCTTTTCTTTCACCTTCTTCAACTTGTCAATCACCAAATTCAACTACTTTTGCCTCCTCATTTCTCAGTCTGTCTTTTTCTTCACTTCTAAGCCTTCTATTTTCCATTATTTTCCTAAGCAATCTCATTCACACCCACTACTTCAAATATCATTTCAAGGCCAATGACTTTGAAGGTCATGTCTCCAGTCCTTCCTCTAAGCTCCATGCCCATACAGGCCATGACCTACTCTGGACCTCCACCATCCAAAGGCACCTCATACTCAACGTAGCAATGACCAAACTCATGATCTCACTCCTAAATCTGGTTTTCCTCCAGAGCCATTTTCCTTCACTGAATAGCATCACCATCCAGTCAATAGTGCATGTCAAAAAGCCTGGTTAACTTTTTTGACCTTGCCATATTTCTCCCCATATTCAGTCCAACACTAAATCTGTGGGTTTTACCTCTTAAGGTGCCTTGAACCCATCCATATCTCTCCATCTTCAATGACATCATGTTACCTGTGCCTTCATGCCTTACCTGCGCTTCTGTACCTGCACTTCTGATCCACCCTGGAATGGATCATTCTGTGCACAGCGGCCAGTCTGCTGTTTCAGAAATGAAAATCAACTCATGCTACTCTCCTGCTTTTGATCTGTCTGGCTGCTTGTCATTGTTCTTAGAATAAAATTCATACTACTTACTCTGAATTGCTGGTTCCTACTTGATCTTGGCCCCCGACTACTTACCCAACCTCATCACCTGCCATAATTTCTCTCATTCAGGATCACTCTAGCCCTGCTTTCTACTCTTCAGATACTCCAAGTTCCCTCTTGTGCCAGGGTCTTCACATTTGCTACTTCCTCAGTCTGGAAAAAAATCTCCCCAACTCCATCATCCACATAATGCTTCCTGACCATCAGCATCACTATTATCAGAAAGCTTTCCCTGAGCCACTGCTTTCTCACGAGGCCCTGGTCTGTTTGAGCTCAGATTTTTCCTTTCCTTCACGCTTTCATCTTCCCTATAATTACACATCTTATTAGTGAATTATCTGATTATTCTCTGCCTTCCTTTCAGCCTTCAAGCTTCATCAGAGCAGTGGGGGTGGCTGTTTTCTTCACCACCATGTTCTCTCTGCCTGGCACAGAACCTAGCTTTGTTCAGTACTCAGCAAAGAGTTCTTAAATGATTGCTTGAAGGAGAGCTCCCCCATGGCCTCTTCCCAAGTTGAGACTATCAGCACTCTTTTGGATATTTTATCAGCCTCCTAAGTGGTCTCCAAGCTGCCAGGCCCTCTTCAACTCTGGCTTCAAATCATCTCAATACTGATGTCTCCCATCACAAATGCAGCCCAATGACTCTGCATTTGCACCGTCCCAGGGCCCTTCAGTGGCTGCATGGTAAAGCCTATGCATAAACAGTCCCCTGGACCTTGCCCTGCTTAACTCCATGACCTCAGCTCCCACCCTCCCCACCCCATACTCACATAGGATCTAATGAAAGTCATTTTAGATCCAACATAAACATAATGCTTAACACTTCCATGCTTTGTCCTATACTGTTCCCTCTGTTCTCTCTGCCTAGAGACCCCTCCTCACCCTCCTTTACTTTTGTGAATCCTATTCATTCTTCAAAATTCAGCTGAGAACTCCTTTCCTCTTGGAAGCCTTCCCAGACCATTTGCGTGCCACCCACGGACCCTTCTTATTCTTTTCCTGCTCCGCAAACACTGTCTGTGGCTCTACCCTTAGCACATAATGTTAAAATGATCCATTTAACCCCTAGATTCACCATCACCATGTCTGACAGTTTCATAGTAGAAGAAACAATGCTTTTCACTTTTGAATTATCAGGACCTTCCATAATACTGGCATATAACAGATCATAAATAAATGTTTATTGAACATGAAGTAGTGACTACTGAACCCAGTTACTTCTTAAGGGATTCTTCATTTTACCTGAGCAATTTCACCTTACAAAATTTCCCCTCAGTTACCAATGTAACATTAATGCATTATAGTAGTCAATCATTCACTTAATAAATAGATCTGTGCCTAGTCTAGGCCAGGCACTGGGCTCAGGGCCAGGGATTCAACTGTGAACAAGATGAGGCAGGTGCTTTCTTTCAGAGAGATAATGGTCAGCAGAAAACCCAAGAGCAGGAAAATCAAAAAAACCTTGTACAATTAATTTTCTTAATGACTGTGCTTTTAGCATGAACAATTAAAATTGAAAACCACCCCAAAATATTTAAATCAAATGAGCAGTTGCTGCAAAGAACATAGGAGGACTAGAACGGGCTCTCTAGAAGAACAGCTGGAATTCAGGGAGTCACTGGACTGTACAGAGTAAAGGGCCCTGTCCTGCATAGGCAGCAGGGAGCCACCCATGCTGACCAGATCCCCATAGGGATCCACACCACCCAGAAATAGCTCAGTCTCCCCTAGTACTCTGAAGTGTGATGGAAACTAGTGACAAATAGGAAGGTCTACATCAAAGAAGTATCCAGCCTTTAGTTCTTCTCATCTAGATGAGTAAATATAGAAAACAACTTTCTACTAAAGAAAGAGCAAAAGCCACCACAGCAGGAACTCCTTGTCCAGTGTGTTTGGAAAAACCAATGCTGGCCTGGGCATTGAATGCCAGAGCTCTGGCTCTGTTTCTGACAATAACCAGGTTTGTGACCTTGAATAAGTTGCTCCCCTCCTGGAACTCTGTAAAATGTATAGCTTGGGGAGAGAATGTGGAACAAGATGGCAGAATAGAAGAATCCGCCAATTGTCTCCCCTACAAGGACACCAAGTTAACAACCATCTACACAGAAGAAACACCTTCATAAGAACCAAAAATCACTCATAGTATCTGGTTTTAAATCTGTATCACAGAAAAGGACACCAATGAGATAGAAAAAGCAGTCCTCAATCACCAATGCCACTCTCGCCAACCCCTGACAGTGGCGGCATGGTACTGAGAGTGTCTCTGGTTGCTGGAGGAGAAAGGACACCACAATTGTGAGGCACTGAACTCAATGCTGACTTGTTAGAACAGAAAGGAAAACTGGACCAAACTCAGCTGCCACGGGCTCATGGAGGGAACATTTAAACCAGCCCTAGACAGAGGGAATTGTTAATCCCAGTGATCAGAACTTGAGTTCCTGTAAATCTTACCACCACAAGCTAAAGTGCTCTGGGTCTCTAAGTAAACTTGAGAGGCAGTCTGGGCCACAGGGACTGCAACTCTTAGGTGAGTCCTAGTGCTGCCCAGAGACGGTGGACTGGAGTGGGACATGCAATATACCTCAGTATTCCCATCTAGGGCAGCCAAGGGAGTGTGGGCATCACCCCTCTTTATCACCCCAGACTGCACACCTTGCAGCTATAAAAGAGACGCTTTCCTTCTGCTTAAGGAGAGGAGAGGGAAGAGCGGAGAGGACTTCACTTGCATCTTGGATGCCAGCTCAGCCACAGCAAGAGAGAACAATGATCAGAGTCATGAAGCCCCTGTTCCAGGCCTCCCAGATAACATTTACAGACATACCATGGGCCAGAAGGGGACCCGCTGCCTTGACGGAAAGGATTCAGTCCTTGCAGCATTCATCACCTGCTAACTTAAGAGTCCTTGTGCCATGAATAATCAGTAGCAATTATCCAGGTATTACATTGAATGCCTTGGGTGAGCATCTGAAACTTGCTGGCTTTAGGTGAGACTGAGCACATTATTAGCTGCAGTGATTATAGGGCAAAACTCCTTTTGCTTGAGAAAAGCAGAAGGAAAAGTTTGTCTTGCACTTCAGGTACTAGCATAGCCACAGGGGAGGGTAGGTCATGAAGCAGGCTCTTGAGGTCCCTGATTCTGGGACTTGAATCTTGGATGGCACTTCTGCACATGCCCTGGGCCAGAAGGGAGCCCAGTGCCCTGAAGAGTGAGTCCCAGGAAGGCAGCATTTGCCACAAGCTGACTTAAGAGCTCTTGGACCTTAAGGGAAAATCTGCGGTAGTCTGGCAGTACTCCTTGTGGCCGGCTGTGGCACTGGCTATGGATGCTGAGGCTCCTCTGCCTTTGGAAAGGGGAGGGAAGAGTGGGAAGGACTACGTCTTGTGGTTTGACTGCCAGCTCAGCTGCAGTACAAAAAAACACTTGGTAGACTTCTAAGGTTTGTTTACTCTAATCCCTCACTCCTAGATGGCACCTCTGGATCCACCCAGGGCCTGAGAGACCTTGCCAGTGGCAATCAGCCATGATGGGAGGGACACAGGCCTGGCTGGCTTTGCCACCGGCTGATTGTAGAGCACCAGGGCCTAAAGCAAACATAAGCAGTAGCCAGGGAGTGGGTAAAGCAGGCCTTGGGCAAGACCCAGCGCTGTGCTGGCTTCAGGTCTGACCCAGCAGTCCTAGTGGTCATGGCCAAAGTGGTGCCTGTGTCACTCCACCATCAGCTTTAGGTGGCTCAGAACAGACAGACAGACTCTGTTTGTTTGGGAGAAAGTAAGGGAAGAGAACAAGTCTCTGCCTGATATCTAGAGAATTCTCCCAGATATTGTCCAAGATCATCAAGGTGGTACCTCTACAGGTCTGCAAGAACCACAGCATTACTGGGCTTAGGGTGCCCCCTAAAGCAGATACAGCTTTGATCGAAACACTCAAATCCTTTGGAAGGCCTTCCCAAGAAGGACAAGTACAAATAAGTCCAGAGAGTGAAGACTACAATAAATACCTAACTTTTAAATGCCCAGACACTGAAGAACATCTACTAGCATCAACACCATCCAGGAAAACATGACCTCCTCAAATGAATTAAATAAGGCACCAGGGGCCAATCCTGAAGGAACAGAGATATGTGATGTTTCAGTCAGAGAATTCAAAATAGCTGTGTTGAGGAAACGCAAAGAAATTCAAGATAACATAGAAAAGGAATTCAGAATTCTATCAGATAAATTTAACAAGGAGATTGAAATAAGATTTTTTAAATCAAGCAGAAATTCTGGAAATGAAAAAATGCAATTGGCATATTGAAGAATGCATCAGAGTCCTTTAATAGAGGAATGTATCAAGCAGAAGAAAGAATTAGCAGGCTGGAAGACAGGCTATCTGAAAATACACAGTCAAAGGAGACAAAAGAAAAAAGAATAAAAAACAATGAAGCATTGCATACAGAATCTAGAAGATAGCCTCAAAAGGGCAAATCTAAAAGTTATTGGCTTTACAGAGGAGGTAGAGAAACAGAAAAGAGTAGAAAGTTTATTCAAAAGGATAACAGAGAACTTCCCAAACCTAGAGAAAGATATCAGTCCCCAAATACAAGAAGGTTATAGAACACCCAGCAGATTTAATCCAAAGGAGACTACGTCAAGACATTTAATAATCATACTCCCAAAGGTCAAGGATAAAGAAAGGATTCTAAAAGCAGCAAGAGAAAAGGAACAAATAACATACAATGGAGCTCTAATACATCTAGCAGCAGACTTTTCAGTGGAAACCTTATAGGCCAGGAGTGGCATGACACATTTTAAAAACGTTTACCCTAGAATAGCATATCCACAAAAATAACCTTCAAACATGAAGAAGAAATAGACTTTCCCAGACAAACGAAAGCTGAAGGATTTCATCTACTGACCTGTCCTACAAGAAATGTTAAAGGGAGTACTTCAATCAGAAAGAAAAGGACATTAATGAGCAATGAGTAATCACCCAAAGGCACAAAACTCACTGGTTATAATAAGTACACAGAAAAACACAGAATATTTTAACACTGTAACTGTGGTGTGAAACTGTTCTTATCCTAGAAAGACTGAATGATGAACCAATCAAAAATAATAACTACAACAACTTTTCAAGGTGTAGTGAGTACAAGATATAAATAGAAGCAACAAAAAGTTAAAAAGCAGGGGAATAAAGTTAAGGTGTAAAATTTTTATTAGTTTTCTTTTTGCTTGTTTGTTTATGCAAACAATATTAAGTTGTTATCCGGTTAAAATAATGGGTTATAAAATAGTATTTTCAAGCCTCATGGAAACCTCAAACCAGAAAAAATGCAATAGAGTCACAAAAAAATAAAAAGCAAGAAATCAAGTCATATCACCAGACAAAATCACCTTCACTAAAAGAAGACAGGAAGGAAAGAAAGGAGGAAGAGAAGACCAAAACAAGCAGAAAACAAATAACAAAATGACAGGAGTAAGTTCTACCTATCAATAATAACATTAAATGTAAATGGACTAAACTCTCCAATAAAGAGATGTAGAATGGCTGAATGAATGAAAAAACAAGACCCATTGATTGTTTCCACACTTCACCTATAAAGACACACATAGACTGAAAATAAAGGTATGAAAAAAGATATTCCATGACAATCAAAAACAAAAAAAAGAGCAGGAGTAGCTATGCTTAGAGAAAATAGATTTCAAGACAAAAACTATAAAAAAAGACAAAGCAAGTCACTATGTAATGATAAAAAGGTCAATTCAGCAAGAGGATATAACACCCAACACTGAAGCACTCAGATATAAAAACAAATATTATTGGAGCTAAAGAGAAAGATAGGCTCCAATACAATAATAGCTGGAGACTTCAATATCCCACTTTCAGCATTGGACAGATCTTCCAGGCAGAAAATCAACAAAGAAACATCTGACTTTATCTGCACTATAGACCAAATGGATCTAATAGATCCATTTACAGAACGTTTCATCCAATGGCTGTAGAATACATATTCTTTTCCTTAGCACATGGATCATTCTCAAGGACAGACCATCTGTTAGGTCACAAAACAAGTCTTAAGACACTGAAAAAATTGGAATAATATCAAGCATCTTCTCTGACCACAATGGAATAAAACTAGAAATCAATAACGAGAGGAATTTTGGAAACTATACAAATACATGGAAATTAAACAGTATGCTTCTGAATGACCAGTGGGTCAATGAAGAAATTAAGAAGGAAACTGAAAAATTTCTTGAAACAAATAATGGAAACACAACATACTAAAACATATGGGATACAGCAAAAGCAGTACTCAGAGAAAAGTTTATAGCTATAAGTGCCTACATCAAAAAAGAGGAAAAACTTCAAACAAACAATCTAATGATGTATCTTAAAGAACTAGAAAAGCAAGAGCAAACCAGGCCCAAAATTAGTAGAAGAAATAAATGAAATTGAAATGAAAAAAACACAGAAGATCAATGAAACAAAAAGTTGGTTCTTTAAAAAGGGAAACAAAATTGACAAACCTTTAGCCAGACTAAGCAAAAAAGAGAGGAGATACAAATAAATAAAACCAGAAATGAATAAGGAGACATTACAACTGATATTGCAGAAATCCAAAAGATTATTAATGGCTACTATGAGCAACTGTATGCCAATGAATAGGAAATCCCTCTAGAAGAAATGGGCAAATTCCTAGACAAATACAACCTACCAAGATTGAACCAGGAAGAAATCCAAAACCTAAACAGACCAATAACAAGTAACAATATAGAAATTTTAATAAAGTATCTTTATTAAAGAGAAAGAAGTCTCTTTATTAAAGAAAAGTCTAGGACTGGATGGCTTCACCACTGAATTCTAACAAACATTTAAAGAAGAACTAATACCAATCCTGCTCAAACTATTCAAAAAAATAGAGGATGAGAAGATACTACCAAATTCATTTTATGAGGCCAGTTATTACCCTGATACCAAAACCAGACAAAGACACATCAAAAAAAAAAAAGAGAGAGAAAACTATAGGCAAGTATCTCTGATGAATATTGATGCAAAAATCCTCAACAAAGTACTAGCAAACAGAATTCAACAATACATTAGAAAGATCATTCATCATGACCAAATGGGATTCATCCCTAGGATGCAAGGATGGTTTAACATTTGCAAATCAATCAATGTAATACATCATATCAACAGAATAAAGGCTAAAAACCATATGGTCATTGCAATTGATGCGGAAAAAGCATTTGATAAAATTCAGCAGGTCATGATAAAAACCCTCAAAAAACTGGAAGTAGAAAGAACATGTCTCAATGTAATAAAAGCCATATGTGACAGACCCACAGCTAGTATCATACTGAATGGGGAAAAACCGAAAGCCTTTCCTCTAAGTTCTGGAACACGAGGAGGATGCCCACTGTCAACACTGTTATTCAACATTGTACTGGAAGTCCTAGCTAGAGAAATCAGACAAGAGAAAGATATAAACGGCATCCAAATTAGAAAAGAAGAATTCAAATTATCATTGTTGGCAAATGATATGATCTTATATTTGGGAAAACCTAAAGACTCCACAAGAAAACTATTAGAACTAATAAATTCAGTGAAGTTGCTGGATACAAAATCAGCATACAAAAATCAGTAGCATTTCTATATGCCAGCAGTGAACAATGTGAAAAGATATTTTACAAGTAATCCCATTTACAATAGCCACACATAAAACCATATCATCATTTCAAAAATATTAAAATACATAGGAATTAAACGAAATTAAATACCTAGGAATTAACCAAAGAAGTGAAAGATCTCTATAATGAAAACTATAAAACACTGATGAAAGAAATTGAAGAGGACACCAAAAAATGAAAAAATATTCTATGCTCATGGATTATAAATATACACATATTATGTAATATATACACTTATTATGTGTTTAATATATCATATACCCATTATTATATATATAATACACCTATTATTATGTAATATATGCACATACTATATATAAATATATATACCTATTATGTACCCACAAAAATTGAAAATTAAAAAAATTAAATTAAATTAGTGGCTTGAGCTAATTTACTTTTAGGGTTTCTTCTTCCCCTAAGATTCTACTTTCAAACCTCCAGGCATATGTTCAAGAGAGCTGGCTGCTCTGGGCTGAGAACACAGGTCCATGAGCAGCAGGATATCCCAGGACCATATCCAGAACTCTGAGCTCTGCGGCACTTGAGGCAGGGGAGGCCTCAGCTGGAAGGCCCGCAGGAATATTCACGACAATGAAGGCTGAGGTGAATGACAGTCATGTTCATCACATCTACTATTGTCTAGATACTTGTGTTTCATCAGGTACCCCAGCAGCTAGTCTATGTGCATGATCTCATTTAATTTTCACAAATCAACCAAGAGTTTTGAGTGTTCTGTTGTTCAGAAGAGGAAACTAAGCTGCTCATGCCCTTCTGCCTCACTCTTCCCACCTTCTGATTCTAACAGTGGCAGGTCTGAGAGCCTACTAGCCTTCAGGGAAACCAAGACCTAGAATCACTCCTGCTCAAAGCCCAAAACCCAAAGCCAGAAGCCAGTTCACACAAAGCCAAGAGAATACAAGGCGACAGGCATACATGAGCATACTTACTAATGCTCACAGTGATGCCATTTAAAACCTCGTACTGCTTCCCTGAGTGTGTCAGTATGGCTTGACACGCGTAGTTCCCTCTGTCCTCTGCCGAGACATTGCTCACCAAAAGCCTGGTTTCCAAAACAGTGAACCGCTCCCCTTTAATCTCGTTACAGTCCTAATACAAATAAAAACAAAATTCAATTCAATGAATACTTAGAAACCTGTGTGATCCCTAGTATTTAGGTAATTTACAGTCTAACTGGAAGACAACAGATAGCTAGCTAGCTAGGTAAATAGAAAAATAGGTAGATGATAGATTGATGATAGATGGATAGATAGGCAGCAGAATTCCCTGCCTAGTCTGTATATAATGTGTATATATGTGTGTGTGTGTACATATATATGTGCATGTGTGTGTATATAGATATACACAGATTTGACAAAGGATATTTTACAGGCTGAAGTGAATGATACAAACAATAAGTCTAGTAGGACTTGAGAGGAGAGTGGCCTACGTGAGTTGGAAGGAAGACTTCATGGAGGAAAACTGAGCCTGGGTCAGTTTTTTGCAGGAGGACATGAACAGGCAGGAATGTCCTCCACCTTCAGGGGCCCATGTCTGCCAGTGGACTCCCGCTTAATGGCCCAAGACCCTCTGCCAAGACTGGAAACCCAGGTGAATAACAACTGCTCCCACTGCCTTGCGGGCCCAATTACACTTTCTGCACTTATCAAGCATTGGACTTTATAGAAGTCCAAAATAATTCTTCACCAACATCCAATTTGAAGGTCTGAACAGTGATCAAAGGAAGCTGGCCAGGTTTATGGTGGGCAGATGTCACATCACTTCTCCCGCTTCCCATGCCTCCTCCATGGACAAGGCAACAACCTCACACCCAACCAACCAGAAGACCAGTGAGTCTCAGGAATGCTTTCTCTCCCAGCAACCACCCAGAGGGCAAGCCTCACTGTTTCTCTGTCCTGTCCTAGGCTCACATTCTCATGCTAATCACCAGTTCTTCCATCCCTTGGGCCACCTTCTGAATTCTCCCAAACCTGCTCCCTGTCCTCCAAGAAGCTGCAGTCCACAGAGTGACTGCTTAGCTAATTGAGTCCATTTGTTCATTCAAACATTTGAATTCCTGCAGTTTGCCTGCACTGTGACAGGCCTGGCCATGCAGGACTAAGATGCAATCCCTCTCCTCAGGAAGTGCACAATCTAAAAGATAAAATCAACATGCAAACTCCTAATTAAATAAATATTTACCTGCCCAAGTGTTAGGCTCTCTCCTCACTTAGGCATGGTTCAGAGTCACACTTCATTCTCCACCCCTGGAACAGCATGAATAGAGCCGCCCAGCAGGATGCAGTAAATAATTAATGCCAAACAAGCATTGGTTTATTTATAATGTGAAATGCTACTTCCTATAAGGCTTACATTATTTCCCTATAAATACCTGATATGGGAAACCAACTCATAATCTGACAACTGCTTGTCAAACAAAATGGGAATTACTAATCAGAGTTAGATGTATAAAGGGATCAGACTCTGATATTGTGATGTCTCCTTCTTTAGGATACAGACAAGCACTTTTTTTTTTTTTTTTTTTTTTGCTGGAACAGGGTCTTAGCTCTGTCGCCCACTTCCTGAGCTCGGGGGATCCTCCCACTCCAGCCTCCCGAGTAGCTGGGACTACAGGTACGTGCCACCACACCCCAATTTTTTGTTTTTTTAGTACAGGTGGGGTTTCACCATGAAGCCCAGGCTGGTCTCGAACACCTGAGCTCAAGGAGTCTGCCCACCTTAGCCTCCCAAAGTGCTAGGATTACAGGCATAAGCCACTGAACTCAGCCCAAACAAAGTACAATGTCTAGTCCTCACATTTCATAAACCTCTTCCCTGGACAGGCTGCCCTGGATAGTCTCTGGCTAGGCACAGTCTCTGGGCCTCCCTTGCTGTGCTTCCATGGCTGAGCAGTCCTCTTTCTGATGGGTTCATTCTTTCTTTCAAGATATACATATTTTAATCATCTTAAAGTTCAGCCTTGCAGCTGAGGGCCATTCTGTCGCTTTGCTATAACTTAGACTACCTCTATTCTGATCCACTGGAACATTATTTCAAAGTTTAAACTCTCAATGAGCTTGGATTTAAATTTAAAATCTTTAGGGTAATGTCTCACTAACAAGATTTAAAATTAAAATGTTAAGAACAATAGCGTCCACTTTTGAATGCCTTATGTATTCCAGGCAACGTGAAGAAAACTCCTGACCCAGCATGTACAATATTTCAGAAACACAAAATAGCCTTGAGAATTCTTACTAAGATGCAGTGGGTACAGAATAGTGATGGAGATAAAACTGGTGAGGCAGTCAGGAGACCTGTCACAGAAAACCATGAAGAGGAGACGAGCATCAGAAGCTTTCTGAGCAAGAGAATAAGACAATCAGATTTTCTTTTGAGAAAGATCCTTTAGTTGCTGTGTAGTTTAAAGGATTAAAATAGTGCAATGCTAAAGACCATTTAGATTTTATTTCCATAAACTGAGACCAAATGGAACCTAAACTAAGGCAGGGAAGTAGGGATAGCAAGTAAAAAACAAAAAACAATTATTTTAAGCAGTTCCAGTCCACAGAATTTAGTGACAAATTTGGAATATGCAGAGGGAGCAGGACTTCTACAGTCTTAGGTAAGCAAAGGTGTTACTAAGAAGAAGAAGGAATGCAAAGAAATGAAGAAAATGATCCTATTTAGGGTAAGATTAAAAAATAGATCTAACCATGGTGCATGGGGTGAGTGGTGGGGATGGGAGGGTCTAAGGAGACTGTACATTAGACGGTTGGACAAAGAAATCTGGAGATTGGAAGAAAGGTCCAAGTGGAAGAGAACTGGGAGCCATATGGAGAATATAGAGCCAAACGGATGGTTCTATAAATCATCCACTTGAATGTAAGCAAAAGCGAGCACAGAAGATGACCGCAGCTGAAACCATGGGGAACCTCAAATCCTAAGACCCAAATATAGAGGAAAAGAACTCAGTGATGATTACAAAGGAAGCACCAGAAAAAAATAAAAATAAAAAAGATAAACAGAGACAAAGAATAAGTCTTAGAAGGAAATGGGAAAGGAGTTCCTAGCTGATGGGAGTGCCCAGCAATGTTGAATGCCACAATCAGGTTGAAAATGAATGTCAATTTAGCAACTGAAGAGCGCGAAGTAACTTCAGCAAGTTCAGATTGAGCACAGTGATAGGGACCCAAAACCACTGTGCTGAGGAGTAATTTGGGATTGAAACAAAAACAAAATTGGGGACATTACCACTTTTCCAGGTGTAGACAGATGTCTTAATACCCAAACCTTGTCCTCTGTAAGCTCTTCAATTTCAAAGACTTCCTGGGGACTTTCAGTTTTCAATTCTCCCAGACGTAAGCCAGGATTTTCGTAGGGATTTGCCATTATCCAGAACCTCTGTCTCAAAATTCTTAAAATTAAATTTATTACTTTCTGACTGATTCCCTATTCCAGCTCATTCATTCCTTTATTGTAACATAATAATCTCTAATATTTATTTATTACGTACCTATTATGTACTCATGCTGAACTAAATGCTTCGTGGATAGATTAGATCATTTAATCTTTGAAACAGAGCCATGAAGCCATATATCTCTGTCTGGATTTAGCAAACAAAAATCATTCTATATTTTATGCAGAAAAGGATTCAAGACAAGATACTAGGTGCTTTGCTAAATCTGTGAAAGTACTCAGGAAGTGGCATCGAGGCCAGAACCACACTGCAGAAGTAGCTTGCCCTGAGAGCCGCTACCTCTACCACAATCTGGAAAGTGGGGAATCAACTCTGAAATACACCACCTGCAATTCAGAGACCAGGAGTTGCCGCTTATGCAACTCCAGTGTGTCAAGTAATGCCACATCAGGAAGAGCCACCCCAACAAATAAAGTGGAATACTCAGCTCCCACAGAACTGGAGACTGGACACTTCAATGCTGCTGGAGAAATTTCCGTGTCTCCAGGGCTCTGCTTTCCAGCAGAAAGAGCAGGAAGATCCTCCATCCTCACCTTTACCTTTCAGCAAAGCCAGCTGGAGACATGGAATTCCATCCAGAGCCTTAGCAGTAGGTGACTCAGCAAAATGTAAGGTGGTATGGTCATTTTGTTCCTGTGTCTTTTTAGTTTTATGGCCTCTACAGGATAAAAAGACTCACCATGGGCATTACACTTTTCCACCTGAACTTTCTATCCATTCAACTCACTTTTCTATCTTAACTGGAATTAGCCCACCTGACCTCTCTACTTTTGTCTAATTTCCAAGCTCTTTCAGGTATCATTTCCTTTCCTGTCCATCCTGGATTCACGTGTCCATCACTTGAATCACTTCCCTTCCAGTACCTCAACTCTGCAGCCCTCCGTCCTTCCAGCATCTTCACCTGCAAAGACCCATTCTGATGGATCCCTTCATCCCTCTCCTGCAAGCCTTCAACCAGAGAGCAGAGCACTATAGGAGATAATCACATAAACAGGGGTCTTGGTACCACTACAAATTCATTACATCTCCATCTATTTACTTACATTACTCTTTCAAATTTTCCCCATAACATCTCCTTACAATTAGAAAAATTAGGGGCCCTCAGACATGAGTTCCTCCTTTTCCCTAATTTTTCAGTTCTACTTTATAACTTTCTGAAATGAACCGCACTTCTTAACTTGATTTCTAGGATAGTCCAAATGATCAGCATGCCACCATTCTCAAGGCCTTCCAATGTATTCACTATAGCCCCACAGAAGGACTTTTCTCAAATGTGAATTTGCTCATGCCATTCTCCTGATGGTAGGATTCACTGTTGAAATGCTTTAGGTTGGCATAAATGGTGTTTATTTTCTAGCACCATCTTTCTACATGTGCCCTAAACTCTAACCAAGGCCCCCAAACACCATTCTCTTTCTCACCCAACGCCTTTGCACCTGCTGCTTCCCTCTAATTACTGACCTTCCTTGCCGTACCCACCAGGCTAACTGTGTTCACTCTTCAAGCACAGTTCAAAGTCACCTTTTCCAGGAAGCATAGCCATGGACATTCCCAGGGTCTGCTCTAGTTTTGCTTTCTTTATGTTCACCTCATGCTGTAATAAAATTCTTAGTTTACTTGTCTGCTTCCTCTGATAAATTGTAACTTCTTTGAAGACATATGACATCCCTTGGCACAGCACCAAGAAGATCACAGACTCCAGATATTGCAGAATTGATTCCAACCCTCTGGTTTTACAGATGACAACACTGAGGCCCAAAGAGTGATTCCAGGTCTGAGCACATGGTAGTGGCAAAAACAGCCATACCTGGATCACCAAATCTGAGCAGGTGGTATAGTATCAGGTGACCCCTCCTGCTTACACTGCTGACCCTCAGCTTTTGCCTACATTTGCAAGCCCAGGGGTTGTTTTTAAAATAAAGGCATCTAAGCGCCACCCATGGGTGACCTGCTTCAGTTAGCAGAAGGTGAGGCTGAACATCAGAATTTTTAAAAGATCCAGAGGATCAAATCCGATGCTCACTTAGGATTGCTAGTCATAGCCCTGAGTCCATCTCCAAGTGCTGCAGAAACAGAAGTTAGAATAGCCAAGGCAACATTTCAGAAAAAGGAAAAGCAGAGGACTTATACAAAACTTAAGACTTATCTAATGCCATAATAATTAACAAGCATAAGGGCCCGATGCGCTGGCTCACACCTGTAATCCCAGCACTTTGGGAGACTGAGACAAGTGGATCATCTGAGGTCAGTAGTTTGAGACAGCCTGGCCAACACGGTGAAATCCTGTCTCTAGTAAAAATACCAAAAATTAGCCAGTCATAGTGGTGTGCACCTGTAATCCCAACTACTCTGGAGGCTGAGGCAGGAGAATGGCTTGAACCCAGGAGGCAGAGGTTGCAATGAGTCAAGACCGCACCACTGCCCTCTAGCCTAGGAGAGAGACTGAGACTCCATCTGAAAAAAGAAAAAAAAAAAGAAAGAAAGAAGGAAGGAAGGAAGAAAGAAGAAAGAAAGAAAGAAAGAAAGAAAGAAAGAAAGAAAGAGAGAGAGAGAGAGAGAGAAAGAAAGAAAGAAAGAAAGAAAGAAAGAAAGAAAGAAAGAAAGAAAGAAAGAAAGAAAGAAAGAAAGAGAAAGAAAGAAATAGAATAAGGGAATGCTACAGAGGGTTCTGAAACAGATCTACACACAAAGACCAATATGATTTACGTTGCATGCAAAGCAACGTGAAAAGAACAGGTAAACTATAAGTCCACAGAGAAAAAAATTACATTTGACCCTACCAACACTACACACTTAAAAATCAGTGGAAAAAGAAAAACAATGAAACTTCAAGAAGAAAATATAGGAAAAAAGGTCTTTTTACTTAGGGGTAGGAAAAAGATTCTTAAACAAGTCACAGAAAGTACTAATCACAAAGGAAAATCAATACATCAGACTGCATTAAAACTAGGAAGTCTGAGACCTCATTACCAGAGTAGAAAGGTTAGCCATTGCTTAGAAGGACACATTGTAACAATTACTGATATCCAGATCTATAAAGAACT
Source organism: Homo sapiens (assembly GCF_000001405.40). NCBI lineage: Eukaryota > Metazoa > Chordata > Mammalia > Primates > Hominidae > Homo > Homo sapiens. The sequence continues at coordinate 102,195,144 of NC_000002.12, read as the reverse complement.
ACTACAAATCAATGAGAAATAGACAAGAGGCTAGCAAACCACACAACGGGCCAAATGTGGCTAACCACCTGTTTTTGTAAATAAAATGTTATTGCAACACAACCACACTCCTTCATTTCTACATTGTCTACAACTGTTTTTGTGCTTCCAAAACAGAGTTGAGTGGGTGAAACAGAGACCATCCGGCCTACAATGCCTAAAATATTTATTATTTGGCTTTTCACAGAAAAAAAAAAATGATACCTCCTGGACAAGGTAACCCGCAGCCACTCAGGAGGCTGAGGCAGAAGGGTCACTCGAGCCCAGGGGTTCAAGGTTACAGTGAACTATGATTGCACTACCACACTCCAGCCGGGGCAACAGAGCAAGAGCTAGTCTCAAAAAAAATTTTCACAAGCAAGCACTCAAAGAAAAAAATTACACACACACACACAGACATCCAAGTGCCAATAAGAAAATTTAAAGAAGATCAACATTATCAGTAATCAGGGAAGTGTTAATTAAAGCTGAAATGAGACACAATTACTCATTTATCCAAATAGCAAAAATTAAAAAGACTAATAGTACCATGTGTTGTCAGGTATAGGGGCATAAATAACTCTTATACACTGCTGCTGGAACTGTTAATTGGCACCACTTTGGAAAATGGTTTGGCATTTTCTACGTACCCTTATGACCCAACTATTTCACTCTCATGTAATATGTCCCACAAAATTGCATTCATAAGTGAGGAAAGTGTTCATACCAGCTTTGATTCTAAGACCCAGAAGTTGGAAATGACTCAAGAGTCTAACAATAATAATAATGAAATAGTACACAGCAAAGAAAATGGATGAAATATAGCCACATGAAACAGCATAGATGATTCCCACTGTTTTGCTATTGAGCCAAGGAAGCTAGACATAAACACTACATATGATTTTATTCAAATTAAATAAAATTCAAAAACTGGTAAATCCAATCTATGATAGCATAAATCAGGGAAGTGGTTATTTGGGGGACTAGGGAGGCATAGTTTTTGCAAGATGGAAGAGGTGGGCCTTCGGAGGTGCTAGTAATGTTTTCTTTCTTAACTTTCATGGGAAAGGGTAATTAAAAGGTATGTTCACTTTCTGATAATCCAACAAGCTTGTCCAATTATGATTTCTGCATTTTATATGTATACGTTATACTTCAATGAAAAGGGGTTTTTTTAATGCATTGCAAACAATCATACCCAGGATATATAAATATATAAAATCTCCTATAAGTCACAAGAAAATGGCATGAAAAGTAAAATAAGAAATATACCAAAAGATATGAGTGGGCAGTTCAGAAGAGGATCCAGAAATGGCCAATAAACTGAAAAATGTGGTCAATCTCACTAATAATTAAGGAAAAGCAAAATAAAATAAAAAGGTACATTTTATACCCACCAAACTGATTTTAAAAATCAAAGGCTTATAATACAAAGTTCAACACAAGGTTGTAGGAAATCTAGAATACTCCTGGTGAGCCATGCATGGTGGTTCATGCCTGTAATCCTACCACTTTGGGAGGCCAAGGCCTGAGGACCACTTGAGGCCAGGAGTTCGAGACCAGTCTGGGCATCATAGCAAGATTCTGTCACACAAAAAATTTAAAAAATTACCTGGGCTTCCACTTGAGCCCAGGAATTAGGCTGCAGTGAGCCATGATCACACCACTGCACTCCAGCCTGGACAACAGAGTGAGACTCTGTCATAAAATAAAGTAAAATAAAATACTCCTGGCAAAAGTATAAACTGATACAAAATTCTGTGAAGCAATTTGTGTAACATCAACAAAGTTGAATACTTTGTTCATCTGCATGCCCTACAAATGAGCAATTCTAGGGCTAGTAATCTTAAAGGAATGCATTCACTGGCAAACGTGCCTTAAAATACAGGTATAAGGACACTCACTTCCACATTTCTTGTAAAAGAGGGAAACTAAACAACCTAAATGAACATGAAACATATAACAGAAAGGATCAACAAAGTCAAAAGTTAGCTTTTGAAAAGAGTACTAGAACTGACAAGTCTCTGATGAAACTAATCAAGTAAGTGTGTGTGTGTGTGCACGTGTGTGTGTATGTGTGTAAGAGAGAATGAATAATGACTGAAGGTGAACCTTACTTTGAAGGTTTTGATGTCTGCAGACATTAAAAGAGAAGAGCTGCTAAACAATTTTCCAGAATATATGAGACCTTTAATGAAATGAGAAACTTCCTAAGACACAAAATCTTACCAAACTCACACAAGAGAAAGTAAGAAATTTGCGTAATTCTTTCACCATTAAAGAAATTGAATCAATAGATGAAAATCTTCCCATAAAGAAAACTCATGACCCAGAGGGGTGTGCTGGCAGGCGTTAACAAGCAGGAAAAACTAATTCCAATCTCAAATGACTAGCCTGTGCTCCTCCATGCCAAGAGTTACCTTCTATGTCAACATATGCCAGGATCATCAAGAAAAGAGAACTTTTGAAGATGAAAACACAAAGTGCAGAAAGATGAGCGTAAAAAAGGAAGGGCTAGAAAGAGCTAGACTATATATTTTTATTTGCTAGTATAGCATCATACAAGAATAATCACAGGGCACTAATCATGGTAGCCACAGTTGAGGAAGGTGTGATGAGCCCAGAACAAATATGGAACGGTAGCAGGAAAGAGGTTTTCCAGGGGGTGACCTCTTAGAATTTGTGATTATTGAACCATGTGCACATAGTATGCATTTAAACAAATATAATTAATGTTAGAAAAATAAAGAAAAGCCTGAAAAATAAGAATAACTGGAGGAAGGTGGTGGATCCAAATAATAAAATATTACAAAGCTATAATAACCAAAAATGTTTAAAAACAGTAATTAGGAAGGTAACGTTATCAATGACTGCTAGCTAACTAATCTATCTTAGGCACACAACTTTCTTTACCAATTCTGCCTTAAAAAATACAACTTAACCTATAAAAAACAGTGGGTTTTAAAGAAAAGGAGGAAAAATATCAATAAGAAAATTCTTTTTTACCTTATACCACTTTATTGGACCCAAAACACAACTCTTCGGGAAGTGCAGATGACATGTGAGACTATCATCTTTTCCAAGATGTAATATTTGCTTGTACTCATCTGATAAATTTGGTAAACCACCTATGGAAGTGTCACACCAATGTTTTTCAAAAACAGTTAGGTTTACATGTATTCTATGACAGCTGTCTCTACCCCTGTAAGACAGATTGAGACCTCATAAACTCTTTAAAACAAATCACAAAATCAAATAATTCCACTCATTTTCAAATGTTTTCAAATCATTTTCACAGCACTGTGCAAACCCTCTGCCTCTAACAAAGCACTAAGCATCCACAAATGATTCATCACAAAAGGACAAATGGTATTCATACAGTGGAGGAACTGGACAACACCTTAACTGAGTGATCAAAATGGACATCACCAACTAGGGGCAAGTGGACGCCATGTGCCTCTGAGTAATATTCTGAAGAGGACACAAAGCCTCACCTAGCATTCCAGCCAAAATGGCTGAACCTACTCATGAAGAAATACCTGACAAACCCCAATGAAGGAGGTAATACAAAATAATTGCTTACAGTTCTTAAAAATGTCAGTATCATGAAAAACAAAGACTGAGGAACTGTTCCAGATTAAAAGAAATTAAATATTCATGGCAACCAAATGCAATGCATGATCCCAGATTGGTAACTGTACTGGAAAAGAAAGAAAAACATTATAAAAGGTCTTCAATGAGATCATTGATAAGATTAGAATATAGATTATAGATTAAGGTATTATATGATGTTTAAGTTTCCTGAATTTGATAACTATACTATGATTATGTAAGAAATAAATAAATATACATTGAAAGGAAATAGGAAACATACACTGTTGATAGGAAATATACATTGAAATATTAAGGGCTAAGAGGGTATGATGATTAAGGGCTAAGGCAGTATTCAGTTTTTTCAACTGAAATGGTTTAAAAAATGGTTTAGGAGAAAAATATTGTTTGTAATTTATATCATATATATTGTGAAAGAGAAAATTATAAGATAAATGTAAAAATATATTCTTAAAAACGAGGAATCTAGATAAAGGGTAGAAGGAAGTTCTTGATACTATTCCTGCAAAATTTATTTAAATTTAAAATTATTTCAAAGCAAAAAGTAAAAATATACAGTTTCCTAAACACGTATCCTATCTGGATGTTAGTAATAAAAGTCTTGGAGAATTCATGTTCATTTTCTTTCATGGCAGATAATATCTTCGTCAATTTCTATTAAAGATTACTTTTCCTCATTTCACAGCTCCCAGATTTAAATAGTTTAAGTCTAGCTTCGACATCCAGATTCATTTATGTGATGTATGATCTTCAAGTCTAGTTAATAATTCACAGCCTAGGCTACTAGTTAATAATTCACAGCCTAGGCTAAAATAGGACAGCAGACCTCCACGTGCCCTGAGCGGTTTATTAGCAACTAAATCTGTGGAAAGGAGCCAGGCAGAGCTAACGACCACTTCCACTTGTGAACCACTCAATTTTGTGCATTTAGTCTGTCTGGTGTTTAGAAATGAGGAATCTAGCAGCAATCAGAGTGGGACAGGGGCCATGCTGGGACACAGAAAGGGGCTGGCAAATATCGCGGAATCAAAACAAGAGCGAGAGAATGGAGTACCTACTTCACACCTGATCTCAGTTAATTTGCACCTCAAGCCTATCAGGCCAGCATTACTTCCATTTTACAGAAAAAAACCAAGGCTCAGAGAGATCAAGTAATTTGTTAAGGTCATGCAAGCCAGTGTGGGAAAGTCACGAAATTGGGCCCTCAGGCTAAATTTGTTCTACAGATGTGTTTTATTCAGGCCCCACAAAGCTTTACAAATTATAAAAAGTTGCACACACAAATTCCGATTTCCATATTCCCTTGAAAAGTGAGAAGATGGGCTTGACCTGAATAGACAGCTACCTTTGAGGGGCATGTGTTTTCCAGCTGACCACAGTCACCAGCAGGCCTGTGTTATTCATATTTCTTAGCACAGGTTCTCCAGTGAGGTCTGGAACATACTCCATGCTTACTCCCTGCCTTAAGCAGATTCCTCGTGAAAAGCGCTCATAGGAGGCTCATTCCTATCTGGATGTGCCATTTCCCACAAAAACTTTTGGCATTTCAAGAAAGATGGCAGCGGCCGGGCTAGGTGGCTCAGGCCTGTAATCCCAGCACTTTGGGAGGCCAAGACGGGCGGATCACGAGTTCAGTAGCTCGAGATCATCCTAGCTAACACGGTGAAACCCCATCTCTACTAAAAATACAAAAAATTAGCCAAGCATGGTGGCTTGCGCCTATAATCCCAGCTACTTCGGATATAGCCAAGCGCCTATAATCCCAGCTACTTCGGAAGCTGAGGCAGGAGAATCACTTGAACCTGGGAGGCGGAGGTTGCAGTGAGCCGAGATCGCCGCCACTGCACTCCAGCCTGGTGACGGAGCGAGACTCCATCTCAAAAAATAAAAAAGAAAAATAAAAAAGAAAAGAAAAAGAAAACAGGAAAGAAAGATGGCAGCAATAATACTGGGACAAACACACTTTGTGAGTGGGTCTGGTCTGAGGTGCCATTTCCATAGGGAAAGATGCATATCAGGTTCCAAAAATGATTTACAAATCTGTTCTGTTTAAAAATGTGTTCACTGGAAATTGTCTTGTAGCAATTATAAAAACATACAACAACATAATTCTTCTCAAGAGTTTTCTATGTTCGTTAAGAATTTTCCTAAAATAATTTATACATACACACACGAGTTAGTTCTATTTTAAATTAGGAACTTACTTTATAACACATTGGTAGACTCCTGAGTCCCCCCATTCCATGGGGAGAAACAAAATCCAAGTCTCGTCCTGGTGAATTCTAGACTGTATGATTTTGGACACTGGGATTTTGCTAGAATTTTTATACCATGTTACACTGACTTCCCCAGATGTTATGGGAGGGAATGTACAATTAAAAGCAAAAGGCTGGCTTGCTGAAAGTATCTCATTTTTCATAAAAATGTCCTTGCATCCATCTAGGGAAAGAAAAACAAAACAAAACAATTATCCATGAAAGAAAACTTCAGTTTTATTTACTGTTAGTTTTTTTAAATGCCTCTTCAATTTTCCAGCCAATTTGAAATTTTATTTGGGAGTTTCTTGAGTCTGGAAGTTTCCTAAAAATAGCCTGCTGATTATAAAGTATAATTCCAAGTTCTTTAAATGTATCCATAAAACAGAATTTACTCCGTTCCCTCCTCACAAACCTCCCCATCGGGAGTGATTTCCCTCTTTCCCTTCTATTCTACGACCCTTAGTTCTTTTCATCCACAGAGTTCTTTACTCTGTACTCACCTACAGAGTAAATCAACCCTTCTTGTCTTTTCTGTTTCTGCTCTGCCACCCAGTTATTTTACTCTGTCTTGAGTAAAAGGTATTTCATCCCAAAACGATTGTTTAAGAAAAAAAATTTGGTTCACTTTTAAAGTTCATTTCTACCAAATTTCCTTTTTTTTTTTTTTTTGAGACGGAGTCTCTCTCTGTCGCCCAGGCTGGAGTGCAGAGGCTCAATCTCGGCTCACTGCAAGCTCCGCCTCCCGAGTTCACGCCATTCTCCTGCCTCAGCCTCTTGAGTAGCTGGGACTACAGGCGCCCGCCACCGCGCCCGGCTAATTTTTTTAATGTATTTTTAGTAGAGACGGGGTTTCACCGTGTTAGCCAGGATGGTCTAGATCTCCTGACCTCGTGATCCGCCCGCCTTGGCCTCCCAAAGTACTGGGATTACAGGCATGAGCCACTGCGCCCGGCCATACCAAATTTCTTAGAAGAAATTTGTTCTATTGACGGTTTCCTTGCTTTCACCTTGTGTCATAAAATAACGCTTTATCTTATAAAATAGCCTGTAGTAATTCCATTTGAGCATTGTTACTCAAGTCTTCACTTGGAATTTGCCTAACTCCTTCCCCTCCCCGAAGTCACCTCCAAGCTCAAAGGCGACATTCAGGGCTGAGCATCCGAGCACGTGGAGCTGGTTCTCTGTTTCCTCTTCCGCGGAACTCCGCCTGGCGGTCTGGGGAGGGGAAGGAGCCGCGCTCGGGCTGACGCGATCCCCGGGGGCTCCCAATGACAGGCCAGGAGCCTGTGGACTCGGGCAGCCTCTGGGAACGGAGGACACACGGAACGTACCTGCTGTGACAGACAGTGGAAGGGCGATGGACAACCCGCAGAGCAGCAAGGACCACATCCCCAAACCGGGCTGCAAGGAAGGGAGAAGAGGGTGGGAGGGGAGGACGCAGTAGGGCGGGCCCGAGGCGCCGGCGTGGGCGACCTCGGAATCTCAAAGACAACCGCCCAGGCCGCTGACCTTCCCTTTTTCCTGGGGAGCCCTCCGACTTTGGCCCCACGTTTCCCCAAAGACTGCCCTTCCCCTGTCTCCTTCGTCTGGGCGCCCGACCAGGATCCAGGGCAGGGAGCTCGCCCCGCCGCAGAGGAGGATGGGCGAGGAGTAGGCGGCGGCGGCGGTGGGGACCGCGTGGGAGCTGCTTCTGCCACCTGACAGCGAAGCAGGCTGGTGTCCAGAGCCCCCGTGAGGGCCAGGGCGCCCCCCAGCGCAGCCTGCGGCCTGGGTTCCAGACGTGGGACCCCAACCCCGCTCGCGGCGCACGGAGCCTCCCCTGCGCGCCTGTGTCCTCGGGATCCACCCGAGCCTGGCGGTCTAAACAGAAACCCCAAACACCCGCTCACTGGGGAGCAGCCAGGGCAGGCCTACCTGGCAAGGGCCAGCGGGAAAGGAGAAAGGAAGGCAGGGAGCCGCTGGAGCTGAAAATAGCCGCGAGCTCCACTCCTCGACCCAGAGACGGAGTCGGCTCCCCCATGGTCACCTAGCCGGTCGGGGGCCGGCCTGGGGGGCCTGATCCCTGGCCTGCGGTGGCACACATTGTTGCCACGTCTTTTCCTGCACACCTCTCCTACTGTCAGGGCCCCACCCATGCCTGGCTCAGCCAGACTCCCGGCCCGGTGTCTACCTGCCTGCAGGATTGAAGCGCGCAGGACCTCGTGGAGAGTGGAAAATATGACAGGGACACGAGCCCTGTCATGCCACTTCCATGCCTAGGTATTTCCCCGCCACCGTGGGCGGGGCAGACCTGCCTTCCCCAGTGGAGCGTAGGAAGGAATGTGACATCACACTAGGAAGTGGCTTGAAAGTCTTTGAGCCTGATTTTCTGGCATCTAAGTCCTTCATCACCAGGAGTGTCTGCTTAAGTCTATTCCAAGTTGAACGTCTAAATGAATTATTCATTCCTTTCCAAATCCTATTTGAGCAGTTACTGCATGCTCTGCATTGGCCTATGTGGAATGACCCCAAAGTGGAAGCCATCCCAAATGGCTTCTAAGGAGAATTATGAATCTGCCTGAGTCGTGCTCATTAACTTCTGTAAGGCAGGAATCCCATGGTGTTCAAGTACTTCAGAGCCTGAAGACTGTTCCTGTCTAAAACTTCCCGATAAGGTGATGTCAACAGGGACCTGTTGCCCTAGCCATCAGGAGACACCCCAGAGTCATCCCACAGGGCACTGAGTTGTAGGAAAAGGTTCAAAATGTAATCTCCATTCAATAGATTACTGGTCAAGCTCTTCCCAACGGTCTTTGAAAGATCAGAGACAGTGAGACAAAAGCAACCATAGGAGCAGAGATGCAATAATTGTGCTAATAGCAAAGCTTCCTGTGATAGGCTGAAGGTCAGTGGTTTGTAGATTTCTACACTCTTAAAAAGTATTGAGGATTCCAAAGTGCTTTTGTCTATGTAGGTTATGCCTGTCAATATTACTACATTAGAAGTTAAAGGGAGAATTTTTAAACGTTTACTTTCTTATTTAAGTGACAATAAACCCATTACATGTTAACGCAAATATCATACAATTTATGAAAAATAACTCTACTTTCTAAAACAGGCTTATTGAGAAAAGCGGCATTGTTCTACATAGATGCAGATCTCTTTGATGTCTGGCTTACTAGAAGATGACTGGATTCTCATACTTGCTTCTGCAATCAGTGTCATGATATAATATGTCATATAGCTTCTGAAAAGGTCCACCATACACTAATGAGAGAATGAGAATAAAAAAGGAATATAAGGTCTTAATATTACGATGAACATAGTTTTGATTTCACAGATCTTTTTGAAGGGTCTCTCAGGGACCCATAGGGCTCCCACTCTTTGAGGACCTCTTTCTTAAGCTATAAATAGAGATTATTATTTATTTCCCCTACTATCAGCAGTAAACGAGGTTCCTCTGTATATGTATATTCTTCAGCGTTTATGTCCTCATCCAAAACAAAACAAAAGTGTTACTATTTTTATAAAAGTCATATGATTTGCATTCAGAATTATTTCTATGAGCAGTGTTGAAAGGTATTTCTAAATCTTTATGCTATCTTTTTTCATTTTCACTTTATGAATAGATGCATTTGTGTCCTATCTTATTTCTTAGCCTGAGGACTAGTATATATGCCAAGTTTAATGGGTATTGTTGCCCCAAAATGTATGAAGTTAAGACAGGCCATCCCAGTCCCCTGCAGTGCCTCTCACTGGACACTTCTGACATTGCACTTTGCTACTAATTCTGAGAATCTGAAATTTAACTTCCTGGGATGGTCTCTATGCCAAATGTGTTTCCTGATACGTGGAAAATGAACACTTGGCTTTGAAGGCAGAACTGATTCCGGGTATTGTAAACTTAGCAATTAAAAATAACAGGAAACCATAATATTTACTGCAGGTTCTCAATTACCTTGAAAAAAAAAAACTTAAATGTATTCATCTCCTTCGAACATTTAAGTTTTTCCAAATTTATATTTTGCTCTTATAAACGGTGCTGCTGCAAAGATTCTGGTAATGTCCTTTTGTGCGAGTATTTCAGAGGCCATTTAGTGAACGGAATTGCAGAATCATTGGGTAGGTACATCCTCAATTGTATTAGAAAAGCCCTAATTTTTTTCCATAGCTATGTCCTTTAGAGGAAAAGAATTTCATTGCTTCATGTTCTTACCAATATTTGGTAATGTCAGACTTTTAAATTTTGCCAGTTTTGCTGCTCTGATGTAAAAGCTATCCTGTGATTTTATTTTATATACATTTAGATTGAGAGGTTATGCCCAGTTTTCAGAGGTGGCAGTTGTAAAGCCTCCATAACAGGGTGTATAATATGTAATAGATGCTTATCACCATCCCCCTACCAACCCCTCCTTGTCTAATTCTCTCCCACTTGCAGATATTTTTTCAATGGGAATATTCTTAATGTTTTCTAGCATTAGTCAGTGGCCATAGGAAATAATTTTCAGTTGGTTTTTTTTTTTATGAAGTAAATCAACTTCCTCTAGAGATTCATCACTTCATTCTGAGAGCAGGCAAAAAGCAACAAATCTGTGTGTGATGAAAGCATTACAGAATTCTGCTTGGTTGAATTTTACCTTCAGTCTATTTGACCCTCAGACTAGGATATGACGGCTATTCAGAAGGGTAGGAGGGCAACAATTTGGATTAAAGATTTCATATACAAATTTATATTTTACATGATGCATACTACCTTTTATTTGTTCTAACTAAATATCTGATTATTTCCCATTGGCCATATCCCACAGATAATGTTTCCCAATGAGAATGAAACAGAAATATATTCACACGCAACAATTAAACTTTCCAAAACCCAGTATTAGGCTGGGGTGGGTGTTTGGGGCTCCACCAAGATCTTTATACCTTTAAGGCCCTTAAGTTCTCATATTTCCCCTCTATGAGGCTTGGGAATATATAGCAGCATTTCTGTAGCAGACTGCTATTGTTGGGATGAAATGGACTTCTAGAAATGGAAGAAGCAGCCAGGGAGACTGGAAGGAGGTCCTTAAAGCACTTGGTTTCCTGCAGTCCTGGGCTTAATCACTCACTCCCTCGAGCTCCATTCATTAGTTCGCTCAGTCCCTCATCAAATATTTATACAGTTCCCACTGTGTTCCAGGTGATATTCTGAGTGCCAGAAATACAGCTGTACAGAAGACAGACCCTCTTAGAGTTTACAGTCATTCTAGTGTCAAGTAAATAAGAAAATTTTGAAGGATGATTTCAGGCTGGTGAGAACCCTGAAAGCAATTATGATGAAGTGATGGAGAGGGTGTTGGGGAAGTCCTCCCTTCAGAAGGGACTATGGTGCAGCAGAGGCCCTTGTCAAGGCAAGGAGTCCAGCATGTGGAGGTCTGCGAGAAGGGCTTTCCCCAAAGTAGGAAACAGCTAGTGCAAAATCACAAAGGAGGAAACAGTTTGTAAATTCCAAAATAAAATAACACAGACGAAGCCAATAGCCTCAGCTGCCTCAGCCTCCTTAGTAGCTGGGATTACAGGCGTGCACCACCACGCCCAGGTAATTTTTGTTTTTTGCTTTTTGTGTGTTTTTGGTAGAGATGGGGTTTCATTTCACCATGTTGACCAGGCTGGTCTCAAACTCCTGGCTTCAAGTGATCCACCCGCCTCCAATTGTAATTGTTAAGTGAAACATTCAACCATGTTAATAGTTAACTGGCAAAGGATAACCTTTTTTTGTCTATCAAATTAGCAATGATTTAATAATGAGTATTCTCAGTGCCACACACTGCTTGTGTAAGAGGAGCAAATGTCTCTATGGAACATCAAGAACCTGAAAAGGAATCTTGCCCTCTGAATATATGCTAAGCAAATGATTAGGGAAGTAAAAATATTTGAGAAAGGATAACTATTGCACTTTGACTACTGATAGCTAAAACTAGAAATAATCTGGATGTCCACTGAAGGCAGCAAAGCTATCAGATTATGGACCATCCATTTGATAGACTTAGTGACTACTTATAGATTGTATTTCGTATAATAGTAATGTGGGCAAATATTTATGCTAAGTTTTAAAAAGAGTGTTAAACTCCATGTATTATATGGTCTCAGTTATATCCATAGAAATGTTATAAAATATCAATAATTATCTTTAGGTTGTGAAGTTATGGGTGACATTTTTCTTCCTTATATGTTTTAGAAATTTCCACATTCTCTCAAACCATTATTGCTTTCGTAATAAAAAGAAGTTTCTCCTAATTTATTTTATAAAATGTCTTAAATATAATTGACTCCCAAGGGGATTACTCTACCACCTTCCTAACAACCTCCCTATGTAACCTTTTACCTCCTCCCAATCTGCTGTACAATAGTGCCCTATCAATGTGTTTCTTTATGTCGAAAGTTCTTCCAACCTGTTGCCTCCAATATCTCCCATATACCTACTCCTAGTGGTAAAGTCCAAATAGTTCAGTCATGGGTTTAAGACCCTCTGTCATATGAGATTGTTTCCTGAACAACTTTCTCTTCACACTCTTCTTCTCTGGCTAGATTTCTGTTTTTTCTTACCTTGTAATTTTCTCAGTGTCTAGCATAATGTTAACCACTTGGTTAGCACTTTTTAAAAATCTAAAAGTACGCTTGAGAACACAAATATTTCCCCTGTGTTTTTGAATTTGAGAGAGGACATGGGTCCAGTTTTAGGAAAGACAAGAATTCAGAAGCAATCAAGTACAGTGTGGAAGGCAGGACTACGGAATAGCATCTGACGACAAAAACTGTTGAAACAGATGGCTGCTGTCTACAGCCTTGAAAGCAAATGAGAAGCTGCAGTCTGTCCCTGGCTAAGCAGGGTAAGTGACGTAACATGGCTGTGGAGGGAAAATGTAGTGTTAGCCAGGGAAGGATTAACTACATGAACCAAAGCAGGAGTGGGTCCCCACACAGGCTGTGAAACATGCAATACCGTTTCACTAAAGAAGCCTAAGGAATCTCATCCTCAGGATGTGTAGATTGACAGGAAAACCAATGAACACTGTAGAATGGTATCATTGTAGCCTTCCCAGACCCGGAAGCAGAAGCCAAATGGCACTTGGGATCACTTCCAGGTCAAAGGTTCTAAGAAAAACAAGCTTCATCAACTTCACCCTGTAGGTAAATTAATCTCTCAACTGGTTGAACACAGCTTTAGAGATGTCAACAGCCTCCTATGAGTCTAGAGTCAGGTGGTACAGGCTCAACTGGTCTAACAGCTGCAAATTTTGAGAGACTGCTGTGCTAATGTTTGGGGCTCAGATTTAAGGTATAGGTATGATTTACGTACTTTGAGCAGCCAAGCCTTCTTCAGAAGAAACCTGAGCGGCATGTGGTAAGATGAGCATGTTTTTGTTTTGAATGATTAATACTCATTTTAAATAGTACCACCTATTCCTGTAACTCTTCCTCTCCTTAAAATTTAAACACCCCGCCCCCCCCCACACACACACACACAATCTTTGGTTGTAAAATGAATGTTATCACATCAAAAAATTATCCCTTTCCTCTGTCTTCCCACATACATTTTTTCATGTGTACTCCATTTTATGAATTATTGCCATGATGGTGATTCATTCATGTATTTTATTTTAGTAACAGAGGAACAATTTTTCCCTTCCAGCCCAATCCACATTCTTCCCCACCTGCTACGCTCCCTATGCCCTGCACGCTAAGCCAACCTCACCACACTCCCAGAGCCTCACGTCAAAGGCGAAAAGATTTTCTTTTGACAAATAAGCTGGAGGAAATCTCTGATTTTATAATTGCATGGTATTTATACTTAGAAGTCCTTCAATTACTACTTGGGGAACGTACTATATTAAAAATGCTAAACCAGATCCTGACTTGCTAAAATGGGATTAAGTAGCAGCTGTGATCATTTTAAAAAGTTAACACCAGCATTATATCACTCTCCAACCCCCGCACACACCTAAAACCCTAGAATTTGAAAAATATACATTTTGGATGAGTAAGTTTTTTGTTTTATCTGTACTCATCAAGTGATAAAACTAAGAAAATATATTTTGAGATTCTATCCCGTATACTGGACAGAGACTTCCTACATATAAACATCTTGTAACATAGGAAGTCCTGTTTTACACATGAGAAAATGGGGGTTCCATACAACCAGGTGCTTTGTTGTGGTTTCAAAGCTGTGACAGTGCAGGAATTTAGTTCCAGGTCTTTTTCCACCAGACGGCATTCCTGTTGTAAAATAATTCCAGAGACTCCCTAAAAACCTATTTTGCATTTACTGGGGAAAATTTATCTGATAAAGAGAGGAAAACGTGTGAGTTTTAAATGGTGGTTAGCACTGATTTTCCTAATGGTTTTCACATTAACTGGTATCATAACCAAAATGTGGTGCAAAGCTCCCTGAACTCTTCCAGTGAGAAACATTCTTTCAGGTTGGGGGCCAGTGGAGGGGCTGTGGGCTGGACAGGGCTCCTGGCCTCTGTGGTTATACAACTTCAGTTTGACATTGTGTACTTTGTCCTTAGTGTCAATTGTCATTTCTAATTTATAAGTCCTCTCTACCCCTTCCATTTGCAGATTCTAATAGGGCTTCAGATAAGCAATTCATAGAATTGCTACTAACAAAGCAACCATTTTCTGAGAACCTGCTTTATGCTAAGCACTAGGCTTGTCATAATATATTTAATCTTTTTAATCTTAACTCTATGAGTTAGATATTATACCTATATAATGAGTAAATTGAGGCTCAAATACTTTGCCTAAGGTTTCACTCCAGGTAGCTGGTGGAGGCAGTGCTCATACTGGACTCAGACTCTAAGCCAACCTGCCACCTGCCCCTTCTCCCCAGGTACTGAGAGAGTCACCTGCCCCTTAGCATTGCTGTGAGGTAAGAAGGAGGCACTGACTGGGTGTCATCTCTGACCATCAGAGTTAACAAGCTTTAGAGCATGCATTTTGGACAGCAAGTTCACCAATTTTGCCCACCTTCTGGGTCAAAGGAAAAAATAAAAGCGCTTTGTAAAATGTAAAAGTCTATACAAATATTCCCTTTATCATTTTTTGGACAGGTAAAGTGATAAGTTAATAGTAAATTGATAAGAAGTTAATAAACAGTTATTGACAAGGCTCACATTTTAATCCATTTTAGAAGCAAATGAGCAGAGGGAGTAGAGTTTAGCTAGAAGATGGGAGTTAGGGCTCACTGTTAAGCCAATAGCCTCTGACCTCCACTCCCCTCCCCTCCTCCAGCTCCTCCCCACCTGCTTCCCCACAACAGGAAGAACTCTCTGCAGAAGGTCTCCTCACCTTGTTGAGGCCTGGGAATGTGCAAATGTGCAGGTAAGCTGTGGACTGGACAAAGAACAGATTCTCAGGATAACAGTACAAAGTTTGAAAATTTTATTGGAAAATAAGTACAGTCTATTGATCCGTGATGCATGCTGTACATGAATTTGGTGCTTTAATATACAAAAAATTTGGCTTCTGCTGCAAAATTATATAAACAGGTTAAAAAAAACTCCTTCATCAACTAGTACAAACATAATTTATCAAAAATGTCATTTAAAAAATGGCTCAATACCTTTTATTGCAAATAAGAAAGGCAAGAGAGGGAAAATATAAATTGTGCTAAACCAGTTTTAACAACCGGTAATTAAATATTTTGTTGCATTTGCAAACTCTTCTTCAACACTTAGGGCATCTTTAAAAAAATGCCATAAAAAAACTGCAAGAAAATCTAATTAATGTGGAAGGCATTAAAAGTTTTTTGTTTTGTTTTAGTGGGGACAATAAGTCAAAGGAAGTTCACGGGGAACTAGGAATGTGTCTTCTTCCTCCAGAATTCAACCCTTGGAAGATGGGGAATAACTTTGCACTTTTCTGTTTGGATCTTCCTCCACCCACGCTTATCCATTGATTCTTGTCCCTCCTTAAATTCCAGCTGCCATTCTACTTGTAATTCTTGGTCATCATCACCCCCACTCTCTGGCCAATTTTGTCACTAACCTAAGTTTCCAAATTGGCTTGCTTTCTTAGCACTATGCATGCTGACACATTTTCTGGATGACAGACTAAAATAATCTGCAAAATTAAATTTGTAAAACATCTAATAGGCTTTTCAAGACGTGACATCCCTGCTCCATGGGCTTCTGGCTGTAGTCTGTGTGTCAAATGAAAGCTAGGCCCTGTCTGTTGGAACAGCAGCTCCAGAACAGCACTGTTCCTTCAAGCAGGCAAAGCGGGCCCAGGAGAAAGCAGGTGGAAAGGCAAGAGTCAGAGACTTAAACTCAATGTGTTTTTGTTTAGGAGGAAAATTATTATTCCAAATAAAAGTTGGTGTTCACCCATATTAAATACGAGAAATATAAAAACCAAAAGTCCTCTCCATGTTCATACAACTCTTAAAACTGTGCTTGTGTCCTGCAATCGGTGGCATATAAATTTGGCTTTCATTTTTAATGAAAATGAAACATTTTAAGAAATGTTTGCCTCTAGGGAAAGAATAGATGAAAGTAGAAGAGTTTTTCATAAAATCTAAACACAATTTTTGAAAATTCCAACATTTAGAAGTTTGGAATTTGGTGTCTTGAATAAAAGCATTCCTAGACTCGGTCACTTCCTAGCAAAATGTCATTTCTTCTCACAAACGTGCCAGTGTGGAGTGAGGGGGGACCGTTATTGACCTGAAATCAAGTACTCAGAACACCAGACTAGAAGCCAGAAATGGAGGCTCAAGTCCTAGGTTCAATAGAACTTAGAGTGTGATTTTTTTAAAAAATAGGTCACTTTCTCTATATATAAAATTAGAATAATTGCAAAAATTAAATAAGATAATTGGGGAATGTTTTTAAACATAAAGCATTACATAAATCTATGTTACATGTGCAAATTGCTCCTGGAAGGCAGTGAGGGACAGAGACAGCCACCACAGCCTCTCCCTCAGAGAGCAGCAATTCCAGCTGGAGGGAGACCAGCCTCCCAGATGTGCTCACCACCATCTCTGCAGTGGGCCTGACCAGAGAGAGAAGGCTGGAGAGGAAGTCGCCTCTTAGGGAAAGTCTCCCAGAGACTGTGGAATTGGAGGATGTTCTGAATTTTGGTAAAATTCTGATCAGCTAGAGAAAATGCGAGAAGGCCTCCTAGGCAAAGGAGGAGGAAGGGTGCAGGCAAGAGCAGAGACAGAGGAGTGCTGGGGGCAGGCGACATGGCCACCAGGCCAACCTGGGAATTCACACAGCAGGACAGCGAGGGGAAGCTGGAGGACAGGGCAGGGAGGTGGTCTGGGAGTGACATGCTGGTGGGAAAGCATGGGCTTCAGCTCCTGAACAGGTGGAGCCCCTGGGAGGTGTTTCAGCAGGAGCGGGATGACAGAAGAGCGGCATCATGGGAAGGATGGTTCATGTGTGGGCTGTGCAAGGGACATTGCAGACGGAGGAAGCCACTAGGGAGCTGTTCCTCCAAAGACGTAAAATGCAGGATAATAACAAAGGACAGGATGGTCATGCCAGGGAGGAAAGCATTAAGAAGTGGATCAATTCCCTGCTACTGTTGCTTTTTTAAGTTCTCTCCCTCCTGTGGAAAGCTAAGATGACTTCAAAACTTTGGAATCCTGGAGAATCCCTTTGTTCATTGAAGTGAGTTTTCAAGCTCTGTAAAATAAAATTCGGTCTTCGGACACTAACTTCTGGCTGGGGATGTGTATGGAAAATACAAGCAGATGGAAAGTTCTCCAAGAATATGTCTCCCTTCCTCAGTGAGGTGTCAGTCTCACTTTGCCTGCAGCACCTCTCAGGAGAGCCGCTCCAGGGTCAGTGACTCTACAGGGTCCCCAGACAAGGCATAGCCCCGCCCTTGGGCTGTGGATGACTTAACTAAGCCATCTGTAGACGGTGGCTATTTCCTTCTTGCCCTTTCTTCTAGTTCGCTGTCTCCATGCCTTTTCTTGGCAGTTCAAACATTCAGAGAGGGCATTTATTGCCCTTTTTTTGAGACGGAGTCTTGCTCTGTTGCCAGGCTAGAGTGCAGTGGCCCAAACTCGGCTCACTGCAACCTCCGTCTCCCCGGTTCAAGCAATTCTCCTGCCTCAGCCTCAGGTGTAGCTGGGATTACAGGCGTGTGCCACCATGCCTAGCTCATTTTTGTATTTTTAGTAGAGATGGGGTTTTGCCATGTTGGCTGGGCTGGTCTCGAACTCCTGACCTCTGGTGATCCACCCACTTCAGCCTCCCAAAGTGCTGGGATTATAGGCGTGAGCCACCACACCGGGCCTACTGCCTTTTTAAAAGATCTTCCCAAGCCCTCTACTCTGAAGTGCCCTGGGCTGCTATTGACGTCATGGCTTATTCCCTTAATAATCTGATTCCAGGTGACCTCAGGGATAAAGGATGATATAGTTACATTCCATGAACTCTGCAAGTCAGCATGAGGCATAACCTGGCCTGCAACGCCATAAGACAGGAGGCACCTAAAGAACTCTTGGCAACTTCTCCATGCTACCCGAGAGGCACGTGAGCCTCTCTTTGCAGTTTCTCCTTAGTGGCTGGTGACAGTAACTGGTGTTTAGATGAAGGTGACCGTCGCTGGACTGGCATGTGGTACCTGACATTCTTCCAGAACCTTGTCTTTGCAGACTGTGGTCCCTGTGTAAAGTCCCCTGACCAGCGGATAGCCCCATGTTTCTGCTTAATGAATTTAATCGATTCTGGCATTTTCTCATAGTCTTGGATTTTCTCCAGCTCAAGCAGGACAACTTTAATTCCATCCTGAACAAGAGCATTATACATGGCTATTTGCTCTTCAGATGAACCACCCAGCCAGCTGAAGCCTGATGTTTCTCTGACTAAAATGATAATCAGTCTTCTGCTTTTCTTTACGTTTTCATTAATGACCTCAACAATGTCTGAAAAACAGGAAGCACAATATAGTAAGTAAAATTCTATTTATCATCATTCTCTCCTGAACCAAAGCCACACAAGGCTTTTCACAACCGTATGGCTCCTAATGCCTTTTTCTTGTCTTACTTAAAATTAAAGGAGTTTCCCATGTTTTTAATTAATTAATTTTAAGAGACAGTCTCTTGTTCTGTTGCTCACACTGGAGCGCAGTGGCGTGATCTTGGATCACTGCAGCCTCAAACTCCTAGGCTCAAGTGACCCTCTCACCCTGGCCTCCCAGGGTTGTACTGAGATAAAAGGCATGAGCCACTGCAAACCTCCCATTTTATAGACTAACTCAAAAATTGGCCCTCAAAAGACAAATATTTCATTTAGAACTCAGAAAACTTTGTTGGAATTTTAAAAACTTATTATTCAATCATTTGATCTCTACCACTCCTGTTTAATTGTATCAGTTGTAAAGCAACTGTTGGGTTTAACTAGTCATTAAGTTTTTCAAAACTAAATGAAAATCACTTAATTATTGCTCTGACAAAATATGAGAGAAGTAAATGCATTTAATAAATGTAAAAATCATCATACACTTCTGAAGAGGTTCTTAAAATTGTGAAACATATACCCCTATGCCACGATCTTCTAGAAAGATGGAATCCACATTTTACTAAGTAGTTTTACAACAATAAGCCTTTACTCTGTTCCATTACACACATACCTTCCCCAACGTAGTCATCCCTTCCATAAATGAACAGCTTATATCCACA
The DNA here is from genome assembly GCF_000001405.40 of Homo sapiens. Lineage (NCBI taxonomy): Eukaryota > Metazoa > Chordata > Mammalia > Primates > Hominidae > Homo > Homo sapiens. Next base: position 102,175,596 of record NC_000002.12, on the reverse strand, counting down.
CTGTTTTTCCAAGACCTCAGGCAAGACTTTAAACACAAAAATATCACAGTCAGAGGTAGACCCTTCCCCAACAGTCTTTGGATACAGTATATATGCGTCATAGGTCTTTCCATCTGAAGCTAAAGGAAAAACATAATGTATTTAGAACCACAAGGCAAAAATAAGAGATTTGATAAAGTCAGTATCACAAACATTCATTACATAATGAACTATTCATCTTTTTTTATACAATGGCATGACTGAAGCAGCAATACCAAAAATATAATCCCTTTAAAAAGTGTTCATCTCTTACAAGGTTTCTATTTCTTGTGTTTTACTGCAAATTTGTTCTTCTATTTGGAGGCTGCCTCGTATACTCTTAGTATAGAGCCATCCTTAAAGTCTCCCTGTCCTCATCTTCTTCCCCAGAGGTCTCAGCCCTGAATTCTATCCATTCATTTTTTTTTAGATATTGTGGTATTCCTTTTTTTTTTTTCGCAAAGTTTAAACAAAGGAGAGAGAGAACCTCCCTGATGCATGAAGATCTAGTCATTTCATTTCTTTCATTAAGGTATGATCTCTGTCTGTCCTATTCATCACAGAGCAAGGCCTACCAATGGCTTGTGCATAACTGAATTTATAAACAGATGCTCTAAATACCTGTTTATTCTACCAATATGAATGTTGAGGCAGGAACTTAGAAAACAATGATATTCAGCCTAATGAGTTCTAAAACTATAATTCTGTGTAAGAATAACTAGTATTCTTGTATATGCCACTTTTCATTTTAGAAACCCTCTTAGTAAAAACCCTCTTAGTCATCTTCTACATCTCCTAACTATCCCTTATCTCCAACAAGAAATACTGCATGGAATACAAAATTATACCTTTTATTGGGAGAAAATCATAGCAGGAATCCCTGTACCAAAGCACAATGTCAATCTTGAAGATTTTATAGATGAAAACAGAACACACAATTATGACTGTCAACGTGACACATATACCAATCATGTGCTTCTGGAAATTAGTGACTATAGCAAAAAGAAAAAAAAAGGAGAAAAAATATTAGAACCAAAAAGAATTAAAACTTTGAGCACAGCAAATTAAATATCTTCGTCTCAGAGAGCCCATATCTGGGAATGGCCTGCATTCAGACAATATTAACTCATTCATTATTATCACTTTGTAATGGATACTAATGTACAAAGCAATGATAAAACTAAGGTGCATTCTATGAAGTTTCTACCTAAATAGCATAATATACAATAACATGGGAAATAATACCGAAGACCACAGGATAGAGCATTCCACAGTAAAACAGGGAAAAGTTAAAATCACTCAAAAGCCTACAAAAGTTCCCTGAGGTCAGAGAGTCCATTGGGTAAAGTTAAAGACTGGTGGAAAGCGAATAAGGTGGAGGCTTAGGGAAGTTTCACATTTCCACATTCTCCTGGCCTCCTTCTCTACTTAGTTATCCAATAATTAAAGAGGAAGCTGGGGAGCAGATGGAGTAGGTGATGGGGAGGGGGCTAGAGAAGAAGAAAGAGGGAAGAAAAAGAAAGTACCCTCTAAATATCAGGAACCATGTAAAAGCATCCAGAAAAGGGAATCTAAAAGCTTTATTTACTTTTCCAATTTAAATGATTTGGATATAAAACAGAAATCAAGTTATACCATTTTCCAGACAAATATCCAGCTGGCCCAAATGATAGTTCACACTTACGGTCTTAAGTACTGTCGCTTCATACAAGATCATGATGTCTGTAGTAATAATCCTCCAGATTTATTTTTCTTATTTAAGACCACCATGACTATACTTGGTCCTTTACAGTTCCCTATGACTTTTACAGGTGTCCACAAAAACACACCCATACAAACACTGACTCTCACTTGTACAAATACTGCTGAGATTTTGATTGAAATTTTTTGGAATCCATAGATTCATTTGGGGAAGAACTGATATCTTCATAATATCGAGTCTTTCAATCTATGAACATTGTATATCCTTCCATTTAGTTCTTCTCTAATTTATCTCAATATTTTTTAGTTTGTATTACAGAGGTTTTGAACAGCTTTTGCTAGATTTATTCTTAAGTATTTGATGATTTTTGATGCTACCATAAATGTTATCTTTTAAATGTAATTTCTATTTGTATGCTGCCAGTATTTAAACATACATAGAAGTTAATTTATAGAGTCTTTCAGATATTCTTCCATGCACGCAATTATAATAGCCTATGTTTAATTAAACCACAAATTACCTTAAAATGTTTCACAAATACTTTCAATATTATGTTTTATTATACCAATTCATGAAACCCAGTGACTTCTGATGTCCTCTTTGAAAGTGGATATTTAGTCTTACCCTATGCATCATCAATGTAGTTCATTGGGTACCCACAATGTACCAGACCTAACTTGCCATTAGCTGTGGAAATAGAATGATTACTAAGATAAATGGTTGCCACCATCACAGAATTTATAGTTAAGTACAGAAAACGAAGTACCATAGATCCTGTGACATATGGTGCTACAGAAGTACATACAGAGGCCCTAACCTCCTCTCTTTGGGCCGAGAGCTGGGTTAAGGGCAGGCAGCAGGACAGAAAAGCTTCCAAGAAGAGAGAGTTCAGCAGAAGAGTAAAAGAGAAATAGAAGTTACCCAAGTAATGAGGAAGTGAAGCGTGTTCTAAGCAGAGGAAATGGCATTTCAAACTTCAAAGTCATGGAATCTTACTACAGTAAAACAAAACTGCATTTCAATTAGTTTGTTGTTTACCTGGATATATTAACTGGATATATGCTGCATCTATACCATGTGTATTCTTGGCAAAACAGGTAAATGGATGTTTATAAAATCTACTTTCAATTTCCGATATATTAAGCACTGTGATGAGGGTACTCCTTCTTTTGTTTGCAGGATTTTCCACACTATTCGAGAGAGAGAGTAAATAAACTTGTGTAAGTTAATTGCATCAACTACAAATAAGACCTGTATACCCTGTGTATTTCCTTATTTGTGACAAAATTGCCACTGAAATAATCACCCTGCCCAATCACAGTCACAACATTCAGACTGCTGGCAACACTAATCTGAGATTTTATAACCCCAAGACCACTGTCAGTAACAGGCTCAGTAGCAGAGAAAGCAAAAAAATTACCACTTCCAAGAAGAAAAATGTAGACAAATGCATTGTGTTCTCCATGGGGCACAGAGGAGACACTAAACAAGAGGAGATTGGGGCAGATGACAAAGTGCTTTGCAGGTGTTGTGAAGGAGAGGTCATGGGAAGCCAGGAGATCCTTGTCCCATAGATGAGCAGTAGGAAACCAGTAGAGGCTTTCGAGAGCAGTGGATTGCCTGATTCTTGAGCTCATTAATGAGTCTCTTCTAAGCTACTTGAGGAATATGAAGAATAATGAAAGATAATTGCTTCGTTGAAATGTTGCAACATGTATAACGTAAGAGAAAGGCTTCTAAGTGGTCTGTAATTTGCACCACAATGACAAGTATTTTTTACCTTAAATGTACAAGATCTTATAAATTCTACTTAGCTTAGCAAAAAAAAAAAAAAAAAAAAAAAAAGGCAGCAAAGGTTAGGAGCAACTAACACTTGCTTTTAAACTGAACCGACAAGGTTATATAAAATATCACGTGGGATTTAACACCAAAATGTGAATAACTCTTAGCATACATACCTGTAATAGTCTTCCCCTAGCACTGGGTCATCTTCATCAATTACTGACCCATTCCACTTCCAGTAAGCAATGTCACTCAACTGGCCGGTGACATTACAGATCAATTGTATCTGGGATCCTGCAAAGAATGTATTTTTAATCTTAACATTAATTGATTTTTTCTGATCTATCTAGATTAATAAATGGCTATTGAATTAAAATTTTAGATATAGAAATGCACAAAGAAAAAGGAAAATTACCCTAAACCCACCACCCAGAGAAAACCACCATTAGTAACCTTATGCGTCTCATTCCTTATCTTCTCTGTGAACATGTGCAGTTTTTGAAATGGGGTCTTTTTGCCTACTATTTTGTAATTACTGTGGATTGGGAATTTGGGCCCACATGATTTGTCTTCCAAAATAGACTCTGTCATGGCTGCTTAGCATTCCATAATACATATACACTATGATTAACTATTTCCTATTGATGAACACAATTTCCTAATTTTTCACTATTATGATTAATATTTTAATGAATAGCCTTATTTGTACACATCCTGAAGTATTAAAATCTAGAAGCAAGATTGAATTAAAGAAACATATTTTAAAAGCTAACCCCCTCTCTTTAGTGAGGCTGTGTCAGTCTACCCTCTCTCCAATAGTGTATGTGAGCACGATTTTCCCCAAAACCACCAGATAACAAGTGTTTTTGGTTAGACATTGCCTTTTGAGAGAAGAAAATGTCACTTAAGTTTTCATCTACATTTCTTGAATTCACGGTGAATCAACATGCTTTTCATTAGCTTGGTGCTCATCGGCCTTCCTTTTTAAAAACTGTTATCCCTCTATCCATTATTTAATTCCATTTTTAAAAATGAGACACAGTCTCGCTCTGTCACTCAGGCTGGAAGTGCAGTGGCACAATCTCGGCTCACTGTAACCTTCTCCTCCTGGGTTCAAGTGACTCTCATGCCTCAGCCTCTTGAGCAGCTGGAACTACAGGTGTGCACCACCACACCCAGCTAATTTTTGTATTTTTAGTAGAGATGGTGTTTCAACATCTTGGCCAGGCTGGTCTCAAACACCTGGCCTCAAGTGATCTGTCCACCTTGGCCTACCAAAGTGCTGGAATTACAGGCTTGAGCCACCACGCCTGGCTGGATGCATGCTTTAAATTTCAGTTTTTCTGAGATTAATATTCAGGGTTTTGGTTTTTTTAGTTTTTTCCTCTCTTATAAATTCCACATATTTTCAAAGTTTTTCTAACATATTTTATGGACACTTCTAAGACATTTACTGGTGCAAATGGCATTTGTTTCCTATTATGTTTTCTAGCTGGTTATTGCTAAACAAGTCTTATATTTTAGAACATTAATTCTAAATGTTAATTTATTATCTGACTAATTTATACAGAATTAATTCTAGTTTTTCCCGGGAATTTTCTTGGGATTGGTATGATCAGGAAACAATAATAAAAATGTCTTTTTTCCCTTGTGGTAAGCATACCTTGTTTTTTTCCTTCAATTGCATTAGTAGGCACTTCTAGACTGTGCTCAGTAATAGTGGTTACATGGGCATCTTTGTCTTGCTCTTGGCTTTAGTGAGAAGGTCTATAGTATTTCACCATGAAGAATATTAGTGACTATTGGCTTGCACTGATGTTATTTATTAAGTTAAGGAAATATCTCTCAATCCCTATTTTTCTAAGTCATTTTAGGAGTAATGGTATTGGATCTTATTGCCTGTTTAACACCCTTCAGGATAATCCTATGACAGGGTACTATATGCTTCTGATCCACTGTCAATATAATACATTAAAATAATTATTTCCTAATTTGAAGCTTTTTTTTGTAGATTGAGAGATCAATGCAGCCTAGGCATCAGAGCTCTCAATTACACACTTCTAGGGCAGGCATTTTCAACAGGGGCTGTGGCCAGCAGGGCAAAAACTGGTTCTTGGGGAAGAGGCAAGAAAACCTTAGATATTACATGGTTTGTGGTACTCCAAAGGGCCACAGTATATCAGCAAATATAAAAGATAACTGTGGTACTGAAATTTAAAGACAGGAAAGAGAATTAGGTGGAAGAAGACTTTTTAGACTCTAAAGGGGAACAATTTAAAACAAAAAAAGATGGTTGAGAAACATTGTTCTAGAGCCTATTGGCCCATATTTAATTTTGAGTTTTGACATTTTTGTTTCTGTCTAAGAATGTCTTTCTACCACCTTCCACCATAAATAACAAGTACAGAATTGGCCAAGTACAGAATTCACAGATCACAAGCATATACCTTCTAACCTCTGTATGGTTCTTGACTGCTGTCATGCAGTTACTATTACAGAGGACAATTCCAAGGCCAACCTATTTTGGGTCCTCTGACACAAAGAACCACTTTTTCTCTCTTGATCAGTGGTTTCCAATAGAACTTTCAGTGATGTTGGAAATGTTCTATATTTGTGCTTGTCTGTACAGTAGTCACTTGTCACATGTGGCTATTAAGCCCTTGAAATATGGCTAATGTGACAGAGGAACTAATTTTTAATTTAACTAAATGAATCAATTGACTTAATTTAATTGTACATGTCCATAACTCCATGCGCCTAGTAACTACTGCACTAAACAGTGCAGAGCTAGATGCTTGTGGGGTTCTTTCTTTACTCTTGAATAAAAAATGTTCACTAACTTGGAAAAATACTTTTCTAGAATGACTACCATCTTTGGGGCCTGTAGCCTTACTCTTCCGACTCAAAGCTTGGATCTGGTCATGAGAAATCCAGTCCTGAAATTGTAACACTGCTGATGTCTGTCGTACAATGATCAATTCTTCAGAAGTTCTTTAAGATGTCAAATATAATTTTTGTTTAATTCAGAGATAAGTAACACCTACTGTATTGATTCACTTTTACAGCAAACCCTATTTTTGTCATTAAATATTTTAACTCTGTGAAAAAAAAAAAAAGAAAGAAATCCAATCCTGTACCAGTCAATGGCATTGCTGGTTCCTAGGCCTTTTGACCTTGGTGTCTGGTTGGTGTTTTCATGGTAATAAGTGTTCACAGAAAAGTAGGGCTGGAGATATCAGACATGGCAAGATGTTTGCCATAGAGGCAAGAAATACAAAAAATTAAGATATAATTTGTCTCACTTTCCCTCCATTGATAGATTTATACAGTAAATGGCTTAGATTATATATAGTAAAGATACAATTTATCTTACTCTTATGTTTTAAAAAAAAAAAACCGATTCCAGCATACCCTCACTGAAGCCCACTTACCCAAGTCTACTTCCATTGTCTCATTAGCTGGGCTCACAATCACAGGCCTTGTGGGTTTGTTTTCCTCTGAAAGAAAAACATCCATAAGGTTTGTCAGTCTCTTATAGATCAGAATCTCAAGTGACGACAACACTTAGCAAAACATACTAAATGACTTCTGGCCAGATATTCCATCAAGTGTTCAAAGCACATATGCCAGGAGACAGGAGGCAGAAAGTGAAGGAAGAAAGCTGAGGCAGAGGCCACAGCACACTGTGAATCCCGGGGTAGAGCTAGACCTTCCGAATTCATAGAGTGGGGTGCTACTGAAAAACACACACATCACCAGGACCCTGGGTCCCCAGACAAATGCCTCTCTTAAGTGAAAGCATGTCAGCAAAGGCGAGAGTAGTGGAAAGTCACTTCCTTGAATTGGGTGTTATTGGCCAGAAGGGCTAGTCAATACTAGACCTGCTTGCATTTAATGACTGTGTTAATGACCCAATAGTGAGAACTACAGGGTTATGGAATAATGCTGTAATTTATTAAAATAGGCAAAAAAGTATCAAGAAGCCCCAGAAATTAATCTGACTTATTTATGAAAAGATTGGTTTCAGGGGTTTATCTGTGGCCATGAAGAAACTATGAGAAACTATAAAATTGAGCACTCGGTATTCCCCCAATCAAAAAAAAAGTGAACACCATGAAGGTAGGATATTCTCTGTTTTTTTCCCTAATGTATACCTATTACAGTTCCTGAAACATAGTAAATGCTCAATAAATATTTTTGAATCCTTGAGTGAACAAAAAGTGCTAGGCATCATTGGTGTGGGCCTTGGAAAGAAAACAAAATATTACCTCACTCCGAGTAGAGTATATTGTTTCTACAAATGGGATCAGAAAAGGAAACAGAGAATATCAAAAACACACTTAACCTGGCCGGGCGCGGTGGCTCACACCTGTAATCCCAGCACTTAAGGAGGCAGAGGTGGGCGGATCACGAGGTCAGGAGATCGAGACCATCCTGGCTAACACGGTGAAACCCCATCTCTACTAAAAATACAAAAAAATTAGCCGGGCGTGGTGGCGGGCGCCTGTAGTTCCAGCTACTCGGGAGGCTGAGGCAGAAGAATGGCATGAACCCGGGAGGCAGAGCTTGCAGTGAGCGGAGATCGCACCACTGCACTCCAGCCTGGGTGACAGAGCGAGACTCCATCTCAAAAAAAAAAAAAAAAAAAAAAACACTTAACCTAGCTTAAATAGTCCCCAGTGCCCAGTTCTCTCTCAAGTTCTACTTGCTGGTTAGGTTACTATGTTTCAGGAAAGACAGACCAGAGCTACCCAATGACAGGCTGCTAAAAACTCAAGAACATGGTTTGATACAAAGACCATTGAAAATTGGGATTCACTGATGCCTGTGGGACCATGGCAAGGAATTAACTTTTATTTAATAAAAATATTTTTAGGAAAATAAAGTATTATATAACTGGAAAAGTGAAGCTATTTATAGGGTGATCATATTCTGAGTTTGCTTGGGATAGTCCCAATTTATACCTGTTGTCCCAGCATAACTACTAATAGTCACCCCTATAACCTGCAAAAAAGTTCTGATTGGAATAACTCTTATTTTATTACATAAATCTTACAAAATCTCAATATTTACAAAAAGTTTGAGCATTCTGACTATCCCCTGGCAATTTGTGCATTTTGTTTCATTTTGCTGTGATATAGTTTTCAATATGAAACATGGTTAACGCAGAATTGAAAGACACAAGAAAATTAACAAGAACAATCATCCTACACCTATTAATTGCATAGCTGTTTTGCACCAAGCATTTCTTTGCACCAGGTACACAAGTTTCGTGTACCCCATATCTCTAATCTTCCCAATAACCTTGGGAGATTGCATCATCTTGTTACAGAAGAGGAAACAGGGTTAGAGAGGTTAACACCTAACACAGAATGAACAGGAGGTAGATTCTGGAAATGTGACTTATTCCAAAGCTCATTAGTGTCCACACCGATGCTTGCTGCTAGACACTGACACTCACTGAGATTCCCCAGGTGCAGGCTCTCAGAACATTCCCATATACCAGCCAGAGGGAGCCCCAGAGCTTTCAGTAAGAACCATTTTTAGCCATGCCAAAGAACAACCCTCTTAAATCAGTTGGAAAACACAGCTCATAATGTCTCTATTTAATTAGAACTACATCTGAAGCAGGAATGGAAAAACATTACATAGTATTTAGTAACAAAAAAACAAAACTAAAGCCATGTGACTTTTGTGGTATCATTGAGGTCGTCTTGGATTTGGTTTCTTCATGGATAATGAAAGTAGTATTAGAATCACAGTCTCTGGACCTTCCCAGATCTAAACCTTTTAGGGCTGGAGCTATGACTCACCTAGAGTAATAAATTCTATTACCCGGGTAATAGGATATTGCTTGCCCAAGTATGTGTAGGATGCATGACAAGTATAGTTCCCTCTATGCTTTTCAGCCACATTCATCACGATGAGCCTATCTTTGACTCCACTAAAGTGTATATTGTCAAGAAGTAGAGGTTTGCAATCCTAGATAAAGGGAGAGAGAAGCATTGAAAACCAATAACCAATAACTTTCCCCAATCTACCGCCAAAGGAGCTCCATTTTTTTCACCTTAGCAAATGTTATATTTTTAGAAAGTGACTGGAAAAGTTCCTTACATATAGTAAGTTTTAATACTGGCTTTTTGGAAACAGTTAACTATATTCCTATGACATTAAGTTTTCAAGTCTATGAGACTTGTACTATGAAGTGAAGGCCAATTTATTTTGCAAGAAAAACATGTTTGAAAAAAATGTTAACACTATATAGTTTCTTAACAATACTGCACTTCATTGATATTACGTATTTAGTACGTCTTAAGCTCTACAAGATGATTCCCCATTTAAGTTCCATCAGACTAGGTAGATTAAAGTTACCAAAACATGGGGTGTTCCATGGAAAGCTAGTCAACCCACTTTTCAGACAGTTATGGAAACTAGCAGGTTATTTGAAGACCATATCTTCAATAAAACACACATAGTATGTTTTGTAATAAATAGTTACATCTTCAATACCTTAAGCTTATAATCAGCCTTCTCTTTAAACATCTATTTCTAGTACTTTTCTCAATTACATCTTATTAAATTAAATAAAAACAACAGCAAACAAATTTCTAGTTAAGCTTCAAATTAAGTGAATGCAGTCTTACAATTCTTTTTAGGTTCCCTATCAAGTTTCACCATTAAAGAGAAAACAATATACAAAATAAAAAGGTACTTTGCAGATACATTCTATTGTCCAGGGAACTATTTTATTTTCTGGAAAAGTGAAATGTCATATTTAAAATAAAATTACCTTATACCACTGTAATTTAGGTAACTCATTATTTTCATTTTTAAAAAACTCCATATAAGGGCACACAAGTCCTCCGTCTCCTGCAACGGGTAGTTTCTGCTTAAATATGGCTTGTGCATTATAACATAAGTTAGGCTCATTCTCCACAAATTTTGCACTTATTTTAATTCTGAGGCAGTAAGATGAATTTCTAAAATAAAATAAAATAGGTAAGTTAAGCATTATTAAAAGTATTTCTGTCCTTAACAACTGCAGGAAACTAGAACATGTTTGTAACATACTAATTCCTCTCTTACCTTACCACGCAATAGTAATGTCCTGAATCCTCCACCTTAGCAGGAACAAACCAAAGTTTCTCTTTGTGTTGATGAATCCTGGAGGCTTGTTCTGTAGATACAGGTGTCTTGCTGTCATCTTTATACCAAGTTATAGTGCCTTTGTGTTCATTTGGGTTAAGAGGACAGGGACGAACATCAATTTCATTTGCAGATGACACTAAAATTATTTTTTCTTCACGTTCCTTGCATTTATCTTTAAAAGGAAGAAGGGTGGAAGCAATTTACATAAAAATCTGCCAGTGTGTCTTGATTTAATATCTACGAAGAAACACATTGATTATTAAATACATCAATTCACATTACATATAAAAGCTTTACAGCCTTGTGATAAGATCATTATCTGGGGAGTCTGAGAAGCATATTCAAGTCCAGCTGCATCACTTACTGCCTGTGTGCTGTACCCCTGGCAAGTTATTTAACATCCTTCACCCCCTTTTCACTCATCTAAAAAGTGGGGACAATGTAGGAGGAGAGACATGCCTTTCAGTACAAGATGGAGTAATAGAAACTGGATTTACCTTCCCACATGAACAACTAAAAAATGGACAAAATATATGAAACAACAGTATTCAAGACATTGAACATCAGAAAACAAAGGAGAGAAATCCCAGAAAGACGGAGAAGAAAGGAGGTGTCCAAAATTACAGCTAGGCCATGACATTGCCGAGAAAAAACACAGGCAAAGCCCAGTGAGTTGAGGAGATGGAGCTGAGAACCTGGGTAGAAAAGTTTGCAGGGCAGAGTACCCAAGTACTTAGAGCTGCATAACGACACGCAGAAAGAGTCTTGGGATAACTGAGAGTCTCCCCCAAGTTTTCAGCTGAGTATCAGTCAGTGTAAGCATATAAGAAAATGACCCAAGGCTAGAGGGAGGACTACCAAACGAACTGGAGGGAGTAACACATGGAGCACACCCAATGCTGGAAACAGTTGCTGTTCCCAACAGCCAGGGTGGAAAGCCTCATTAATGATAAGGCATCAGGCAGAGTACCCAGAAGGGTTCTGACTCAGTCATTAGGGAAAATTAGGCCAAGAATAAACTTTTTCCTGATCCTAATTAAGCTTAAAAGCAAGACCCGAAAGGATTAAACCATTTCCAAGTAACAATCATGTGGCAGAACAAAGCTCAAGAACATTCTGGGGAATACGAAAATATCCAGCACCCAACATGGTAAAATCCACAATGTCTAACATCCAAAAAAATAATTAGGCATGCAAAGAAGCAGTAACATACAACCAACGATAAGGAGGAAAAAAATCGATCAGTCAAAACTGACCCAGAAATGACACAGACAATAGGCCTAATAAATTTAAAAATTAAAATAGTTTATTACTATTGTATTCCATTTATTCAAGATGCTACAGGAAAGATCAAACATGATTAGTGAAGACATGAAAGAGATTTTAAAAAACTTTTAGAGATGAAAACAATAATGTTGAGTTACAAAAAACAATGGATGGGATTCACGGCAGATTTGATACTGCAGGAAAAAAAAAGATGAGTGAACTTGAAGACACAGCATTAGAAATTATCCAAAATTAAGCACAGAGACAAAAATAACAGAATAAAATGGGCAGGGAATTATTTTACTTAGGACAACTTCAATACATGTAATATGAATCACTGAAGAAGAAAAATGTGGAAAACAGAAAACATATTTGAAGTTTTTCAAGATGTGACAAAAATGATGTATACATAGGCCCCCATATCACAATGAACCCCAAGCAAAAGAAACATAAAGCAAACTACAAACACATAATAATAAAATTGTTTAAAACCAGTGACAAAGATAAAATCTTCTATGTAGCCCGGGAGAAATGACACAATTATTGCAGAGGACAAAGACAAAAAATGATGCAGCTTTCTTTCCAAAAACAATACAAGCCAGAAGAGAGCAAAACAATATCGTTAAAGTACTGAAAGAAAAAGTCTACCTAGAATTCCATATCCCATGAAAATATATTTAAAATTTAGGAAAAAATACTGACTTTTTCAGATTTGCCAAAGCTGTAAAATGTCATCACCAGTAGACCTGCATTACAAGAAATATTTAATTCCTTCAAAAAGCACAATATTATAAGATGAAAATGAATCTACGCAAAAGAATGAATAGCAACAAAAATGGGTAATTATAAGATCATCTTTCTTATTATTTAAATCTCTTTAAAGAAAACTGAGTGTTTAAATAAAAAATAATAAAATGCTATAAAGTTTAAAACAAATAAAGAAGTAACATATATGGAAATAATAGGGCAAAGTTCAAGAAAGGAGAAATGGGTATATACTCTTAACTTTGTATACTATATGTGAAACTGTATAGTGTTACCTGAAGGCAGACAGAGATAACTTAGAGATGGCTATTTAAGCCCCAGAGCAGTCATTAAAAAAACACATACACAACAAACAGTTATGACTAAAAAGCCAAAAAGCAAAATAAAATGAATCCTAAAAATGCCAATTAATCTAAAAGGCAGCAAAAAAAGAGAAAAAAATAACAGAATTGATGGGACAAATAGAAAAACAAATAGCAAGATCCCAGAATTAAACCCTAATATATGAATAATCACACTAAAATTTCAAATAGTCTAAACACTCTCATTGAAAGGCGGAAATGATCAGATTGGCTAAAGAAAGGCCCAACTATGTGGTGCCTAACATAAACACATACACCTACATACAGACATTTTATAAATAAAGGTAAAAATAGATTAAAAAGAAAAGAAAAATATTTGCCAGGCTAACACTCATGAAAAGAAAGTTTGATTAATTAGCTAGGGTTAACCATTTCACAATGTATACATATACCAAAACATCACATTGTACACTGTAAATATACACGATTTTGTCAACTATACCTTAATAAAAATTAATTAGTTAAAGCTTGAGTGACTATTATTATCAAAGTAGATTTTACAGTAAAAATATTACAAGAAAAAAGGGGCATTTCATAAAAATAAAGAAGTCAGCCAGGCGTGGTGGCTCATGCCTGTAATCCCAGCACTTTGCAAGGCTGAGGCGGGTGAGTCACCTGAGGTCAGGAGTTTGAGACCAGCCTGGCCAACATGGTGAAACTCCACCTCTACTAAAATACAAAAAAAATCAGCCAGGTGTGGTGGTGGGCACCCATAATCCTAGCTACTTGGGAGGCTGAGGCACAAGAATCACTTGAACCCAGTAGGCAGAGGTTGCTGTGAGCCGAGATCGCACCACTGCACTCCAGCCTGGGTGACACAGAGAGACTTTTGTCCCAAAAATGAATGAATAAATAAATAAATAAATTTTAAAAAAATAAAGAAGTCATTAATCAACAGGAACACAATAATACCAAATGTTTATGTAGCTGCTAACAGTGCTTCAAAATACATGAAGCAAAAACTGACAGAACTGCAAGAACTAGAGAAACTGGTTCTGCAAGAAACTAGAGAAACCCCACTCACAAGGACCGATAGAACAAGCAATAAAATTAAACGGATAATCAGTAACAACATAGAAGATTTGAACAACACTATCAACCAATTTGACATAATTGATATTTGCAGAAAATTCCAACCAACAACAGTAGAACATTACATTCTTTTTAAAGTGCACACATAAAACTTAGCAAATTTTCCATATTCTTCCCCATAACCCAAGACTCAGTAAATTTAAAAGGATTCAAATTAGACAAAACTTATTCTCTGGTGACAATGGAATTAGATTAGAAATCAATAATAGAAAGATATCCAAGGAATCCCTATATATTTGAAAATTAACATACTCCTAAATAACTCATGAGTCAAAGAAATCAAAAAGAATATAAAGTATTTGTATCTGAATGATAAGGAAAACATAACATATCAAAACTTATGGCATTCAATGAAAGCAGTACTTAGAGGGAAACTGCTAGCCTTAAATGCCTATATATTTTTTAAAAATTTCAAATTGATGACTTGAGCTTCTACCTTAAGAAACTAGAAAAAGAACAAAGTAATTCCAAAGTAAGCAGCAAGCAGAGATTCTATGCCTGGGTCTTCATTTACGAAGGTGACTGAGTGACAAAACAGAGACTAATGCAATTGAAAGATTTGTATTACTTAGTGGTTCGGACAGAAGGGGTGTGCCATACCACGCAAAACCACAGGGAGAATCACCAGATTGGGTTAGGAGGCAGAAGCAGAAACAAAAGGAAAGCCTAGGCCAGCATCTTTACTGGGGTTCCCATGGGAAAGGCAAGGCAGGGCAGCATAAACAGTTTCAGATTGGCCCATTTGAACCATTTTTGCAGGCTTTGGGCATAGAGGCTGTCCCTAGTTCTCTGGTACCTAGCCCTGTGTTGATTGAGGCTGGGGTAACATTGGTTTGGGTGTGTGAGAGTTGGATAAGGAGGTGAGTGGGGTACCATCTTGGGTCAAGCAGTCTCACATGAAGGGCAAGCTGTAAGCTGTCCACAACACACCTAGGAACTGCTTAGCCCCTGGTGGAGCAGTCTCTCCCTAGATATGAAACATCTTCCAGAATGTCAAAATATGGTAAGATACAGAAAATAAAAAACATAATTAATATAACAGAAGTAAGAAGAAAATAGTAATATGGATCAGAGAGGAAATCAATGAAATAGAAAACAGAAGAACAATGAAGAAAAATCAAAGATACCAAAAGCAGATTCTTTCACAAAATCAATAAAATTGATAAATCTTTAGCCAGACTAATCAGGAAAAAAAAGAGATGACATCTCTTTTTTAAATAATTTGTAAAGGGTAGTGAGGGAATATTATAAACAATGTTATGCCAATAAATTTAATAACGTAAATGAAATGAGCAAATTTTCCAGACTATTAAAGCTCCCTTGAGAAGAAGTAGATAGCCTGGATTGCCCTATATCTATTAATACTATTTTCTATTCAAAGAAATTGAATTTGCAAGATTTCCAATATGGTGGAGTGGGGGTCTCATAAATCATTCCTCCATAAAGGCAACAAAAAGACTGGCAAAAAATTTCAAAAATCAAAGGCTTGCAGTAACCAGAAGAGCATTTACTAGAAAATAAGGAAACAAACAGAAACATGCCAAATCACGGATCAGCAGGGTTTGTAGCTTTATAACTTAAATGACTTCCATCCTACTCTTCCCAGCTCTAAAACAGCCATGAATATCAAGAGCTTTGCAGACACAAAGGCTTTGAAAACCAGCAGGCTTGCAAGAAGAGAGAGGGTTTGGAGCTCCTCGAAAAGTCCCATTTCCAGAGCACTGCCACTCTTTGACTTGACTGGCAGGTCCTCAAAGTCACATTCATAGGGTGGTGGTGTTATTGACCTCACCAAGAGCTCCACAGCAAAAGCACTATCCCCAAGGCGTTTGCTGGAAAAACTCAGTGTTAATTGTTTTTTACAACTGCCTAAAGCTGCAATACCAGAGCCATAACCTCCAGAGGGCTTTGAAAAGCTCTGACACATTCCTGGGGAACCCAGAAGGGTGGGCATGTATGCAGGGCTGTGTGCATGCCCAGGAAATTGCATAGAAGGCACCAGGCTCTCATTTCTGGATGACTCTGAGGTCATACACAAGCAGGAAGTGAAGGCTAAGGCCTTAAACAGCCTTAATGTTGAAGGTATGCTCCAACACACATGGAGCCCCTCAGCAAAGGGGAGAAAACTCACTGGACCAAGGAATTTAAGTCAATCTCTGGCTCAGTCCTTAAAGTTCTTATCTTTCCTAACTACACTCCATGATCCCATTCAGTCTCATGGTTCTCATACCAGCCGCTTGCTGAGGTCTCCAATTTTATATATTCAACCCAGACCTTTCCCTCAGGCTGTAGACTGCCTAGTCAAAGTCACCTTTTAAACATCTAATGGACAGCTAAACTTAACACATCCAGTCTGAAAACCTGATCTTCCCCATCTCATCAATGGCAATTTCACCTTGCGTTTGCGCAGGCCAAAATTCCCTGAGATAATTCTTGATTCTTCTCTTTCCCTCACATCTCACATCTGACCCAACTCCAAATCCCTCTTGGTTCTGTTCCCAAAATATTTCAAAATTTGTCTACTTCTCACTTCTCCTTGCCACCCTTTGACAAGCCATCAACATTTCTTGCCTAGAGAAAGCCATCATCATGGCTTGCCTCTTCACTGGCTTCTCTATTTCTCTCTTTGGCTCCCTCGGATCTATTCTCAAAACAGGAATCAAAACGTAAGTCAGATCACCTCTCTGGTCTTAAACAAAGAACCCTGAAGTCTTCCCATCCCAGCCAGACTACAAGCCAAGACCCTAAAAAAGGGCACAACATTCCATATAATCAACCCTCTGCCATCCCCCCATTACCCAGACAGCCTGGTCCCTTATGACTTCCCTCATCTCTCACTATGCTCCAGACATGCTGATATTTTTATTCTGAAAGCCTGCCAAATACTCTTGGCCTCTGGGCCTTTGCACATGCTGACTGGAATATTTCCACACCCCAATCTGATATCCAAATAGCTCTCTTTTCCCCTTCCTTAAGGTCAACTCAAAAGTCAGCTTCTCAGGGAGGTTTTTTTCTGGCCACATTCAAAAAATTAACCTTCTGCCCACTGTAATGCCAAAACCTTATACTCTTTTTTCCTCCCTATACTTGCCATCATATGACACAATATATGTCTACTTATCTGTTATCTCTCTCTTCTACAAGAATATAAACCCTATGCAGGCAGGTATTTCTGTGTGCACTGTTCCCTGCTGTATCCCCAGTAGCTAGCACCTGGCAAAAAGAGAAAAGATTAGAGAAAATGAAGAAATGGAAAGAAACAGAAAAAGTAGTGTATCTTGATGACTTCCAGCTGTGGGTTCATAAAGACTATACATAATATCTCCTCCAAATGAAAGTCAGAATTTCCCATATCACACTTTCAACCAGCAGCCAAGTGGAAAGAGGCCTGGACCTAGATTGGAGACCTAGATTTTAGCTTTTGTTCCAAAACTAGCTACATGACCTTGGGCTCTCAGCCTCACTAGGCCTCAGTTTCCCACTCTATATGGGAGAGAATGAGACGAAGATGCTGAGAGGAACTTCCAGCAGTACAGGTCTATGACCAGGAGGCTCTGTGCCCAGAGATTCAACAGAGACGAGTATGAGAAATGACTCTGTTAGGGAAGGTACTTCATGTATTCTAAATAACAGATTTTCTTAGCAGACAAGAACACAAAGAAATACTTAACTTACCAGCCTCCAGAGAAGAAATCAGTAGAGCTATGAAACAAATAAGTCTGAGTAACACTTTCATATTCTTCTGGAGAAATGGAGGAACGAAAGAAAGACAAAAGCAAAAATGTTACTTTTCCAGCAAATCTCTAAAACTAAATATACCAACACCGGCCCTGTCCCCACCCTCACCCACAAGTCACACTGATGAACTGGTTTTTCTACATCATGAATGTTGTCATATTTGACTTCTGGTTAGAAAATGGGGTGGGGAACAAAAAGGGATAAAGAGTTTTCACAAAATTGAGAACAAACTCAACAACTTAAGATTTTAAACATTTCTACCTTCTGTCCCATTACACATTTCCAGTCTTGGACCCCATTTAAATTTCCCCAAATCTAGTCTACATCCAAAGTCAGCTATGCACTCGCCCCTAAGCCAGCTCACCTCTGCTTGTGTGGGGATTGGTTCCCCACTTATGTCCCCTGCTGCCAGGACCCATTTGCAAAAATCAGCCCATACTTTTGGCCAGCTCAAAGGTCATGCCTTCATTTTATATTGCAAGATCCTAAATTGCTTGTACAATAGGATATAGCTACATAGAAATGCACCCAAAAAAACTAAAAGAAATGACAACAACATTAAAATTGGGTTGAGTGGGTTTCCCCTTGTCGGGGCTTTCTATACTTTCTAAAATATCTACAACGAACTTTGTATGAAAAAAAGAGGAAAGGAAAAAAGAGAAAAAGCTCTTATCCCCTCTGCTCAACCTTAGGAGCAATGTCTAGAGTAGACCATGTAATTCTGTGCTTTGAAAACATCTGCCTTTTAATTTTTACGGGAGATTAAATTTGCCTATATTCTTATCCGTAGCTATAAGTAAGTAAATAAATATGAAAACACAAAATATTTTAACACAACACTCATTCAGATTCTAATGACATGCAGTCATTTAAATATTAGCTGGAAAATGTTCTATTTAAGATGTATTATGGTCAGGTGTGGTGGTTTACCCCTGTAATCCCAGTACTTTGGGAGCCCAAGGCAGGCAGATCACTTGAGGCCAGGACTTCAAGACAAGCCTGGCCAACATGATGAAACTCCATCTCTACCAAAAAGTACAAAAATTAGCTGGGTGTGGTGGTGCATGCCTGTAATCCCAGCCACTGGGGAGGCTGAGGTGGGAGAATTGCTTGAACCCAGGAGGCGGGGGTTGCAGTGAGCCAAGATGGTGCCACTGCACTCCAGCCTGAGTGACAGAGTGAGACTCCATCTCAAAAAAAAAAAAGGTGTATAGGTATTTTTTTAAGTTACAAAATGCTTTTTAAACAAATACAGGAAAAAAAAAGATTTTCTAACCATGCGAGACATACCCATTCATATTCTCTTCACTTTATCCCCAGTATCAGGACAAAGATCTCTAAGCCTGGCTCAAGCCTTGAAACCTACCTCAGAGCAGTAAAACTGCATTCCTTCAATATCTTTTAACTCTGACCCTTTATTCACATCAGCTGGCTTCCCAAAATAGTCTAGAATACTAGTATTATTACCATATTTACCTTTAAACTATTTACAGATGATTAAATAAGATAGAAGGCTTTGAAGCCCCGCAGTCTGGTCTATGAGCTCTTTCTGTGACTGCGTGAAGTGTGTTTTAAGTCTTTAGGATAGAGAGGAAGGAAAGAAGGGTTAAAATGTTTCCCAATCACCAGTTCCAGGCCAACCAGCTATTTGCATTAGTTTATCAACAACAAAATAAGGGCATTGCAAAATCAGATGAACACTGCCAGCTGTCGGTTCATTTAGTCACAAGACCTGGCTTGTCTGATCATTAGGCAGGGGAGAAGAAAAAGAAGATGTGTGACTGAACTTTATGGAGTGTATCACGAGATAATAATTCCAAATTAATTGTGGACAATGTTTAATCACAGGTCCAGGGCCGGTGGCCTGTACCACAAGGCAGGGATGTGACTCTCCCTGGGCCCCAGTGTGCTCAAGGGGCACAAGGGGCAATGAACCAGCTGATGTCAGACCTCATCCTCCTCTAATAGACTATAAAAGGGCAAAGGGTTATGCCCCCTGGGTCCAAGTTTACTTCTGCCCCAGAGCTGCTCTGGGAAACAGTCAGGGGGGTGGGAGTGGCCCTGTCCTCTCAGCAGCGGGCTTTTGGGATCCATGTCAATCCCCAGGACCCTGGGGCAAGGAATTGGCACTGAGCTTGGGATGGGCGTTAAGGGTCACATGACCAATGGGAGTGAGGACATCAGAAGGGAAGGAGGTGAGGGTTGCACCTAGATTAACCCACACACTCCCAACAAAAATCAACACAAACCCCATTATGTCCCTGAATAACACAGAAATTCCAAGGCAGGGCCAGGCCTGACTGGCCTCCATAGTGCTCGCAGTTGAACGGCTATCCAAGTCAGAAGTCCCTCAACATAGATGGCATGTTGAGTAAAAGCTCAGCCTCCGTGCCTCAGTTCCCCCTTTTGACAAGCAATGCAGTGACAGCATGTCATTGATGGCGCTATGTGGGTGAAATGAATGGCCACATGCAAAGGGCTTAGAACAGTGCCTGGCAAATGGTCACTCCTAAATGTTAGCTGTTGGAAACCGGCCCATGCTCTGATGACAAATAACAGTTTTGATAAAATGTTTTCAGTTAACCATTCATGTCTTTATTCACTCACTGCTGCATTCAACAATCATACATCAAATATCTATTTGGCTCTGGGAACAAAAACAGGAACAAGGTTCCCAGGGCCTGGCTCCAGGAGCTCAGCAGTTGCAGGGAATGTGGACACAGAGTTAGACTGTGATGTGGGGGTGTCTACTGGAAGAGCCATGCCCAGGGCAGGAGGGGAGACAGAGGCTAACTCAGCCTGGAGGAGGTGGAGGGGAGGGTCCAACAACATCATGTTCTGGAGCATAAACCAGAGGTGGGTTCCGAGTGGGAGGCTGAGAAGCCATAAGTTCCCACAACATGCAGAGGTTTGCTGAGGAAATGGGACTGTCATTTGCAGGTGGCAGAGAAGCATGTACAGGTTTTAAGCCAAGGGCTAGTGTATGTTAAATCTCCATTTTTTGCAGACATTTTGGCACCTGTGTGGAACATAAACTGGAGACAGGGGAGCCAGGGAGAGCAGGCCACCACAGAGGTTCATGGGAGAGAGGATGAGGGCTGGGCCAGCTGCAGTGACAGACAGGCAGGCGGGGGCATATTTGAGAACACTTGGGGCCAGAGGGGAGAAGCAGGGACAGACTGGGCCAGACTCGCTGAGGTCGGGGCAGGTAGGGCAAGGGCCAGGTTGGGGGGCAGGTTCAGGTACCCACAGACAGCTCGGAAAAGATGCTCAGAGGGTGTCACCCACAGTGTCATAGACCCAGATCTCTTGGAACGAGGTGAGCAGTACTGACTCGAGCAGAAAGCAAGAATTTGAACATGTGGTGACAGTGGAGTAAAAATGGACAGCAAGGCCTGGAAGGGGTTGAAACTGGGGAGAGCTTGGCCACAGCACTGGAACCCATCATTTCCCAGGTCTCTACTGTAGCACAGTCAAGGTGACCTGGGAAAGCAAACAGGCATTGGCTGTTACTGGGGCTGAAGCCTCCTTCCAAAATTTAATAAAACCATCAAGCTGCCCCAAAGAGTAATGTGTCAACGGAAATAAAATATTTTTGCATACAATGGGAGATAGTCCAGGGCCCCTGGATCTGAGAGTGGAGGAGTTCAGCTATTTGTGAGAAAAGGCCGGCCTTGGGACCCTGGGGTGACTCAGCCCTGTTACCTTGGAGAAGGCCTTGTCTTTTACCAAGGGGTCCAGCTTCTCAGGAGGGAGTCACCATCTTCAGAGGGTGCGTCTACCTGGGGAAGGAAGAACACATGAGTGAAGTGTGAATGAAGAGGTCTAAAGGCACCAATTGCTGTGAGGATCTCAAGAGGCATGTATTAGTCTATTTTCACGCTGCTATAAAGAAATATCTGAGACTGGGTAATTTATAAAGGAAAGAGGATTTAATTGACTTACAGCTCCGCATGGCTGGGGAAGCCTCAGGAAACTTACAATCATGGTGGAAGTGGAAGTAGGCACGTCTTACATGACAGCAGGAGAGAGAGCAAGGGGGGAAGTGCCAAACACTTTTAAACCATCAGATCTCATGAGAATTCACTCACTATCATGAGAACAGCATAGGAAAAACTGCCCCCATGATCTAATCACCTCCCACCAGATCCCTCCCTGGACACATGGGGATTATAATTTAGATGAGATTTGGGTGGGGACACAGAGCCAAACCATATCAAGGTGTCAGAAAGGTCATGACATTTAAATGATCATGAAAATGGGTCCAGTGTTTAACAAGTGTATGTTCCATAATCCTTGGGGAAAGGATACTTTCAGGAAATCAAATCACAGGGAGGGAGGGAAGAATACAAAGAGCTTGACAACCACAAGCTATTTTGATTAAACACATGCACGTGGCACTTTGCTAGACACCGGGGTGCAGAAATGAATCAAACCACCTAGGGATGCCATGGCTCAGTGCATCATCTCCGTGAAAACAGAGCTTGAGTTTTGCCAGAAAGAAATGTACTAGAGGCCAGAAAAAAATGAGCAGGCCCTGTTTAAGAAGCAGGTATCCTCACTCTTCCATTATCAAGCATGTTAACATACCTACACCCCATATCACATTAATTTAAGACAACCTCAAAAAGCTGGGTTGTGGTAGCCTTACTGCTATGTCCTACAGATCTTTCACCATTAATTCACCTGTTTTTGCAGTTTTCTTTTAGTATTTTGGAGTCTAATTTTTTTTTTTGTCTGAATCATTTCTTTGGGCCTTTGAAAAGCTTGTAAGACCTAAGCACAAGGCCTTTTAATGGCCATCAATAACACAGCCTGACTAGTTCAACACAAAGTATTTTCCTTAGACTACACAAACTAAATCCCAAGCTATTATTCACTTTGAGGCAGTACACAGCATAACACAAGGTATCAGAGGTGTGTTGGCCCATCAATTGGAATCACATCATAGCAGAAACTCAAAGGGGAGACCCCCACATCCTCCCGCTCCCAGTCCTAGGACAGTGCCCTCCTGACTGACCCCTGTGAGTATGCCCCAGATATGAAAGCAGCTGCTGGGAATTATATAGTGAATGGCACCAAAATGTATGGAATGGGAGAGGGGGAGGGGGAGGGGAGGGATGGATTTATTTGGGAGGCCCAGGAAGCTTCTTGCAGAGAAGGTGACTCCCCACACTCTTCTTTTTTTTTTTTTTTTTTTTTTTTTTTTTTTTTTTTTGAGACGGAGTCTTGCTCTGTCCCCCAGGCTGGAGTGCAGTGGTGCGATCTAGGCTCACTGCAAGCTCTGCCTCCCGCATCCAGGCCATTCTCCTGCCTCAGCCTCCTGAGTAGCTGGGACTACAGGTGCCTGCCACCACGCCCGGCTAATTTTTTGTATTTTTAGTAGAGACGGGGTTTCACCGTGTTAGCCAGGATGGTCTCGATCTCCTGACCTCGTGATCCACCCACCTCAGCCTCCCAAAGTGCTGGGATTACAGGCATGAGCCACTGCACCTGGCCCCCACACTCTTCTAATGGCCTCATTTTCCCTCCTTTTCTGCCCCAGAAACTTCACTTAAGAATTTATATACTTACTGTCTCCACCACTCATCCATTGCTGAAGCGACCACCATGTGCCCTCTAAGCTCACTGCTCCTCTGAGATGCACTGCCCAGGCCACTATCCCTCCTAGGTTCTCCATGCCAAGACCCCTCTGTCTCCAGCCCACTGAACATCTCTGCAGCACCTGACCCATCCCATCGGCCCCTTCTGCCTGACCCCTGGGATGAGGGTCAGCGCCCCCTACTCTTCTGCCTTCACTGTTCAGCTGGCTCTGTGTCCAGCGCTGGCTCCCTACCTTGCCGTTTATAAGCACCGTGCCATTCCACCTCCATGCACCTCTATGGCACCTCCTGGGTCTGGAAGTCAATTCTTCCAATCCTAGCCTGGAAGCTTCTGAGATTTCTGACCATCTCAGAGCTGATTCTGATCAGAAGCTTCCCACAGCGCCCTTGCAGACATCTGCTCCTCCAAAGCCAGGCATGACGAGTGACACAGGCTCTCCCTGGTGCAATGCACCGAGGTGCCTTGAACTGCTGGCTCTGGGCCCCCTGGCTCTGGTAACATTGGGTAGCTCCCTAGTTGTTGGCCTTCCCTACCTGGGCCAGGGAAGAAAGCAGTGCAGAGCAGACCCTCCCCTCTCCCACACCCATGAGGAGGCCCATCCTACACATCTTGCATGTCTGTTGTAACAGCTCAATAAATACTTGTGGAAGAAAGGAAGGAGGGAGAGAGGGAGGGAGGGAAGGAATCCACCTACCTACCTACCCACCATTTTTGCATGAGACACACGGGGATGAAAACCCAACCTAGAATCAAAGAAGAGAAAGGATGGAATAAGGGTACTGGGTGTAGGTCAGAGAATAGGATTGCAAGGGAACCGTCACTGGGGTCTGGAGATGGCCGGAATCATATAAGAGAGGGTAGAATCCTACACAAGGAGTTAGATAAAGAGTTCACACCCAGATGGCTGTCGAAAGAGTTGAGGGGTGGGGATGACCCTGAGGAGAGGGAACTACAGGAATAGGACTAGAGACTAAGAAATGTTACTGCCAGAAGGCATACTAGGTAAAGAAACCTCTCTTATTCAGAACTAGTTAATCAAAGTCCATTGTAATTCTTTTAAATGACTTATAGTAAGATTCAAAACGTACCTTTAGAAAATACCAGTAACATTAAAAAGTCACAGATGTGTGTATGCCACTGTTATTTTTCAGATTGAATTTTCCACATAAAATAAAACAAGAAAGAGAAAAGGATTAACTTACTCAATACATTAATAAGCCATAGCATACGGTTCCCCCTGTTCAGCCTTCAAGCAAGGATATCTATGTTATGTGTGAAACCCCTGGACTGGCTAACATCCTCTCCATAGCAGCTTCCAGGAAAGACAGCGGGCAGTGCTGAGATGCTGATGTCCAGACCCAGGGAGTCAGCCAGATCCTAGGGTGACCCAAGGCCTAGGCTGGTCATCCCCACTTCCGGAGGCCTTGTCCATTCACTGCAGCACACCACGGCTTTATGTGACAATCACATCCAAAAGCTTGCAATTGTGAAGATCTTCCCAAATACAGCCCCCATCGCTGTTTGGTGATCATGACGTATTTGGTAACACTGGCGTATCACAACGTGACTACAGCAGCACGTGCAACACACACACAAAGTTACTTGTTGATTAAAGACAAAATGAAAATGCATATTTGAGGCATAAAGTAATTTCCTACTAGTCCCAGAATGAGAAACTGTAATGTGAAACAAATTACAAAAGTAGAAATTAAGTACAAGAATTAACAATGAGCATATTGGCCCCCAACAGAAGCCCCCCTTCCAGGAAATACTGACCTCATCCAACAGCACCTTCCTGTCCCTCTACAAGGAATTTCATACCCAGTGCACGCACGGGAAAAGTGACAGCTGGGGAGAGAGGGGCTGTCACAGGAACCCAGGTTTCTTCCTCAAGGCCTAGGGCCCAGTGCAGGGGAAGGAGGCATTTTTCCTGCTGTGTAGCCACAGTGCATTTATTAAACAGCTTCTTTTTCTTGAGGAATTTCCCACAACGTTCCTCCACAATGTTGAGGAATTCCATTCTTATTCCTGAGGAATTCCCCCACATTGTGAGCCCTGCCTTCTAGGATAGAAGCTAGGCACAGGCAAGGTGGCACACAGCAGGCGCACCCCAGATAGTATCAGAACCTGCTGGAGGTCCACTTCTGGGGACAGCGGCAGCAGAGGTGCCCAGAGCTGGGGGAAGCTCATCCTGGCACCTGGTATTCCATGTCTGTCAAAACATAGGCTGCGCTGTCCTCACCATGAGACCTGCACGGAGCAGTCCCACCGCATGGCTCCTGCTGTGTCTAGCTACATTAATCTCCATTCCTCTGTCTCTAGCCTCTCCCCAGCTCCCTTCCATATTGGAAGGGGCCCTGAGCATGCACACAGGTAGGTGTCGAAGTCCACCTGTGTCTATCCCCCTCTGTACAGCCCTGGCCAGTCTATGAACCAGGCAGTTGAGTCCATGGGAATGACCACACAGGCCCTGGAATTAGGGTCCAGGGTGTTTGGGGAGGGAATTCAGGGATCCCAGGTACATGAGGGACATGGTTAAGAACAGGGGTGCTGGTGGGTTAGGATTAGGCCAAGTGGGCACATCCTCTTGACCTTCCACACTTCTTGCCATGCTGAGGGATGTGTCTGGCCAAGCTGCAGAGCAGAGCCCGCCAAGGCATAGGGCCAAATCTCTACAGAGGCCCAAGAGGAGAGAACAGACGGCAGTAAATGACTCCTCCTTCTTCCAGGGACCTGACATAGCCAAGCCCCAAATCTGAGATTTACAAGAAAATCCTCACTGCACTTTCTACATTTCCACCTGATAGCAACACACTCTTCTACCTTCCCATGGAGTAATGAGTAAATGCATTTACAGCATCATTTAATACAGCCCCTCATCCCAAATATTAACCAATATGTGCATATGTGTAGATCTGATGTAATGGAGAGATACTTAGAAAATTAGGCTCCAACTTATTTGCCATAACTGAGAAGTGACCATGAATGAGTCCTGAAAAAACAAGGGCTAAAGCAGGTTCTTTAGCTCATGAAATGTCACAGCCCATGTGTTCTACTGAAAATCGGTGGAAACATGTACGGGGAATGTGTTACAGTACTGAAACCAAGCCCATAATTATGATGTCTTCCTGTTACCCGTTTGTTTGTTTGTTTGTTTGTTTGTTTGTTTGTTTTGAGACAGAGTCTTGCTCTGTTACCCAGACTGCAGTGCAGTGGTGTGATTACAGCTCACTGCAGCCTTGACCTCCTGTGTTATTCCTTTGTTATAAGATTCATACAGCTATTAAAAAGTCCCCATCATTGTTAAAAACAAAAATGTCAGTTTGAAAAAGAAGGTAAAAGGGACTTACAAAGCCATAGAACCACACACTTATGGAAAAAACTTTAGACCTCCATACTCACACAAGCCCTGGCTTAGAATCCACAAATTCCCAGGGAGAAGCTACAGACAGCCAGAGAGCCTGAAGTCTATCTCCCTAGGTTACTAATTTCATCCAAAGATTTTCTCAGGGGAGTTATTATTTTTCTATTAGAGCAAACACGGCTATATTATGAAGCAGAAAGAAAAATCTCCACGATCTAAGACAAAACATGAGGCTTCAAAGAAGCATCACTTGCAGTGGGCTGCTTTGGAGTGCTAGGTTGAGCCTTTGCTTTTTATTTCCCAGAAGGAATCCCTGGGAGGTAAAATCCGAGAGGCACTGTCCTAAGTAAATGTCCATAATAATCTCTATGCAATTCTGATGAGAAATGGAAGCATCAGAGCCCCACACACTCATACCTGTGGGGCAAATTAGAGGGAGTGACCTACCCCTAATGATCACAGAGCCCACCCAGGAACTTCCCTACCCAAGCTAGAGCAGGAAAGTGTGGAAATAACCACAGAGCGTGCTGGGGACCACTGTAGTGTGTTCCAAAGGTGACACAATGGTTTCCATCTCGTGGAGATTAGTCACCCACGCTCTATCATGTGCACACAACCCAAAAACCCAACTGTGTGTTCAATGTGGTCACCTCTGATTTTCCCCCAGAGAAACAGCTCTACCAAACTATGAGTAAACACTCCCACAGCAGGGAAACAGAAGCTCACTCACCATCTCAGAAAGCCCAGGAAACACCAAGCCTGGCAATGCTCCTATCAGTAGAGGAATCCTAAAGCCTTGTTCATAGTTATCAATGGCTTATTTACCCATGTAAATGGGAGAAGGAAAGTTTTATTTTTATCATTGAGGATGCACAAGGATATGAAGATAAAGTAAAAATTTCCCAAGAGGTTTCAAGTGTCGCTATGAAATCTCAATTATTCAGCTAATACAAGGCGAAAAGCCACAAGATTGGTGGTTTCAACTAAGGCATGTGGATTTTAAGGGCAAAAGTGGCAATGAGACACAGAAAGACAGGATCACCGTCACCAGATGCCACAGATGGGGATGGACCTACCCCAAGCCTCTTGACCACTAGGTTCTAGGTTGAAGTCTGACTTTTCCATCTCACCCCTACAAACCTTCTAGGGCTCCTGGACAACAGAACCAGAACCCAGAGACAGGGATGGGCCTCATCTCTTGTCCTTTGTCCCCTTTCTAAATGCCCTGCCTTGTGCTTCCCAGCCTCCCCTATAACTCCAACACATCTCCTCTCCAGCCACCAGGGTCTACGATGCCAAGGCCACTATTGCACTGGACTTGTCAAAAAGTTGACTGAGAACCAGAGACCTTTCTCCCTGGAGCACTGCCTCCCAGTCAGGCAAGAACAGCTGTTTCTCAGATTGGGATCCACAGACAGTTTCAGAGGACTAAGCCTTCTCTACAAGAATCGTTACATTGTTTTCACTTCTATAATTTTTTTATTGGGGTAAATATTTTTCACCATATTGCTCATGGTGAAACACACAAAACTTACGTGGACAGTTCCATAAATTGCAACAACTGTGTGCACCAGGAATACTTCAGGATGTAGACCATTTCTGCCACCCCTCAAAGTTCCCTTGTGGCCCTTCACCCCCACACACAAAGCACCAACCTTTCTGATTTCTAACTCGACCTCTACCATCCTACAGCAAGCAACGGAAGTGCATTCCTGATGGCTGGCTTAGACATGTCCGGTGCCCTGCTATCTCGGCACCCACGCCTGCAATGGCACTTTAATCACTCACTACCCAGCAATGCAGGGAAAGCAGTGGTTCTCAGTGGAGTGGGTATGGCCCTTGAGGGAGCATTTCGGAACCTGTGGGGAAGGGGACCCTGGGTGATCAGGATGCATTTAGCATTGGAGGCCATCGATGCTTGACATCCGGAACAACACAGGCAGTTCTGCTCAGAAAAGACTTGTCCTGCATGACCTCCAGAGGTCTCACAGACGTTCATACTGACGGAAACATATTTACAATGTTTGAAGCCTAGCCCCCCAACTCCCTTCTACATTCATATGAAATACATATATTGTTGGCACAAGTTTATACACACTAAATTTTTCAGGAATGCAATCACTGTGAAAATTGAGAGAAGAATGGCCTTTGGCTACCATCAAGACCTTAACCGAGAGTCATTCATCCTTCAGTGGCATTTGGATGGCCACTGAGACTCACCTGTTCCCACCCCATGCCAGCTGTCCTGCAGACTATAGAAAGCAATGGCTCACCTCACTAGGTTGTAGTTCAGCTTAGCTCAAGCATCTGCACACTGAAATGCATAATTTTAATACAAATTGCTTTTATTTCTCCTTAACATCTAAGTATTACATTGATTTTTTAAACTTATGTTGTAGATAAGTTTTATTATATCGTTTCAAAATTATAAAAGGGGTGTTTTAAAATATTTGCATTAAGGGGGGTGTTGGGTTTTAATGAGGTGAGACCCACTGATGGAAAGTGACACCATCTAACTTTTCATTTAACTCTTAGTCATTAGTCATTGGCTGTATTTTCAGGGATCTATGAGTTCTCACATTTGGGACGCCAAATGTGCAGAGACCAGCATGGCTAGACTCTTCCTGTTCACAGCTCGCTGAACCATGATTACCGAACTGTGCTTACAGGGAGGGTCATTTCAAGAGACCACCGAAAACTCACTATTCTCACCTCTTTTTCAGGGATCTTTAAAAGAAACTTCCCACTTCTCTCTGTGCCAAGAATGCTTTTTTTCCTGAGCACTTTGCTTTCATCTTGAAGACACTGCTGGCTGTGCCCTGCAGGGTTTCCTCTTTCCCACTGCCTACAGGAAAGAGTATTTATGTATTTATGTTGTCAACCTTGGCTACCTGGGGGGCTTTGAAAATACCCGTGCCCAGCACGCCTCCAGAGATGCTAGTTTGTTTGCTCTGCATCCAGTCCTGGCATTTCCCTGAGTGCTTCAGGCAGTGCTAAGGTGCAGGCAGAGCTAAGACTCAGGCTTCCCTCCACATTCACGGCCCCACTTGAGTAACTTTAGCAGCATCTAGGTCATCAGGGTTTACACTGCACATGTCAAGCCTCATTTCAGACTCCACTTCATCTCCGCTCTTGTTTTCCTTTTACCCTACTTTTAATTTATGAGACCCCCTGTCCGCTCGTGGGCATGAGTCCTCTTGGGAAGTGATAGGTGTCTCCATCGTGCCGCCATGTGTGAGCTCCTGGATGTGCATGAAGAGGAGACAGCACAGAATCCAACATGCAGGCGACTGGGACCTTAAAGAGCTCCAGCCCCTTTCAGTACCTGGTGAGATAACTCGGGGCCAGGGCTTCCCACATGCTCCCTGCACTAGGCATGGCCGGGAGGCTCCAGCAGCATTTCCTGGACCCACAGCAGACAACCAGAGGAGAAAAAGGCTGCTGACAGTGCAGATCCTTGTCTTGTGCCACCAGCCCACCTCACAACCTCAAGAAGAAGAAAATGCAAACCAAGCACCCATTCACGGCAACAGATGGGTAGCATCCTGGAGCTGTGCCATGGCAGGTGAGCCACAGGTGCCCCTGACAACTTCTTTTAAAATGGCAAGAACCTAGTATATCCATTATGTAGCATAAGAATATAAGGATCTCTGTACTTCTCCACCCACTATGCTATGGTAGTTTCACCGCAATTGTCCAGCTTTGCCTCTCTTATTACTGAGATGTCTTCTCCATAATGTCCCAGCTTGCAGGTGGACACTCAGCTCGCACTGATGCATCCCAGCCACAGGGTTTCCATCTGCCCTGGTCCCTGTGCATGGCCAAGCCACAGAGTGTAGCTCCACCTCCTAGAGCTCCACATCCTAGGAACTGAGGCAAGGGACACCACAAACTTGGAGAATAGCAGCCCTGCGATTCTCTAGGGAACCACAGAGCTACATCTGTGCCCATCATCTCCTCGTCCTCTCCATTGGGGCTGCTGAGTGGTGTCCTCTAGGTAGCCAGTGCATCCACACCCTTGTACAAAGGGGCGGATTTCAAAGACCCCCCTTTTGAAGAGAGACTGCTGACATCCTATGTCTTACCAAGAAGACTCATGTCCATAAGGGGACAGAGGTTTTCACTTGTCGTATTCACCGCTGTCTCCCCACCACTCACCACAGTGCCTGGCACATAGTAGATAGTCAATAAATCTTTAATAAATTAGTGAATCTACTATTAAGCAGTGTTTCAACAATGGTGAGAGGTTGACTCAAAAGATGTCACAGGTTTCAGAACCATAAAAAAAAAACTTGATGTCACATTATGACATACAAGCAGGGCCTATTAGAAATGGGGGTGCTGCTCTGGGCCTGCCAAGGTCATGTGAGAATTCAGATCAAATATCCTTTCCTGAACAGCATGGAGGCCACATGAGAGTGGACGGGTGCAGGAGACGCTTCACACACAGCAGCTTGGCAGCTAGCCAGAGACTGAAAATAAATCAGAGTTCCACACCCCTGCCCCAGCAAACCCCATTCTCAAAGGCTCTACCTTTCTGTCTAGCATAAACGTTAACATCGGATATGAATACAGAATATTAAATGAAATATCAAATGAGATATCACACAATAAATTAGAAGGGATTGAGAAAGAAAACAATGCCAATAGCCGCTTGGTAAACTGGATGGCAAAAAGGACAGTGAACGTCCCCATGCCACCTCTGGCTTTCCTCAGCTCATCAATAGTCATGGAGTTCTGTTTCATACATTCAATGTCCAGAAGCCTGGCACCAAACCGCAGCGACTGAGACATCCATCACATTCCCGTGACGAATGGACCCTTGCTCCATGACCTCAAGAGCCCAAGTTCATGGTGTCCCTTGCCTCAGTTCCTAGAATGTAAAGCTAAATCACAGGAATGTGGCCATCTGAGAAGCTACCCTGCCCCAAAGATAAGGCAGTGGAGAGACAGCCCAGCAGGAGCCAGCATCTGCGTGCCTTCCCAGCGGCCTTCCTTCCTCCCGGCAGTGCAGAGGAGAAAGCCCTGGCAGGCAGGACGAGTGGGAGGGAAGACAGAGGGGGGCTGCATGCAGAGGTCTTACCCTCCTTCAGGACATCATCCTCCAACAAGTTGGTCACCTAAACTTCTGCTTCCCCCGCTGTAAAACAGGGGTGATGACAGCACCCTCCTCACAAGACTGTAGGGAGGGTAAAAGACCAGTTGCTGTCAAGGGCTTATAAACTGTAAAGTGCTGGGCATGACTGTTGTAAATAATGAGTGTCTTCTCAGCGCCTACTTGCTTGTAGCTACATTCCCTAGCACCATCCTTTATCTGGAGGGGCAACAAGTTACCCTCCCCAGTGTGGTTAAGGCCTCAGCCCTTACCTTGTTAAGGAGACTGACGGTCCTGAGCCTAACCTCTAAGAGGGACGCTCCTGAACCTGTAGAACGTAGCCGGATAGAAAACCTGAAAGCCATTCACACGGGAAGTCACACACCTACCTAGAACCCCCCTCCAGAACAACTGGCAAGTTCCTTCAAACGACCTGAACAACGTTAACTCTTGCTCCACACAAGAAACACACACACGCAGACCTCACCGCCATCCCCTTCTTACACAACACACTCTGACAACCAAGTGCAACTTAGGGAGGACGCTCACGGCGTCCTGCAGAGCGGGGGACTCGAAGGTGTCAAGGCTGTGGTCCGTCTCACCCCTACCTAGTCCCCGGATGCTCCAGCTTCCCCGTACCTGGACGGACGGCCGTGGAGGGTGATGGGATCCCAGCCCCGGGCGGAACCCGGCTCAGCTCAGAGGGGCGAGAGCCCTAGGAGCCGAGCGAGGAGTGCTTCGGTGCGCGGGCGCGCGATTGTCACATTCCTGCCGCTCCCTGGGGCGCGCGGGGCAGGCCGGCGCCCCCACCGCCCGGCCCGGCCGCTCTCCGGCTCCTCCCGGCCGGCGCCGCGCGCTCCGAGTCGGCTCCGGCCGCCGGCCACAAGCTGCGCCCGCCCTCGCGGCCGGGAACTGCCGGGCGCGGCTCTGGCTCTAGCCCCGCCGCTGCGGGGGCGGGGAACGGGCGGAGACGGCTCGGCTGGGCCAGTCCGCGGGCTGCGAGCGAGCTGGCCGGGTGTCCCAACTCTCCACCCGGAGGAGCAGGCGCGGCTGGACAGACCCCTGCGGACACCGCCCTGCCCCGGGTAGCCCGCAGGGGTCCCGCCGGTTCCAAAGCATTGGAGAGCTGCCGGGCGCTCTCGAGTCGCGGCCCGGCTCCTCCAGGGCTGCGGCGGCTCCACTAGAGTTAGTTGAGACAACTCACCTAGCCACTACGACCTGGCTCTACTACCCCCATGGAGCCTGGCTGCGACCCGCGAATTGAGTTGGCGACTCCAGGGCATCAGATCCCGAAGCAAACGCTCGCCAGAGCGACCTCTGGAGCTTGGTGCCTGGCCAGGGGCTCTCTCCGACTGGCTTTGTGCACTAATTTCTTTGTACCTCCGTTTCCTCTTCTGTGAAAAAGGGATCATAAGAGCACTCATCTCATGGAGTGGTTGAAAACAGTTTTTTAAAAAAAATGAGCTAATACATATAAAATAGTGCCAGGCCCAGAGCTGATACTACTCACGCGTTATCTGCTGGTTTCATTGTTGCTGTTACGCGCCCGGATGAAAAAAGCAATTTAAGTGTCATACTATAAAATCTTGATACCACACTTGGGGGCAGACAGGGTTTTTAAATTTTTAAACTTAAAACCCACTTATGCCCACCAGCTCACTTTGCCAATGAGAATTCACACCCAGGGGAATGGAAGGATGGCCAAGGTCATGCAGCGAACGAACGCCTGGCAGGATCACACCTTGGGCTCCTTGCAGGGAGAGGAGGGGAGGGCGCAGTGGTCGAGTCTGCAGCTCCCTCGGGCTTTCCCCCTCCACTTCGCTAGTCTTCAGCAAGTGACTGGCCCCTCCAGCTTGTTTGGAGGTCTTCATGGGCCATCCTCCAAGAAGAGTTTTAATAAATGATGATAGCTTCCTTCCTTCTAGTACACACCGCCCCTTCCTGCATCCCTTTCAGACTGGGCAGGCTCTTGTTCTCGTAACCCACCCCTGGATATGCCTCTTCAGAAACTCAAGAATTGAGGTAACCTGAGCCTCAGCTGCCCCCGGACAAATCCAGGCTGGAGGAAAAGATGAAGGAATGAGCAGCAGAAGCTCATCTGCCCTAAAAGCTGTCTTGCAACCTGGCATGATGACAATTTCTCATTCTTAAACAATCTGTTTCCAGAAGCTTTTATGGTTCCTTTTCCTCGAGAAAGCAGGCTTACATCAGAGGCCAGTGACGTAGCATTAAGAGAATTCCTTAACAATCCCAGCTCTCAATATTCCTTTATACAGCAGAAGGTCTCACAGCCTTGACTCCACTCAGAATCACCGGAGGACATGACACTCCTGTGTTCAGATCAGTCACGTCAGAGTCTCTGGGGCTGAGGCCCAAAAGGCAGTGTTTTTAAAGCTCCCAGGTAATTCCAGTGCAGCTGGGGTTGCAAGCAGTTGTTCCTCTAAGCTCCCACAGTGATGCCATTACTGTGAATCCTCCAACTGAAGGCTGCTTCAACCACGTGTCCAAATGGCAGTTCTGAAAGCTACAGCAGGTGGGCCTGGCTCCATGCTGTGGAACCAGCCCAGAAGCACTATGATGGTGAACATAAATTCGTCCTTCCATTTTCATAATGAAGGTTTTTAAGCAGTTTACAAGTAGAAAGTGAAATTGATTTGTGCAACCATGTAGAAATAAAATCCGTAATTTTTGTCTTTTTTAAGTGTTGTCCCCGTTCAGCCACTCCTACCCAGTGTCCTGCTAGACATGCAGGCCTCTAGACCCAGGTGGGACTCTCAAACACCCGCCCAACACAGAAATGGAATTGGAAGACCTCCTCTTTCTCACCTTATTACCACTGTTCTATCTGGGACCTTCAAGTCACCTTCTCCCTCACTCAGCCATCCTGACCACTTTCACTGACTTTCTCCTTCCCTTTATTTCCTTTCCTTGGATAACTGGTGTGCCTGCCTGTCTCACTCCATCCCCTGGGTAGGAGGCTTCCGTAAGGTGGAGACTGTCATCCCTGTATCCCTATCTGCTCTGGTCTCAGCACCACAAAAATGCTCTGAGCACATCAACATGCTTTAGTGTAAAGCCTACTGCTTACACTGACATTGTATGCTAGTGATGCAATCCAATGGCCCACATCTTGGACAAAAACTTACAAGAAACAGAAATAGCATTGTTAGCCTCTGGACACCTTCCGGGGTGTCTCCCTCCCACCTCTGAAATGCTTATCATTCAGGAGACTTAACTGAGACCCTGTCCCCTGAGGGTTTTCAGTTTCTCCTCCACTTGTCTAGCTGATCAGATCCCAGGACCCTCTTTGGGAAGAGTTTCTGATAATGCACATGAAACAAAATCATATTGACCAACACAACATAATCCAATGCCTGAAAAATAAAGCATCTCCTATGGCCCATGTGGCAGGACATTTTGAAAGACTGTCCATTATAAACATTAAGGCTAGGCTTGAAAGAAGAAGTATTTTATGTTTTTTTTCCTTGAACCTCCAAAGCCAAAGTATTGGACAACTTAGACCATAAGGTTTACATCATAAACCACGGAGTACAGAAGAATGTATGGTAATGTAAAGCTATTTGTTTTTGTTCCCACTCCAAGGAACAGAGTTGACCAGCAGGTGGGAAGGGGAGAAGCAGAGGGAGGGAGCTGCTCTTTACTAGACCCTGAAAGGTTTCTGAGGAGTGACTCAGAGCTTCCACTCTTCAGCACCACCTAATAAGAGAAATCCTGGTGTGTTAGGCCATTCCTACATTGCTATAAAAAAATACCTGAAACTGGGAAATTTATAAGAAAAGAGATTTAATTCTCTCATGGTTCTGTAGGCTATACAGGAAGCATGGCACTGCCATCTGTTGGGCTTCTGAGGAGGCCTCAGGAAACTAACAATCATGACAGAAGGTGAAGGAGGTGCAGGTACGTCACGTGGCCAGAGCAGGAGGAAGCGAGAGAGAGGTGCGGGAGGTGCCACTCACTTTTAAATGACCAGATCTCATGTGAACTCAGAGCAAAAGCTCGCTTATCACCAAGGGGATGGCCCAAGCCATTCATGAGGGATCTACCCCCATGATCCAAACAACTCCCACCAGCCCCCACCTCCAACATTGGGGATTACATTTTAACATGAGATTTGGGCAGGGACAAATATCCAAACTGCATCACCTGGCCTCCTCCTGACTGAAGAGGTTGATGGAGAAGACTGGAAGAGAGGGATGCCATTTGGCTTCCCAGCCTAGTTCTGGACACCACCAGGGTCATAGCAAAGCCCCCGTGTCCAACATGGCCTGAGCCAAACAGCAGGCCTGGCAGCAGATATGCCTGGGCCTGAGGACAGGCTGCCTTGAGAAAAGTCCAGTGCATCCCAGAGTGTTCAAGTAAAGCAGCTGAGAGTCCCCAGACACTCAAAGGGGGCAGTGCAGAAGCTAAGAAGACCAAAGAGCCCTTGGACCTAGTCTGATGGGACAAGCATGGTCCTAGCTGAAGTTTTCAAGAACAGAGGATAACTCATGGACCAGAACCCCTCCCGGGACACCAGGACAACCATTCTTCAGCTCGGTCCACTTTAGCCCCACCACCCCCAAAGAACTCCATTGATCCTTCAGAAAAAACAAATGCAGGGTTTGGAAGGAAAGAATTCTGAAGAGATTGTGTTACTACCCCCAGAGAGACTGAGTCTTGAACCAGTGGGGACAAAACAACTCTAAATTAGTGAGATCTTTTTCTACCATCAGGTGGAAATGAGAATTCCTAAGTCTAGTTGGCTTCAATTGTAAAGAAATAAAGAAAATTACATTTTTGCACAGAGGGCCTCTGTGATTCTTAATTTGCTACACATATTTTTGTTATTTATGGCACTGCCAGTAAACTCTCACAGAACCACAACAAAGATTGGAAACCACTGTCCTAGATGGACTTCCTTCTACAGCCTAGGTTTTTTATCGCTCCTCTCATACATTTTCCATCTGCTGACTTTCAAGTAACTATTTTCTTATCTACATTTCGCCTTACTTTTTCTCACTACAACTTCTCAATTTCAATCTACTCAACACTCTCCCTTTCCCTAGGCAATTGGTGGTGGGCTACTATGATTATCTTTCCGTTCAAATTCCTCTGATTTAATAAAACCTTTACCAACCAGAAAGCCACATGTGAACAGGAAATAAGAGCTGATGAGAAAGTGTGACATATTTCATAAGACGGTCATAGGCAATAAACCATTTCTTAACCTCCTTAATAAGAGGAGGAAGATAAGACATAAGTGACAGGCAAACCAGCCAACTGTTTGTGCTAATTGCAGCTTGAATCTTGCTCAGTGAAGGCAAATGAGTGAAAGAGGCTTCTTGCACCTGGTTTTTCCCATGTTAATAGATATAGCACAGCAAGTTCCAGAGGCCAATAGACTTGGCGACATCCAAGTACTGTTACACCTAACAGAACCAGATTAGTGGCCTCTGTCTCTCATGCCACTGGCTTCTGATTGCTTTAACACATAAAATTTGAAGCACCAGGAACTGAACTGTCTATGGTCACCCAAAAGGCAGCCCTTCCCATCATCCAAGAAGTGCCTGTTCTAACCTCTGTTCTCCATCATATGCCAGACATGTAGGAAGAATACAACCCTTTTTAAACTTATTCTTAAATGTAATACTCTTTCCCTTGTAATTCCACACAGTCCCACCATCTTTGGTTTTCTGCAATTTTTTGTAATTGATCTCTAAGTTTTGTCACTTTTCCTTTTACACAAGCAATTTCCAAAATCTAGATTTTTGTGTTGGAGCCTTTCAACCTTTTAATCTTTCTGAATATAACTGTCAATGTATTTTCTCTAGGTGGCTTCCTTTTAATAAGATCAATGTGGTAAACTAAAGATAACTGCAAATTCTTTGCTTCTCATCTAATTTAGAGGTAAAGTCTAATTTTCCTCCTCTTGAATCTGGACTGGCTTATTGACTTGTTCAAACAATTTCAACCAATAGAATATGGTGGAATTGACTTTCTGGGATTTCTGAGCTCAATCATAAAAAGCCTTTCAGGTTCTTCCTGGGACTCTTAGAACACTCAGTCTTGATGCCCAGAGCTTGCCAGGTAAGGACCATGACTGTCCCGAGACCACCATAGTGTTAGGAAGCTCGAGCCACATGTATACCATGTACAGGTGCTCCAGTCCACAGCCCCAGCTGTCAGCCAAAGTACATTCCAGCCATGGCAGTGCACCATCTTGGATGTTAGGCCAGTCAATTCTAGTTAGTGGCTGTCTGGCTACAACTGCATGACAGGCCCCAAATGAGAACCACCTAGCTGAGCCTCATCAACCCACAAAATCATGAGAGATAATAATACACTGTTGTTTTGAGTCATCAAGTTTCAGGGTAGATTCTAGCAAAATAATAGATCATCAAAACAATGACTGTACTCAGGAATGTGTCACAGTTCTCCATGGCTTATCTTGTACCGTATAACTTCAGTCTAGCATGCAAGGTGTCTCAGAATTAAACAACACCTATCCTCCCTTCTCCAGCATCACCTCTGAGCAATGTCCAATTACAAAGGGCTTCCTTAAGATTATTATTATGACCAGCAAACAAAAGCTGAGAGCTATGAGATGGTCAAATAGGTTTAGTTTTGAATATACTATTTTGAGTAAAAGAAGTAGCTATAACTATGTACTTTTGAGGAAATGTTAACTAGAATGATTTTGTTTCTAGTGTTGTCATTCAGTGATTTTCTGGGAACTAACAGAGCCCATGAGAGGTAAGTCTCCACTAGTAAAGATACTTGGAAGAGTGAAGAGCAGGCCACTATCAGCAAAGGAAGAAGAAAAATCTGGTCAGATGCAGGAGTGCCATATTTGCTTAATCATTTCCCTAATGTCCAACTATTACATTCACACCCAACCATTCCTCTTGTATTTCTTCAGAACAAACAACTTGGCAACAGCTCAGCAATAGGTGAATGGCTTTCCATCAAGAATTACTGTTATCCAGCCGGGCACGGTGGCTCACACCTGTAATCCCAGCACTTTGGGAGGCCGAGGAGGGTAGATCACGAGGTCAGGGGTTCGAGACCAGCCTGGCCAACATGGGGAAACCCCGTCTCTACTAAAGATACAAAAAATTAGCTTGGCATGGTGGTGCACACCTGTAATCCCAGCTACTTGGGAGGCTGGGGCAAGAGAATCGCTTGAACCCAGGAGGCAGAGGCTGCAATGAGCCAAGATCGTGCCACTGCACTCTAGCCTGGGTGACAGAGTGAGACTCCGTCTCAAAAAAAAAAAAAAAAAAAATACTGTTATCCATGATTGCCCTGAGGGACAATGGGAGCTAGGAAAGTTCTCTGCCTCGGGCCCAGGGGTTGGGAGAAGAGGCGATAGGACCACTGATTCCTTCTTTGTTTCTTGCCCTATCACGGGTAGATTACTGTGTTAAGAGCCTGGATGGCAGTGCTGAGTTGTTCCTACTCTGGGATAGTTAGACCTGCTGAAAAGCTCAGCATACCATTTAGAATATAAGCTTGTTTGTCCTCAGAGGCCAAAGCCACTGATCTTGAGTCCTCCTGAGACAGAGAATAATAGAAGCCTATCAAGTGAATTCCCCAGTAATGGCATGAAAGACTTAGGACCCAGAACTGGACAAGATTTTGGGCAGAGTTCCCCTGAGTGTGACTTAGGCATGGAGTCTCAGAAGGTGGCTACTGGATTCCCTTTTATTCCTCCAGATCTGTGCTGTGCAATTCATGTAGCCTCTGGAAACATGACTATTTAAATTATTTTAAATTAAATGAAATAAAAAATGTAATCCCTCAGTTGCACTAGCCACATTTCAAGAGCTCAATACCCACACATTGCTAGAGGCTATCATATTAGACAGAACAGATATAGGACATTCCTTCACCGCAAAATGTTCATTGGACATAGCTGCTTAAGGTTTAGATAATTCAGGGACTCTAGAACAAAAGTCCTTCTCTAGAAAGCCAGTCTTCATCCAAAATGGACAATCTGGTCGTTTTAAATCCGTACTCGAGCAAGAATCTTCTTCACACTCTTCCTCTTTCCTTTTGATCAACCAGGTGATCATTCGTTCTGTATTTCATTGCTTGATCAAATCCTACCTGCTCTCACATATCCTCTGTATATTAGATTCTCAGTTTGAATAACATTATAATTGTTACATTCATTAACATAATACTTTGTAAATACATGGATTCATGCCTATATTCTAATTTTTTAGTAAAAATAAATATAAGAGCTTCAGAGATAGGAATGCATGTACTTTGTAGGGGTGAGGAGTGTCTTCATCCCCTGTCCCAAAACATTCATAGGCAACTCGATCAATGCTCAGAATGTCAGAAGCAGTCAGCTACAAAGAACAGCGTAAAGCATTTTTTATTGTAGGTACCGCCCACAAAGTTCTGCTGCCCCCACAGTGATATCCAGCAGAGGCAACACTGTGGTTCCCAGGCATAGGTTCATAAAATCAGCAACAGAGTGTTTATTACCTTTTGATTTTAAAAAAAACAGATTTTAGATAGCATTATATTAGCCAATAAAATTGTAAAATCTTACCATGTTCTACATTTTTGTCATTCCTTTTTGTTTATTCTCCAAGAAAAAAAAATGAGTTATGGTCCTCTGCCTTGTTCCTTTGACATATTAGCTGTGTGCTTGTAAATAACCTAGCAATATCCCAGCTAAATCTGGGCATGAAAATAATGACACAGGGAAACAGTCTCTAAATTAGAAGATGCCCGTGAAAAACAGGTGTAGGTATGCACCCAGAACCCAGGTTTTCCTAAGAACACGAAGAATGAGTCCCAGCATGTAAAAGTTTAAAAGAAGAGGAAAGCCACAAGTTTACTAGGATGAGAGTTTCTTCCTTCTGCAGTCTCAAGAGAAGGAGAGACCCTCAGGAAGAACATGGTGATTGAGAAAGTATTGATTGCTTTTTCTGTTTTCTCTGCTATCTTCTTGAAAGTAGTGATGCAGGCCGGGCATGGTGGCTCATGCCTGTAATCCTAGCACTTTTGGAGGCCGAGGTGGACGGATCACCTAAG
The DNA here is from genome assembly GCF_000001405.40 of Homo sapiens. NCBI lineage: Eukaryota > Metazoa > Chordata > Mammalia > Primates > Hominidae > Homo > Homo sapiens. Next base: position 102,134,608 of record NC_000002.12, on the reverse strand, counting down.
CTCGGGAGCTCGAGACCAGCCTGACCAACATGGAGAAAACCCGTCTCTACTAAAAATACAAAATTAGCTGGGCGTGGTGGCACATGCCTGTAATCCCAGCTACTCGGAAGGCTGAGGCAGAAGAATCACTTGAACCCAGGAGGCGGAGGTTGCGGTGAGCCGAAATCTGTGCCATTGCGCTCCAGCCTGGTCAACAAGAGCGAAATTCTGTCTCAAAAAAAAAAAAGAAAGAAAAGAAAGAAAGTAGTGATGCAGGTATCTGAAGTACCCAGAAAAAGCTGGTAATTTGGAAAGACCCTGAACAGACTGCAGAGAGAGCAGCCTAAGACAGGAAGGGTTGAGTGCACCGACAAGAACAGTGCCAGGCACATCGTGGGCTCAGGGGCAGAATAGTCTCTGCCATCAACACCGCTTCACGTACAGATCTTGCATATCTTTGGCCAGATTTATTCCTGTTTTTCAAATTACTGGATGCTATTGTGAAGGCTATTGTTTTTAAATTTCAATTCCTGAATGCTCATTGCTAGTATACAACTGATTTTTGTATATTGATCTTATAACCTCCAAAACTCATTTATTAGTTCTAGTAGATTTTTAATAGATTCCATAGTGTTTCCTACATAGACCACTATGTTGTCTACAAATAGAATTTCTTTTCTTTTCCAATCTGGATACCTTTTATTTCATATCTTGATTTTTTTTTTTTTGCACCAGCTAGATCCCTTAATACACTGTTAAATAGAAGTGGGGAAAGTGGATGTTCTTGCCTTGTTCCTGATCCTAGGAGGATAGCTTTCATTAAGTATGATGTTAGCTATAGACCTTTCGTACACATCCCTTATTGGATTGAAGAAGTTTCCTTCTCAGTTTGCTAAGAGTTTTCACCAGGAATAGATGTTGGATTTTGCCAAGTGCTTTTTCTGCATCTGTTGAGACAATTATATGATTGTTTTTCTTTTTTTAGTTTCACTAATATAGTGAATTACATTTATGGATTTTTCCAATGCTAAGCCAATCTTACATTCTTGGGATAATACCTACTTGGTCACGATGCATTAGCTTTTTTATATACTGTTGGATTTGATTTACTACTATTTTGTTTAGAATTTTATATCTATGCTCATGAGGAATACTGGTCTGTACTTTCCATGTAATGTCCTGTTTGGTTTTGATATCTGGGTAATATTAGCCTCACAGAGTTGGGGAGAACTCATGAGTTGAGAAGCATTTACTCCTATTCAATTTTCTGGAAGAGTTTGAGTAGAATTACTATTATATTTTCTTTAAATGTTTGGTAGAATTCACAAGACGTGTTATCTGGGCCTGGAATTTGCCTTGTGGGAAGATTTTTTTTTTTTTTTTTTTGAGACAGAGTCTTGCTCTGTCGCCCAGGCTGGAGTGCAGTGGCACGATATGGGCTCACTGCAAGCTCCGCCTCCTGGGTTCATGCCATTCTCTTGCCTCAGCCTCCCTAGTAGCTGGGACTACAGGTGCCCGCCACCATGTCCAGCTAATTTTTTGTATTTTTAGTAGCGATGGGGTTTCACCGTGTTAGCCAGGATGGTCTTGATCTCCTGACCTCGTGATCTTCCTGCTTCAGCCTCCCAAAGTGCTAGGATTACAGGTGTGAGCCACTGCGCCTTGTGGGAAGATTTTTAACTACAAATTCAATTTCTTTAGTAGATAGAGGGCTAGTCAAGTCATCTATTTCTTTTTGAATGAAGCTGGTAGCTTGGGTCCTTCAAAGAATTTATCTATTTCATCTAAAAGTATATGTTTTATGCCTAATTTTGTTCCTAGTATTCCCTTATTATTCTTTTACTATTTGTGGTGTAGTATAGTGATATTACCTAGTTCCTACCATTGATTGTTCTGTCTTCTCTTTTTAATCCACAGTCAATCCAGCTAAAGGTTTATCAATTTTATTGATCTTCTCAAAGGTGTCATCAAATGACATCAAAGCTTTGGTGTCATTGATGTCCTTGATTGTATTTCTGTTTTCTATTTAGTTGCTTTCTGCTTTGATCTTTATTATGTCTTATCTTTTGCTTGTTTGGTGTGTAATTTATTCCTTTTTCTAGTTACTTAAGGTGGAGGCTATGGTCACCAATTTGACAATTTTCTTCTTTTTAAAACAGGTATTTAGTGCTAAAACTGTTCCTATAAATGATACTGTATCACCCTACATACAGGAACCCTAAAATAGTATAGTTTCATTTTCCCTTGCGTGACTTTTGTGCTATTTTGTCATTCATTTTACTTTTACATATCCTATAAACCTCACACTACATCATTATTACTTCTGTTTAAATAATTTTCATTTAAAGTCATTTAAATAATAATTTGGCATTTCTGGTGCTCTATCCTTTGGATAGATCCAGATCTCCATCTAGTATCCTTTTCCTTCTGTCTGAAGGATTTCCTCTAACATTTTTGTAGTGCAGGTCTGTTAGTGATTAATTCAGCTTTTATATATCTGAAATGGCTTTATTGTGTCTTTGTTTTTGAAAGATATTTTCACTGTGTATAAAATTCTTGGTTGACAATTTTTTCCTTTAGTATGTTAGAGATCATGCTCCAAACTCTTCTAGCTTGCATTGTTTCTATGAGGAATCTGCTACCATCTGTGTCACTGCTGTTTCTTGGTAGGCGTATTTTTTCCCTCAGGCTTCTAAGATTTTTTCTTTATCGCTGATTTTAAGAAATTTAATTATGATGAAATGATGTGTTTGTCCTCAAGTTTCTTAAGGTTCACTGAACTTCTTGGGTATGTGGGTTTGTAATTTTCAGTTCAGCTTGGAGAACTCCTGGCCATTATTTCTTCAAATATTTTTCCTGTCACTCCCTTTTTCCCTTGAGTGACTCCAATTACATGTGTATTTGGTGACTTGAAATTTTCCCACCGTTTCGTGATGCTCTGTTCTTTACTTGTTTGTTTTTCCTCCTCTGTGGTTTTTTTTTATAGTTTCTATTGTTATGTCTTTCGATTCACTGATCTATTCTTCTGCAATATCTAATCTGCTATTAATCTCATCCAGTCATTTTTTTTACCTCAGAAATTGTAGTTGTTATCTCTAGAAGTTAGACGCAGGCATTTTCACGTCTTTTGTTTCTCTACTTACCTCTGTGTTTATGGAATACAGTTATAAAAACTGTTTCCATGTCCTTGTCTGCTAATTCTAACATCTCTATTAGTTCTTGGTTGGTTTTGACTCATTTTCCTCTGCATTATTATCATCCTTATTTGCATACCTGGTAATTTTTTGGTTGAATGCCAAACATTGTGGATTTTAACTTGTTAGATGCTGAATATTTTTGTGTCTTAGGATGCATTTGAGTTATTGAGAATAGTTTGATTCTTTTGGATCTTGCTTTTAAGACTCGGCAGACAGGACCACAGCACCATTCACTCTAGGACTCATTTTATCCCACTTCTGAAGCTTGATGCTTCTGAGTCCTCTAACAAATCCCTATGAATTACGAGACTTTCCAGTCTGGCTGGTGAGAATAGGAATTATTCCTCCTCCTGTCCACTATTTCATCTAATCTTTTAGGGAGGCGCTTTTTCTGACTTTGGGTAGTCTTCTCACTGACTCTGCCTGGGTCACGCTTCCCTGTGCCATGGCCTGGAAACTCTCACATCAGTAAGCAGGAGAAGTCACAGGGCTTTGTTTTCTGCCTCTCAGGGATCACTATCCTTCCTTAGCTGATGTCCAATTCTTAAAAACCCTGGTTTTGCATATTTTGTAGAGTAATTTAGTTGTTTCTTATGAGAAAGTAAATCTAGGGCCTATTACTCAATCCTGGCTGGCATCAGAAATCTACTGACACAGTTTCTGAAGTTCATCAGTGAAGATGCCTGAGATTCTTTACACATGCCCACCCCCACCCTGCAAATTCTTTTTTAAACTTTGGTTGAAAAAGTTTTTGATATCTTTATAAAACATAACCAAGAATTAATACATTTTAGTCAAAACCAAGACTTTGGGGGAAGGAAGTAAACTGTGAACAATGTCAGATAAAGGACAGCCTGGCAGCTGTCAGGCCCTAGAGGCAGAGAGAGAAGTTAAGAGGCACCAGCCTGGATGGAAAACCTCCCAAGCTTGTGCCACCAAGAGTGAAAAGGAAAGAACAGCTGTCAAGGAAAGAGGAAAGATAAGAGTGAGGGAGACAGCTAAAGATCAAATCTACTATTTCCAGGGTTGCCAAACCTAAGAATTTTGCAAGAAGAATCATTAGCAATTGTGATTGCTTGAACACAGGCACCAGGAGGAAGCTGAGAGGGAATACTGAGAATGTTCAAAAACATTATTACCAAGAAAAAGATACGTTATATTATCAGTTCTCAAAGGTTCCTGAGATCCTTTCAGAGTCTTCAAGGTCAAAACTACTTTCATAATAATTCAAACATGGTATGTGTCTTTTTCATACACACGTACAGTGGACTTTTCCAGAGACCGCATGATGCAGAACTTCTCCAACATTGAATGCAGAAGCAGATATGAGAACTTATCTGTATTCTGTTGAGCAATGCATTAAAGAGATTTCCAGAACAATGTAAACAAAGTAAAAAAAGGTAATTCTTTTTGATACTTTCGTTTTTTAAAAATAATTGTTTTTATAAAAGAGATTTATGTTAACAGGCAATGAGTTTATCGGCATTTTTAAATAATTGTTAAAAATTTATTTTTTTAATTTCTCAGTTTTCATGTCTAATGTGCTTAATATCAATAGAATTAACCAGGTAGACAGAAGCTCTTTAAAGTTCTGAGAGTTTTTAAGAGTACGAAGGTGTCTTTAGACCGAAAGTTCAAGAACGTCTGCTCTACATAAAGCTTCTGCAGCCCTCTGAGACCACTGTGTAGTTCATGAAAGTGTCTACATAGGAGCAAGAAGAAAGGGCAGGCCAAGAGGTCAGAAGAGAGGGGCACCCTCGTCAACAGCTGCTTCACCCCTGACCCCGATTTCAAAGCAATACTTCACAGCACAGCAGCCCCTGTCAGGTTCACCATAAGGACCTACATCCTAAGTCATCATTGAGATTTGAACTGCTCCTTTAGGGGGTACAAATCCTGCCCTGAATTCCCCAACATCACCAATTCCCTTTCCAATTTACTGCACCGCAGCTTTCTTAACTGGTCATCTGACCTATGCTCAATAATTGGCCCTTATGTAGGAATGAAATTTCTAGATTTCAAGCACCTATCGGGTTCCTGACCATGATTTAGACACTTTAATAGGACATCACATTTAATGCTTATAACCATGAATGGTTTACTACTTTTCTTTGGGAAGGAGTTCTTGTTTTGGTTTTGTTGTTGTTGTTGTTGTTGTTGTTGTTGTTGTTGTTGTAGGTTTTTGGGGTTTCATTGTTGATTTCTTTTGTTTGTTTGTTGTTGAGACAAGGTCTCACTCTGTCACCCAGGCTGGAGTGCAGTAGCACCATCTTGGCTCACTGCAGCCTCAATCTCCTGGGCTCAAGTATTCCTCTCACCTCAGCCTCCCAAGTAGCTGGGACTACAGGCCTGGACCACCACACCCAGCTTATTTATTGTTTACTTTTTTATTCTTTAGAGACAGGGTCTTGCTATGTGGCCCAAGCTGGGCACAAACTCTCAGCCTCAAGTGATCTTCCTGTATCAGCCTCCCAAAACTATGGGATTACAGGAGTGAGCCACCACACTGGCTACTACTCTTGTTTTGTAGACAGCAACAGACATCCTAGAGAAGTTAAGGAACTTGCCCAAGATTACCCAATGAGTAAAATAACTGAACCGGGATCCAACACACTCTCCAAAACTGATCGTTTTCCCCCTTCACATTGCTGCCTTTTACTGTTCTACCACTGACCACTGCCATTGTGTGTAAAGTTAAAAATCACCCTAAAACATGTAGGAGTTTGAGATTTGCTCTTTAGAACTAGAGGAAGTGCAGAATGATGGTTACTAGCATAGGCAATGGAGCCCAACTGCCCCAAATGTATCCCAGCTCTACAATATACTATCTGTGTGGCACTAAGCAAGTTACTTAACTTCTCTTATGCCTCAATTCCCTTGATGGCAAAATAATGTTATCAATAGTCCCCAGCTTATTGGGTTGTTGAGAGAATAAGTTAATACATAAAAAGTATTTAAACATAGTCAATGATAGAGATGATCATTACCTGCCAAACATTCATTATATTTGGGTATTTATATACTCAGCCTCTTTGAACGTATAAAATGAGCATGATATACCTATTCAGTAATACCATAGAGGTATTGAGAAAATTACTGAAAATTCGTGTACCTGACAGTATTTCTACTATGCAAATAAGCAAATGTTACTGGAGCTTCATTAGGCATAAACTCATAGTGTGATGTCATTTTGGAATAGGGAGTTTTCGGGTAAAGAGTAAGCTAGTATTTCTGGCTAACAGAGTATATACGAGTCACCACAGCTGATAAATTCCTCATTCCAAAAGCATCAACCAAAACCACATTTAAAAAGGAGGGTATTTCGACACAAATACTCAAGTCTAAAGTAACCAAGTGTAAAATGCATAGATAACTTGATCTCTGTGTGATAGGAGAGCAAACTCATTCAATATGTGAAGAACTGTCGAGAATTGAAATCTAAACACTCAAAGATAATAAAGAACTTAAAGGAAACAAAAGGTTGGAATGAGAAGTTTCATAAGATTCTTTACGTAAACTCAGAAATTTAATTATTGCCATGTGAAAGTGGTTTTGTTTCTCTTCATTTTTCATTGTTAAAAAGTTCTATCCAAACTTGAATCATTTCCTGTCCTGATAATTGCAGTATGGCTTTCTCATTCCTCCTACACTACTAACATCCAAATCACTATTGCCAAAGAGATTTTCCTCTCTTGTTGCCAAATAGGTATCCCAGATCATTGGATGTTGCATGGATACACACACACACACACACACACACACACACACACACACAGTCACACACACACATCTCTGTCTTACCTGAAGTCCCTACTGGGGTTTCCTAGCATGTGTCACCATCTGACTTACTATATATATTACTTCTTGTTCTTGTTAATTAACTGTCTACCCCCTCTAGAATGTAAGCTTCATGAGGGTAGGTTTTGGTCTGTTTTATACACTGCCGTATTATCATTGTCTTGAATGAAGCCTAGTAGGTGGTAGATGCATTTTATATATTTATTGGATGAATAAATGTGTCATTTAACTCTGCCCATTAAAGGTTCTTGCACTTGATTTCAGTATTTTTCAATCTCTTCCATTTAATAATATTTTCTCTTCTCTCCCTCAACTCTTTTCCACAACCAGTTATAGTTGTCTCTGCCATCTTTGCCTCCTCTCACCATGCACTGTCCATGAATGTGCAGGTATTAATTTTAGGACAACCTGTCCTGGATCCTTCTGAAGCTAAGTGGGGAGCTGACTCACCCAATGGAACTTCAAAGGATTGAGACCCAGGGAAAAGTGTTTCTCTCTTTTGACAAAGCCGGGGGCCTGAACATGACACTGGGCAAAGCAGAGAAGGGAGAGGCTGAAATCTGGATCACCAGTCAACCATCTCCAGGATGGCCACACCCAAGGGTTCACAAGAGGGGTTTGCACAGGAGCTTAGAACAGCCTTCTAGGCTGACAAGGGGGCCTCTGCATTAAAAGGGCTGGGAAGAGAACTGAACCTACTGACATTCTTCACTGAAACCCAGCTCCTTAAAACCCAGGCTGGACAGCCACTGGCCCAAGATATGTCAGAGGGATCTGGTGAGTCAGAGAGAGGGATGGCTTGAATCCGTGGTTCCCATGCCTAGCTGTGCAGCCTCTTGGACATTCTAGAGCCCTACCTGAGCAGAATCTCTACAGACAGTGCCTGGGAATTAGCTATAACCTAAGTGAGTTTTAAATACAAGCGGGAGTATTTTTGGTTGGGTGTGCATCTACCAGGCAGAAGTTGGGGCTACTAGACATTTTGCAACACCTAGAACAGCACAGCACAACAAATTGTCCTCTATCCTTAAAAAAAAAAAAAAACCTTTCAAACATCTCACCAGACCTCAATGGAGATAAAAATCTGAGTCTGAAGCCTAGCTCTGTTTGTCATATAAACACAAAGTATTTTTCGCACAGTTTTAATACGTATAAATTTTCCAGAAAAGCAGCTACCATGTCAATTGAGGACAAGTTAAACTTGATTTTCTTCTGTAAGTTTATAAAAGATCTTTCACCATGGGAGGAAGAAAACCACATCCCCAACAGCAATGCCACTCATGTTATTTGGCTCTCCAGCGAGGCACAAGCTGTTTCAGCCTGCATTTGCAGCTGCTGCATTAAAGACTTCTCTGTGTATAGCTCAAGCATCTGACAACTCCTTTCTGTCTTCTAGCTCAGTCGTGTCTACACATGTATGTATGAAACTGAATATGGACTACCTTTTATATCTTCTTTACATTATAGCTAAGGTAATACATTTAAATTTTTAATATCATGCTTAAGTAGGTTATGTTGTCAATGAATTTCACTTAGGGGATATTATGAAATAGTTATTAAGAAAAAGAGCATTATAAGGCTGTTGAAGTTAAGAACCACTGATCTAAACCTTCTAATCAGTCCCTCAAAAAAGGTAATGGTTGGAGCTGAAGACACTATTTTCTTCTTTGATTTTTCCTGATTGTCTACTCATTCACTCTTGACTGTATTCCACTCCTCGTCAATGGTTTGTGACCTACTCAGCAATAAGTCTTCTGGGAAGAACCATTTCAAATTCCGTGTCTTATTGCATCCCAGGCATCACAAAAGAGTTTTGTTCATGGATGGGCCCCTGGGAAACTGTGTATTACAGACCCTCTTCGCATTCCTCAGTCTTCCTTTAGAAGCACAGACAACTAATTAGACCTTGTTTTTATTAATGTGAGCACTGCTTTGAAATATTACACCCAAGACCACCAGGAGGACTTCACCTAACCATGTCAGCTGATACCCCAGCAGTGAGTGCCACAGTGGGGCTGGAAGGGCCTAACAAGGCCCAACTTTCTGTGTTTCTTTCTCCCTTTTAGATACCCCACTTCTTCCTTGTATCTTGCCTATCTATCCTGACTGCTACATGTGACTTCATTCTGAACATACCTTCATGACTGTCCTCAACCCATGCCAGAAACTCTCCCCTTCACTTCCCCAGGAAGCTCCCAGTCCATGAAACAATAATAAGTTTATCAAGAGCTACGACCAAGAAGAACAGGAGACATTGTTTGTGCCAGTCTAAATCCAAGCTAGAATTACTCTTGATGCAAATATGATGAAGAATTTTCGTTATTGGTTTCGTTTGTTTGTTTGTTGTTGAGACAAGAATTATTCTTGATGCAAAGATGATGAAGGGAGTTGCAAGCATGTGTTCTCTCCTGTGGTTTTCCTAGCAAGACACTCTACAGAGTAAAGGCAGCATGTGCTAAACAATCAATGGACTCTAGACGGTTGTGTGGTAGCCGAGGAAGAGCCACCATGAGAGGTTCCCTGCCATCAGCCTGGCAAGCCGCAAGGGTGAGGATATGGTTTGGCTCTGTGTCCCCACCCAAATCTCATCTTGGATTGTAATCTCCATGTGTCAAGGGAGGAACCTGATGGGAGGTGATTGGATTATGGCGGTGGTTCCCCCATGCTGTTCTCGTGATAGTGGGTGAGTCTCAGGAGGTCTTATTTTTTTTTATTTTTTGAGACAGAGTCTTGCTCTGTTACCCAGGCTAGAGTGCAATGGCACAATCTCAGCTCACTGCAACCCCCGCCTCCCAGGTTCAAGTGATTCTCCTGCCTCAGCTTCCCGAGTAGCTGGGATTACAAGTGCCAGCCACCACACCCAGCTAATTTTTGTATTTAATAGAGACAGGGTTTTACCATGTTGGCCAGGCTGGTCCCAAACTCCTGACCTTAAGTGATTCACCTGCCTCGGCCTCTCAAAGTGCTGGGATTACAGGCATGAGCCACCACATCCGGCCAGATCTGATGGTTTTAAAAGTGGCAGTTTTTCCTGTGCTCTCACTTCACTTCTCCCGCCTGCCACCATGTCAGATGCACTTGCTTCCCCTTCCACAATGATTATAAGTTTCCCGAGGCTTCCCCAGCCATGTGGAATTGTGAGCCAATTATACCTCTTTTCCTTATAAATTACCCAGTCTCAAGTATTTCTTTTTTGGGGGGGCAGTGGTGGGGGGGAGATGGAGTCTTGCTCTGTCACCCAGGCTGGAGTGCAGTGGCGCAATCTCAGCTCACTGCATCCTCCACCTCCTGGGTTCAAGCGATTCTCCTGCCTCAGCCTCCCGAGTAGCTGGGATTACAGGCGCACCACCATGCTTGGCTAATTTTTCTATTTTTAGTAGAGATGGAGTTTCACCATGTTGCCCAGGCTGGTCTTGAACTCCTGACCTTGGGCAATCTGCCCACCTCAGCCTCCCAAAATGCTGAGACCACAGGTATGAGCCACTGTGCCCAGTCTCGGGTATTTCTTTACAGCAGTGCAGAAACAGACTAATACAGGTGTCCACCCTGCCAGCTCCCACAGCACCCTTGTCTAACCTTTCCCTGCCTCAAGAATAGAGGAGGTAGTGTGTGAGTACTTTACTTAGGTGATCTCACAAGATAAACCCCTTTCTCTTTCCCTCTTCCCCTTTCCATCCCTTTCACCTCTCTCCTTCTCCCTCTTGTTCACCATCTCCTTCCTAATCTCTGCCAAGTCTCATTCCTATCAACCAAGAAAGACCCATATGAGGCACTGTAGGCATATTTCTAAATTTTTTTACATTGAATTCATGTTACATTATTTTATTTTATTTTATTTTATTTTATTTTATTTTATTAAGACACAGTCTCACTCTGTCACCCAGGCTGGAGTGCAATGGCGTGATCTCGGCTAACTGCAAACTCCACCTCTAGGGCTCAAGAGATTCTCCTGCCTCAGCCTCCCAAGTAGCTGGGATTATAGGTGCACGCCACCATGACCAGCTAACATTTTTGTATTTTTAGTAGAGGTGGGGTTTCGCCATGTTGGCCAGGCTGGTCTGGAACTCCTGACCTCAGGTGATCTGTCTGCCTTGGCCTCCCAAAGTGCTGGGATTACAAGTGTGAGCCACTGTGGCTGTCCTATGTATAAACAAAGTATTATTTTGATACAATTTAAAAAGATTTCCCCTAGCCTTTTCATTTACCGTTAATATTTATGGTAAATGCTACTTTGATTTACTCTAATTTGTTTTAAACATGGACCTCTGGGTATGCCTCATTCCAAAAAAAAGCTAAATGTATTTATTACAAAATCTCAGCTTGCTTCTCAAAATGAGTTTCATGACACTTGTCCCATAAGACACAAACACAATTTCACAGATAATAAAGATAGCATGGAATTATTACATGTGCAGTCAAATGTCTCTGATTGATAAAACTTTGGCATTTTATTACATTATCCTTTGAATCAACAAACATTGCATCGGAATGCAGAAGTACCTTAAGGAAATAGAGTGAGTATACTGCATTCCATCTTTCATGATTTCTATGTATTTCAGTTGATGTTTACTCAGTTGATATTTGCTCAGCATGCCTATATTTCTTACTAAAGTAAACCAATTTCCCTGATCCCTGCTTTCAGTCTACAGGCATGAGCCTAAAAGACACCTTGGCCATGACTGGTGGGGCCAAGAATATTTGCTAGACCCAAAGCTACAGCATTCACATGCTCTCCCCAAGAATTTTACATTGAAATACATGGAGTTAATGCATATGTGTTATAGATGGAGTCAAAACAAAGTGTTTAGCTCTGAACATCACTTGGGAGATGCAGAGTGACTGTGTTTTCTGAAAACAAGGAAAGCCAGTTTTCAAAGAGAGAGAGAGAAAAGCAAGGAATGGAGACAAGAAATGAAGAATGATTCCTTCAGACCCTGGCAGACAACCTCCCTGGCTGGTCCCAGTTCTTCCAGAAACATGGCTATGTCCTTGCTCTTGGGTTTCACGAGGCCCTTCTGAATATTAACTACAATTTTTCGCTTGAACAAACCTGGCCCATACCTGATCCTGATACTTAAAATCACCAACTCATAACTGAGCGCCCCTCACTCACGCCTGTTAGTAAACTGTTTTTTTTAGATTCAGTTGCTATTGCCAGGTACAGCACTTCTCTATTTCATGTCCACTCACTCATTATTCTGTGCGCATGTGTGCATAGGAGACAGGGAGAGAGAGAGAACTGACACAGAAAACTCTGACTTCAGTATAAAAGTTTTAGGCCTGTATCTCAGCAGGCCTGACTCAGAAATGCAGTCTCTCCATGTCTCACACTCATTATGTTCTCATGAGACAGAGGCGTGGAATGCAATTCTGCCTTATTCGTGGAAAATTACATCTATAACTGCCAAAGGGCCCAGCTATTCTTATTTACTGACCAGTATGTTTTCTTCTTCCAGGAAGGCCAGGCCCCTGTGAGATGGACACATTTTTTCTTTGACCTTATTTAAAAGTATAGCATGGAAACCAGTCCATGGCCTTAAGGTGGTCCAGCCCCATGTGTATTGATTCAAAGGGTGATCTTAGGTACTGGGAATCCTATTTTTGAATGTATGAAACAAACGTATATCTTCCAGGGCTGCCCTTTTCTTGATTCTGGTTGCCTGGCAGCTTCACATTTTTAAAGGAGAGGCATCTATTACCTTGAGGTGAGGAAGATGAAGGCTGAGAACAAAAAAGTGTTGCATGGCTTTAAACTCCAGTATAGAGTTTAAATCCATAGCAAGACAACAGCCTAAGCAAAAATATCGTTAGCTGTAATATGTACAATAAGAAAAAAAATGCTGCCAAATAACTAGGACCTACTATCCATTGCAAGATGCATCCTAATTTCAGAAATGTTAAAATGTGGTTTTAAAAAATGTGCTAGGCTTTGTTGAGAGAGAGAAAATGGTATTTTTGAACTCCCCAAACTGGGCTTGACATCTCAAGAGTCATGGAGGAAGACTGGACCCATAAACCCTAGAGTAAGCCAGGCTGGACTTGGACAGTGGAGACCTTCTGACCACACAGCCAGGGAGGCCCTTCCTGTAGAGCTAGAGGGAAGATCTGCAGAAGGAGAAAGAAGGAAGGCAAGAGCTCAGCTCTGATGGTCAACTCCAGAAGAAGGAGTAGAAACTGAGTCACCGGGCTGGTGGAGGAGCAGCCTGGAAATGGCAGTCTCTTTCCAGAAGGCAGTGCTCAGTGACACGTGGCTCCACAGCTGCAAGGGCTGCCTCTGGCAAAGCGGAGGAAGCTGACAAGAATTCCTAGGCACCGAGGAGGGGGATAGAAGTTGCGAGAGAAACCAGAGGAACAGAAGATGCCTGGAGAGAAACCAGGGGGTTGGGGGGCGGACATCTGCAGGCAACAGCAAAGTCCATGGTGGTCAGCACCGGGTGGCTGGATGTCCCAGACCCCTGGGTCAATGGCATACAGTGCACAGGCTGCAGCAAGGACCCAAGGGCACAGCGTGGCCATTGACCAAGCAGGATGAGCCATCTCCCGGGGGCCAGCTCCATGATGACAGCCTAAGAGGGAAACCCTGCAGGATGCAGATTAACACTAGGGCCTGACAGGAGCAAGAGGAAGAGTCCCCAAGCAGCTGCTTGCCAAGACCAGCTGAGATTTAGAGTGAACTGTGACAGACATCATAATACCTATGTTCTGCTAAAAACCCGGATGTGGACCACATGTGCCGGAACTCATTTACTCTTACATTTGATCATTAAACCAATTTTTTATTGTGCGCACACCATGTACTAGGCAGTGTTCCAGGTACTTGAGGTGTATCTAGGAACAAATCCAACAAATCCCTACCCACCTGCAGAGCGTGGAGGGATAATACATGACAAACATAATAGTGAATGGGATTGTGTAGTGTGTGCAAAGGTGAATTGAAGAAAACAAGCTTCTGCTTCAGGAAACCTGAATTGAGAGCAAATTTGTGTTTCATTATACAATACCTGTTTCCCATCTGAGCCCCACATTTTATGCCGGAGTTGCCTGCCTCTGTGTGACACTGAAGGACAGAAAAATGAACACAACGCAGACCCTGTGCCTAAGGAATTGACAATTCACCTGTGAGTTTACACAGTGAGCTTCATGGAGGCAGGAATTGTGCCTTTCCTGCATGTGACAAATGTTTACTAAGCACCTAGTAAAATACATGCCAGGTACTTGGCACGTGCACACAATGCACACACGACACACATTCATGCAACACACAGCCACAGAGCACATGCAACACACACAAAACACACACAACAAACACGTACATTCACACCATACATATAACACCCATATACAACATATGATACACACTGACTCAACACACATGAAAACCCACACACACGTTCATGAAACTACACATGAACACCCACACACTCAAACACATACGCTCACACAACATGCACATCAAAGGTTTCATGCTAAAGACTTTTCACTTTTTTCACTTTAAAGACCACTGAGGGCTGTAGGTCCGATCTGGCCAAATAAGCACTGAAAATTAATTATACCGAGGCAGTAAATGAAAGCTTTGATAGCTCAGGGGGAGGTTTGGAAGGGGCCACGACAGAGTTCTGACAGGGGACTAATGACAAGAAGAATGATTTACAGAGAGTAGAGTGGTGGCTGCCAAGGAGGGAAGGGGGAAATGGTATCAAAATATATACATTTTTCATCATGAAATGAATAAGTTCTGAAGGGCCTAATGGACAACGTGGTGACTATAGTGAGTAATACTGTATCGTACACTTGAAGTTTGCTAAGAGAGTTGATTTTAGCTGTTCTCACCATGCATACACAAAACAGGTAACTATGTAAGGTGATGAATGTGTTAGCTTGATTGTGGTGATCATTCCATAATGTGTACATACAACAAATCCTCATGTTGTATACCTTAAATATACACAATTATTGTTTGTCAGTTGTACCTCAATAAAGCTGAAAACTAAGATAATAAAAGAAAATCTACCTATGGAACCAACAGCTAGTCATCTGCGGTTCTTATGTAACTTTTGTTTAAGACTCTTCAAACTATGTCCCTGTTAGGCTGAGAAAGCCACTGAGCACCAAGTGGATCAGGGATCCTTCCCAAACTGTGGTGTTTAATGAGTGCAACAACTGCATTCTGAAATTGCATCATTGGCATCTCAGTTCCAGAAGTTAATCTCATGTAGTTAAGTTTAAAACAATAACCTACTGACCACACAAAATTTATTTTCTAATTTTCAGCAGGCCAAAGGAAGAACAATTTGGTTTCCATAGCAAATATTCCAACTTCATAAGGAAGTACAAAGTGTTTTGAGAAGAAATGCCCTCCATGGACAGAGAAATACTTTTGAAGTGCAATAAAGAACTTACATTATCACTAGGTAGCTTGAATTATCGAAGAGAAGTTACCACCTAACGTCAGCATGAAGTTACAGTGTTTACCGCCATTACCCTCCCATAAATGTTTTCGTTGCTCTGCACAGCAGATATAAGCTCAGATATGCTTATTTTGAGTAATCTAAAATAAACGTGAGATAGATAAAAAACAACTATTTTTCCTTGTCTTTTTTTTTTTTTTTTTTTTTTTGAGACACAGTCTCACTGTGTTGCCCAAGCTGGAGAGCAGTGGAGCGATCTCGGCTCACCGCAAGCTCTGCTTCCCAGGTTCATACCATTCTCCTGCCTCAGCCTCCCGAGTAGCTGGGACTACAGGTGCCTGCCACCACGCCTGGCTAATTTTTTCCTATTTTTAGTAGAGACAGGGTTTCACCATGTTAGCCGGGATGGTCTTGATCTCCTGACCTCATGATCCTCCCACCTTGGCCTCCCAAAGTGCTGGGATTACAGGCGTGAGCCACCACACCCGGCCCTACTTTTCCTTTTCTATACCTGCACTCCACACACTTCTGTGACCAGGGATTGAAGCGATGTCAAGGAATACTCTGACACCAGCTGAATGACACCAGCCGAGTGTCCCACAATTCAATTCAATTCTGATACTAACTGGAGTTAGCACAGACCTCAGGTTAAGGGTTCAGTCCCACAAGACTGCCCCCCATTTCAGATACCAAATACAAGTGCCAAGTTGTCACCTATATGTCTGACTGACCAGCTGTAAACCAGGGTTCCTACGACCCCATCCTTGGATTTCATAATTTGCTGGGATGGCTCACAGACCTCAGGGAAACACATTTCCCAGCTTACTATGTAATAAAGAATACAATAAAGGATACAGAAGACAGCCAGATGAAGAGATATGCAGGGCGAGGTGTATGGGAGGGGAAGTGCGCTTCCTTGCCCTCTCCGGGTGGGCTACCCTCCACATGTTCAGCAGCCCTGGAGCTCCCCAAACCCCAGAGTTCTGGGATTCTTACAAGACTTTGTTACTTGAACATCACTGATCATTAACTCAATCTCCAGCCTCCAGGTCTTCCCAGAGGATGGGGGTAGGACTGAAATTCCCAAGCTTCTAATCTGTTCTTTCTAGTGACCATTCTCCTCCCAGGAGCTTCATTAGAACAAAAGACTCCCATCACCCAGGAAATTCCAAGAAGTTAGGAGCTCTGTGCTGGGAATCAGGGCCAGAGATCAAATATATATTTTTATTTTGTCTATATATATATTATATGTGTATATATATATACATTTCCTATATATATATTTAGAAAAATTATATATTTTTTTCTTGTTCCTTTACAAACATATTCTTTACCATGCCAGAGGACTGATTTTGACGGAAAACTCCCAGGAACTCACAGCTTTGGTACTCTTCCAAGGTCCTAATAAACTAAGGTAACTATTGAAACTCAAGCACTCGGAACACTGGGCAATGTAAACGCTCTCTGCTCAGCAGGCTTCCCTCACACGCAAACACCGGTTCTGAGAAATCCTTACTACACCTCCCTGAGGGGACCACACAGACTTGGACCACATCTAAACAAGCCACAAGCTTGCTTCAGTTCTCTTTGGAATGGGTGGGATTCATTGGAATACATTAATATGCAGGGAACAGGCCAGAAGAAAATTAGGACGGATATTCAGAAATAGCTCTTTGTGTACATAAATAACTGAAGAGCGATGTTGGCAGCTATTTAAGGATCCAAGAAATTGGAAGACACTAAACAATAATATTTGCATCCATTTTATTTT
This sequence comes from Homo sapiens, assembly GCF_000001405.40. Taxonomy (NCBI): domain Eukaryota; kingdom Metazoa; phylum Chordata; class Mammalia; order Primates; family Hominidae; genus Homo; species Homo sapiens. The sequence goes on along the minus strand of NC_000002.12, from coordinate 102,117,455 downwards.
GTAATGTCAACAGGATATGTCCATGCCTGCAGAGGCCACAAATAGCACCAAATCACTGATGGGAGAGGCCCACAGTGACCTCTCACCCTGCTCTTTCCAGCTGTGTTCTGTCAGCTTCTCTTCCCTCATCCATTCATGGGGATGACAGTGTCCACCTTGGGGGAAGTGCAAGCATATGGACAAATACAGACCAAGTCCTTGTTGTGGTGGTTGGCACTCAGTGCTTTGCGTTGTTATTTGGTCAACCCAAAAATAGACAGAGGAGGCACCATGATTGCAGGCGTACCATAAGTACAGTAAGAATGTCTTCCTAATCCAAAATTGGACATGCGGTTTGATGAGAAAAAGGATAAACATGAGATGGTGTTGCCCAATATTTAAAACCAAGACGTCAATATTTTATTTTCTTACTTAGTCATGTGTCTCAGATTCATGTCATTAAGTGTTACCTTTTATTATAAAAGTCATTTTTTCCTTCTCCACTTATCATTAGAGTCTTTCAAACTCAGCCAAACACGTCACAATGGAATAATGAATGAACATGAGAACAGTAAGAAGTGGAACTCAGAAGTTAGAGACATGCAAATTTTATCTAGGAAAATGTTACGAGGTCATAAAGAAGACACCAGGACCAAGAGTAGAAAGTGCTAACGTGATTTCACCATTTCCCCCACTAGAAGGAAAAGTGAACCCAAGAGGAAGGAGGTTTTCAGCACGGGTGGATGACCTTCCTGCTGCTGTTGCTGTTTTGTTGTTATGGTTGTTTGTATCCTCTAACATTGCTAACACAGTACAAACCACCCAATTTAAAATCAGACTTAGAAAAAGTGATCTCAACTACACAAAAGTTGACCTCCCTTTACTCTTTTTTTTGGCTAATCACCAACAGCACTTATGAACTTTATTACAAATAAAATTATCGGAATACATGGAAGAGCAATTGGATGTAATAAAATTAATCCAGAAATGCTATTTGCAGAAGAGTCAGCCATTTATGCCAAAATCTCACTTCCCCTTAAATTTTATCTTTGTATTTTGAAAAGGAAAAGCAAAAGCAGTTGCCATATTTACTTGAGAGTCAACATAGCCAAAAATTGTTAATGCCATGCTAGCAATCCAGTCTCCTAACATCCACACTTCTTTCCATCTCCAGGGTTCACTGTTATTACTTGCCAAGATTACGTGGGGGAACAAGAAAAGCCCTTAAACTTTTTTCTCAGCATGGTGGTTGAAGAGAGACAAACAAAGTGTTAGAAGCTAGAGAAATGGAGAGATGTCGAAAGCAGCAATGCATTGGGGGACATCTGAACCATCTCGACCCAGTGCAACGCACCCACCTTGTCAATGCAAAGTTGAAGATACTGCAACTATGCAACCTACATGGGCCACACAGTGAGACAGAAACACAATTTCCTTCTAAATAATCCAGATTCGCCATATAAATACTGCTGAGCAAGCTCCTATTTGCCGTTTGCTGCAAGGTTGGATGTCAAAACCTGCCATGCAAGGCTCCACTGCCTCCCAAACAAAGCCCAGACCACTCAGTATAGCATTCCAGATGCTCCTCAGTCTCCCTTGATCCTACCTTTTGGAATGTGTTCCTCTCCTCGCCCTTGATGTACCCATGTTTACTATGTGCCCATTTCCTTGCAAGTTTCCCTAATGTCTACCTCTTTTCTTGCTCGTGCAGTTTCCTCTACCCAGAATACAACCCTTCTTTCTCCTCCAGCTCAAGTCTTCTTCTTCCGCCTTCTCCCCCCTCCAAGGCCTATCCCAAATACTGCACCACTTCTTTAGGGTTTTCCCATCCCTCCGACCAGGAGAAACAGGCAACTATCTCTCCCTGCTCTGAAACCTTGAGGTTTTTCATCTCCCCCTCTCTGATGGCACTTTGCAGCCCCTACTTTGCATTGCTTGAGTTCTCTCCCCTGCTGTTCAGTTAATAAGCTTAAAAGTAGGCTGAGATTGAGTATAACTTGAACAGAGCAGATGTTTAAATATTTGCCAAATAAATGAAAGTGGCTACGTTTACACAACTTATATCCACAGTGCCTTAAAAAACTGAAAGCACACTTACTAGGTAGAGAGCCCTTGATAACTTCCAGTAACAAAGTTTTCTGAGGAAATGGTCCTAAATTTCCCCACCAGGCAGGATTTGGCAATCACTATGGACAGGCTTGGTCTAACCAGCTTCTTGTTTACTTGGGTAATTTACTGACTCGGCAACTGTCTACTTCTCGGGTCAGTGGTTCTCAACCCACATTACACTAACTGCACAGTATGATCACCTGAGGACTTTAAAAAGCCAGGCTGCATGCATTCCCATCACATCAGAACTTCTGGAGTTAGGATCCAGGCATCAGTGTTTAAAAGGCTCCCAGGTGATTCCAATATGCAGCCAGGGTTGACAACTACTGGCCTAGATGACAAAGAGTAATTCCATTCAGGAGACATTTCCCCTATTTGTATGTCACCGAGGCAGCAGCAATGTCCATTTTCAGCACTGACGTGGCAGACTGGGGCCCAGCCAAGAAAGGGAACTCAACTCCAGGGGCTTACATTCACACACACTGGGTTTCCCTAGAACAACAATTTACAATCAGGACATCAGTTCCAGACTAAAGTAAAGGTCTGCCTCTACTTCCAATCCAAAGCATTTTTTACCTTCCTATGAGCCTAGGTTCTATAGATATATGTCATATTTCCTTACCAACTTAAAATAAATTTCAACTGGAGAAAAAAAGAAGCTTAGAGTTCTGATCTTGCGGTTACATAAATCCCAGAGTTTGAGGTTGATGATAAAGATTCAAGCACAGTGAGTGATACCGAGTGTAATTTCCCACATTATCACAATAGCAAAAATGTAACCTCCCCTTCTCCCTGTGAGTCAGCCCAGAAACCCACTACGTTAATCTCGAGAAATGCTTAAACCTTGAGGGAAACTTATTCAAAGAGGTTGTCATGGCAGGTTCACATGAGACTTTTTAAATCAATTAAGTTCCAGTACACATTCCTTCACTGTTGACAATAATCACATATTTTCCCTACAGGAAAGAACCCCTGTGAACCTTCGCATGTGGTTTTACAGATTCTTTAGCAGACAGCTGATACTATTTGTGAAACCAGGTTTCCCCATGCATTCCACGCAGTGTGTTTAACCTTTCCAGAGAAACATCTACCAAGTCCCTACTTTACTTGAATTTGTACTTTATTATGATATGCATTTCATTTGTATTGATTTGGGCTTCAATATTACATACTGATCATTTCAGTAATCATATCTCTTTTAAAAACTAGTTTATGGGTACCATGCACCAATTTGGATAACTCTTAGAAGTGGCAGAAGAGAGCCTGAATGGCATGCTTGATATGAATGGACTCAAAAACCAGTGCCCAAATATGACTGCCTGAAGGACATGTGAGAAAGAGCTCTTCCATAAACTAGTGTTTCCCTTCCTCATGTTCCTTACTATTTTGGCATAATGATGTGTACAGAGCTGAGAGAATCCAACAGACCCATGTTCAAATTCTGACTCTGTTATCGATCTGCCGCGACTTGAAGAAACTCACCTGCTATTTTTAAGCCTCAGTTTCCTTAGAGACAAATCAAAAATCATAAAGCCTGTGTAAGGAACAGAGGCAATGTGAAAAGCTCCCAGACATCATGGGGAGGAGATGGATGGCTGCTGATCCTGGCCGGTTCTAGAATAGCAGATGAGGTGGGTACCCAGGCTCCAGGGCAAGGAGGCCGAGCGTCATTGGTGCAGCCTCCGAGACTGGCTGCTAATCAGCCTAGAGCGGGGCAAGCAAGATCAAGGAGACAGCAAATAAAATCGCAAGTAATGAAAAGTCCCAAAAAATTGTTCCAGGATTTCCAGTCAAGTTCTACCCTCTCACTAACTCCAGGAATAGAATGAGGGAAGCCACATCAATATTCAGGGGGCACAATCATGGCTTTGGAATGCTTTGGTTTTGTGACCCATGTTGGAATATGTTATTGGTATACATGACTGAGCAGCTCTGGTCACCAAAAGCAACACCGCCTCCCTCAGACAAGAAGAGACTCATGGTTAAGACGTTCAGCACTTTCGGAGAAAAGATGGATAACTTACAAGTACATTCACCGCTAATAATTTCTCACCAAAGGATAAAAGAAGGCAAATTTCCACAAAAGACACAAATGTGCTTTGAGCCTATTCTATAGCAATGGCTCATTCACTTGTTCATTAGTTCAGGAAATAGACCTGAAACTTACTAAAATCCTTACTGAAAGTCTTTAAAGATAGTTATACCATTGTCACAGGCTGATTGAACGCAGTGTCTTAGCCTGGGCTGCTGTAACAAATTATCATAGATTGGGTGGCTTAAACAACAAATATTTGTGTCTCACAGTTCTGGAGGCTGGAAGTGTAAGATCACGGTTCTGACAGATCCGGTGTCTGGTGAGGGCCCACTTTCTGGTTTGCAGACAGCTGACTTCTCATTGTATCCTCACATGGTAGAAAGAGAGCTAGCTAGTTCTCTGGCCTCTTCTTACAGGGGCACTAATCCCATTTATCAGGGCTCCACCCTCATGACCTAACAATCTCCCAAGCATGCCACCTCCTAACACCATCACTGGAATTAGGGTTTCAACATAGGAATTTAGTGGTGGGCTTGGGGGACACACAGACATTCAATCTATGTACACAGACAAAGGAAAACCCAACGCCTAAAAAAAACTATTAAAGTATTTATTTCCATTACACTTAACACAGACACATTTCAAGTTTTATGACTACATTTCTAGACTTTTCTATGGTAAACACACCTTTTGCTTCCTCTTTTACCTGGCATTAGGCCTTGACAACCCCCATCCCATGTTACACCTGATTGGGGCAATTCTGTGTTGAGTACCTGGAATTCACCAGGAGTCCCTTCTCAGAAGCAAGCCCTGCCCTCCTTTCCCTGGACTGGGAGGTGAAGCTCACTGAAGGGGGTGAGCTGACTTTGCAGTCTTCCTACTTCCTGCCCAGATGTTCCTGTGTCCATGGAAACCTGATCCATTAGTATCACCTCAGGGCCAGCAATTCCTGAGACCTCCCCCAAACACCTCCCACAACACACACACTCACACTCACACACACACACACACACACACACACGTTAATCCCCACTCTGTGCTGGCCATAAATGACCACTTAGGACAGTTTTGCCGCCGAAATAGGCCTGAGTGTCTGATCAACAATATTTTGTCTCGGTCTCCTGTGTTTCTTCACACAATGGAAGCACCTCTGGGCTTAGAGCCACCAAGACCCTAAGACTGGTAGAGAGCCCACCCCTTCTCCAGAGCCCTGAAAACACTACAGACTCATAAACAAAGCAGCCTCATCATCATGGAACCAGGGTGGCCAGCATGAAAGACGATGCATAATAGAGACACTCTCCTCAATGCCTTCCCCAGGTGGTTGGGCTTCAGGAATTTTGTTCTATTCTGAGCACAGAGAGCCATGGCCTCAGATTTCAGGGGTGGGAGGAAAAGTTCCAGTTCTGCCCTTTGCCCACTCAGAAGCCCTGAGGAAAGCTCTCAGTTGGTCACCTCTATCTTTCTAAAGTTAGAAAGATAACCCTACTTACACCTGGAGAAAAGGATGTCAGAGAAGCCCTACTTGCAGCTGTCTCCTGAGACCCCATCCCTGAAGGACTCCCTGGCACCAAGCAGGCCCCTGGGGCAGAGTTACCCGTGTTCTGGTCCAGAACCTAGAGGTGGCCGGGTCCTCTTCACTGTCCCCTTCCTGCTCTCCTTCTCATTGTTGACATTTGATTCTATCTCGCAGATGGACTGTAAGCTGCTCTGAATTTTCTTCATCTTTCTATTTCCCCTTCCACTCCTTCTTCCTCTCATCATCCCCAGCACCTAGCACAGGGCTTAGCACAGGTTGGACATGCAATAATAATCTGTCAAAATTATCAGTCAGTTTATTAATGCATGAGATAATGAATGAGAAAGCCCTTTGTAAACTGAGTTGTACTCCAGAGAGACGTAGAACGTATTTTTGTAAAATGTCTCCACTTGTCTCACACGGAGGACAAGGTTGGCCAAGAGATACAGTGTTCTGGTCGCCAGCCCTATGTGCAGCAGCGGCCCCACTGTGATCTCTTGTGGCAAATACAACACAGTCTGACAGGTGCTTGTGTATAGAACCATGCCTCCCTGGTGTTATTCAGGTGAGAATTTACATCTACAAGGTAAGAGTTTACAGACCTTGGCACCATCTTCCCCAGCCCATGACTACAGTCAACCTGAAACTCACAATAAAAGCCAAACTCCTTGCCACAGCCCTAAACACCCACCATGCTCTGGCCTCTGCCTCTGTCTCCAGCTCACCTTGGCCTCCCTTCCACTCTCTTCATTGGCCATACATAGAGCTGCTTTCTGCTTCTCATGCTGGGTTTTTATGCTCTGCTTCCTCTGCCCTCTGTCTGGCTGGCTCCTTCTCATGCCTCAGACTTCATCACTCCACCTCGAGCCGTCCCAATCACCAGGCTAACACGGACCGTGGCTCCCTACTCGCTGTCTCTGCAGCCTTCTGTCTCTGTGTTTCTTTCACAGTGCTCAGCACACATGTGCCAACTCCCGCGGCTGCCTAGCTGTTTCATGCAACCCTGGCAGGGTCCACGCATCCCTGTGCCATCCCATGACTGGACACACAGCAAGGCCTCAAAACACAATCACCAAATGAAAAACGTTGTGATCGCAAATGGTTTTAAGCCAATTGAATAGATGCCCAACCTGAGTCAACAAAGTACCTGTCAGACTGTTGTATTTGCCACGAGAGACCACAGTGGGGCTGACACTGCATGGTCATGATACGAGATAGGAAAATTTAGAAAACTTACTAAGTTTGCAGCTTTCTCCTTTGAGACTGCCGAAGTCTAATAAAAACCAGCTTGTTAGCAGGCACTGTTGACGAGCACATGGAGAGGCATTCTTTCAAACATTCCTGGTAGGGGTGTTAATTGGTATGACCTGGTGGGGTGGGGGGGTGGGTAATTCTGAAATATATATCAAAATCACAAGTGTACACAGCCTCTGACCCCACAATTCTGCTTCCAGGAATTTAACCAACAACTTGGAAACACTTCTGCAAAATTACGAGGGCAGGCTGCCACTGGTCGCAACATTGCCTGAAATAACAAAACATTGCAAACAATCCAACTGTCCATTAAGAGGCAGAAAATGCACCGCCTTTGATACAGCTATGGATCAAGGTATAGAATGGTGCACACTATGAGTGCAAAAGAGGTGGAAGAAAAAACTAGAAACTATTAACAAGACTCGCCTATTGGTGAGGAAGAGGGAAAGAAGCGTCTGCAGAAAGGGAAGAGAAAAAGACTTTCACCTTTTAAATTGTGTTACCACTCCAAAAGCAAATAAACCATGTGTCATTCACTCAAAAAAATTTAAAGAGTTTCAAAATCATATGGAAAAGTTTAACCAAAAAAAGTAAAATTCCATTTTAAATTATAGTCTTTTCCCTCATGTTATAACTGGAAACACTAAACAAAGAAAAGGGAGATAAGTCGCCCAGGAGAAACGAAGCCGCCCTTGGCCCCCAAGCTAGCACTCACCATACTCCATCTCATTCGCTGGAGTTCCTTGGTGCAGATTTGGGGGGTCAATAGAGAGGAAATATAAGGAAATATCTCTCAATATTTTAAACGCCCATCGAGTCTAGGTTGGTGTGATAAATTGGATGGTCCTGCCAGGGAGGATCTGGTCTGAAAAATCAAATCCATTTCACATTGGCCCATGTGGGTTCAGAGAAGCTGAGGCTGAGCCCTGCCTGATCCCCAAGTTGAGGGGTTGTTGTGGCTGAGTTTTCCAGGTTCAACACCTCCAAATGCAGTAGAACTGGACTCTTGGCACCTTTGGATGGAAGAACCAAATACATCAGCACTCAGTTGTCCAGGCCAGTGTGGCACATGGACTCAGAAGGCAGACAGACTTGGTGCAGGCTGATGGATCTCTCCTCACTAGCCTGCAGCTTTGGGAAACTTACTGAACTTCTCAGGGTCTCAGCTTGTCTGGACCTAGAGTTGGAATAATGTTTCAAGGTTGCGAGAAAGATTCAAGATATTATACTTAAAGAACCCAGAAGAGTGCATGTTCCTTTAGTAGGTGACTCAATAAATGGTAGTCATATACCCAAATAAACAGCACAAACATCACCAGTGGCCTAAAACCATGAGACATTGTCTCCAAAGTTCAGTCCGACCTACCCTCACTGACCCACAGGCTCCAGAGTGAGCCTGTCTGCGTCATAATTCCAGCTCTGCAATAACTACTGGTATAACCCTAGCAAATCACTCTCTGTGCTTCCGTTTCTTAATCTGCAAAATAAAATAATAGTACTGATTATTTTATATGAGCGGTACCTAAAACCAGGTCTCCTACCTAGCAAGTGCTGTATTACATATTAGCTTTTATTATTATTATTATTATTATTATTATTATTATTATTATTATTCAGTACCAAGTTCAAACCATTACTAAATGTCAGTTTGGTCCTGATTTTTGCAGCCCAGCACTGAGCTGGGAGTCAGAGTGAAAATCGATGCCTCCTTAAAGTTTTTGATATTCATGCCAAATCCATGACACTTGCACCTATAAAGACAGGGTTCTCCATTTTCCTGGTCCTATCCTTGGCTTGCATTCATTTGTTTAATATCCTTTCAGAGCTTTAAATATTTACTCAATAGAAACTGAGACTCACCCAAACTAAACGAAATAAATAACCAGTTGCCCCTAGAAAAGCTCCATTTAGGTTTTTTTTTAATCTTCTGGGGTGCCTTTTTGGAATATTCTTTTCTCCACAGAACTGGGTAAATATTTTTCTACCTCCCTTACATTGACTCATTTGAGAAACATTGATTGATCCGCCCTCTGGGTGTCAGACCCCAAAGCAGGCCCTGGAGAGAGGTATACACATGAAACCGGACCCCGTCTTTGAGGAGCTCTCAGTCCACTGGGGAGCTGAGCAAAGCCCATGGATGATGAGAATGCAATAGGAGGAGGATGGCTGGTTTTCCTGTACAAGAATGGAATAAATAAGCAACAAAATGGAAATCTTTTTAATCTAAAATGTATCCATGCACTGCTGTAACACACTAAACACTGCTACTGAATCTAAGAACCAAGAAGCATAGAAATATGTTATACACACCCCCCCCCACACACACACACATACATACACACACACACACACTTCCCAAGTTTAGAATTAGAAGACGACAAAATTTCAGCATGCAGCTCTCCAGAAACTATATATTTTAGAAGGTTAGATTTATCACTAAACTTTAGAGTAACAACAATAATAATAATACCATTTTGCATTTTTGCTTTTCCTCTATTCAAAAAGCTTGCCTCTATCTTGCCTCTTTATATTCCCAGTACAATCTTGTGAGGTGGCTAGCACAGGCCTTCTGTCTAAATTTTATAGCTAAAAAGGAGACAAAATCACAAAGACTGAGGTTTACCCCAGGTTACTCAATCGGTAAAAATTCAGAGCAAAAGCATCCAGTTCTCTCGCTCTCTCAGCAGACTTTCTGAGAGACATCAAAAGAGGTCAAAGTCCTCAGAAATTAGGTTGGCAGAAGTTACTGTAAGAGGTGACTGCTTTGGCAATGAGTAACCAAAAAAGACGAGAGGCTGAACCCAAAGGGGCAGAACTGGAAACCAGCAGATTTTGCAAAGGGTTTCCTTAAGGTAAATTAAGACAACAAAATATACCTTTGCCTATTATCAGAGTAGCACACTTTTCTTTTATTTATTGTGATACTTTAAGTTCTAGGGTACATGTGCACAACATGCAGGTTTGTTACATATGTATACATGTGCCATGTTGGTGTGCTGCACCTGTTAACTTGTCATTTACATTAGGTATGTCTCCTAATGTTATCCCTCCCCCCTCCTCCCACCCCACAACAGGCCCCGGTGTGTGATGTTCCCCACCCTGTGTCCAAGTGTTCTCATTGTTCAATTCCCACCTACGAGTGAGAATATGCGGCGTTTGGTTTTCTGTCCTTGTGATAGTTTGCTCAGGATGATGGTTTCCAGCTTCATCCATGTCCCTACAAAGGACATGAACTCATCCTTTTTCATGGCTGCATAGTATTCCATGGTGTATATGTGCCACATTTTCTTAATCCAGTCTATCACTGATGGACATTTGGGTTGGTTCCAAGTCTTTGCTATTGTGAATAGTGCCACAATAAACATACGTGTGCATGCAGAGTAGCACACTTTTCAAAAAATTATAAAACCCAATGCTGATGAGAGAGTTGGAAAATGTTCATACAGTGCTGGTGGGCACATAAATTAATTAAACTTTCCTAGGATTAATTTAGCAGCAGGGATCTAGAGTTTTTAAAATGCCCATGCCCTTTGACCCCTACCATTCTACCTCTGGGGATTTATCTCAAGGAAAACTCGTTGAGATAACCTTTGCATCAAGGAGATGCAAAGGTTTAGCTACAAGGGTGTTAGTTGTAGTACTGTTAATAAGAGAAGAACATAGTTGTAGTACTGTTAATAAGAGAAAAACAATCAACTACCTGCCAACAGGATTTAATAAACTATCTATGCAATGAAATGGAAAAGCTTTTGTAAAAGAAAACTCATTCTCATAACAAGATGCTCCATCGCTGTGAGGTAAAAGCAGATAACCGAAAAGCATGTAGAGTACAAATATATTTCTTCAAAATGTAAATGTACTCAGAGACAAATACACCTACCAAAATGTTAACAGTGTTTACCTCACAGTGGTGTGTTTTTACTTCTCGTCTTTTACTATTATCTCTATGTATTTTTTAAAATTTTATTCTTGACAATGAGCTTGTGCTGTTTGTGTAAATGTTCCAAGGACGTATTTTAGAAGTATACCCTCGCTATTCTTTGACCGTTCCTGCCAAGTTTTCCTCCTAAGTAAACTAACAGTCTTGTGCTCAACGGGGTTTGTCAGTTCAATGATTAACAATAGCATGTAGTGTTAGGAAAGGCCATAAGAATCTTTTTAAACTCATCACTACCATTAGGCAGATCAAATTCATCTCAAGAAGTTTTCTTGGCTCTTTCTGGACAACTTTGTCTTCTTCCTTTTCCTAACAGATCAACACATTTATAGTAAACACCAATCTCTGGCATCAAATGCACACACACACAGACACACACACACAGAGACACACACGTCACTGTTCTCCAGCTGTCTCATGGGTGAATGCCATGACTCACCAAACCAGTTGGTCCTTAGCTGTATTTTTTGAAGCATCCTTCCCCACCATCCACTCCTCACACCCTCACCAACACAGCGAAAAATTCACATTTTGCATGAGCAATAAGGAGTTATAAATTGAATTGAATGATAAGCTTCATTAGGTTTTCCTTTTTGTTTTGTTATTTTCTTTCCTTAATCTTTCAGGTTCAGTCCCATTTTCTCATTCTTATGCACAACAACACTATCAGTAGGAATTATGAGGATCAAGGATAAATGGAGATCAAGGATAAATTATGGAGATCAAGGATAAAAATGCAAGGCAATGTTTATAATCCCCTCTGAGAGTGCATGGTCTTCTCTATAGCTATAGGTGCAACATTGGCAAAGCTTCTGAAGGGGGGAGAAAAATATGATCAGGCTTTTAAGATTACCTTTGAGGTCCTTATTGAAGAAAGCGTGTACAAGTTTTGCCAATACAATGCATTATACCTTTAAATGAAACCAATAGAGGCTGCCATTAATAACATAGCACATTCAGGCCAGGCGTGGTGGCTCATGCCTGTAATCCCAGCACTTTGGGAGGCCCAGGCAGGTGGATCACGAGGTCAGGAGATCGAGACCATCCTGGCTAACACAGTGAAAACCCATCTCTACTAAAAATACAAAAAGTTAGCAGGGCATGGTGGCAGGCGCCTATAGTCCCAGCTACTCGGGAGGCTGAGGCAGGAGAATCGCTTGAACCTGGGAGGCGGAGGTTGCAGTGAGCCAAGATCATGCCATTGTACTCCAGTCTGGGTGACAAAGTGAGACCCCATCTCAAACAAAATAAAAAATAAATTAAAAAGAAAACATAGCACCTTCAGTCAACATTGGGTTATGCCTCTCTAACACTGTAGAAGCTTAATGGGAAGTGATAAAATAAGTCTCAATTCTTACAGTAACAACAGTCTTATAAAACGACTTCATTTACAACACCTTTCACTTAACATCTCTCACCACATACCAAAAGTCATGTAACTATTCATGGTTTATAAGTAATATACAGTTATAAAGTATATTTCCCATATGTTTCATAGTTAATCTTCCATAGATAATCACAGTCGTTCTCCTAATATGACTCAGAAACACATCTTAAAGTGAAACATGCCTACAGAGCCATATAACTTCAAGAAATCCTTAAAATGTTGTTTCGACAAACAATATAACGTTACCTTTTATCAGATTCCATTTGTCTTTCCTAAATACCTCATTAATGTGTAAGTAAACCCAAAAAAAGGAGGGAAAAAAATACAGAAACAAAAAACCTGCAGTGCAATTAATCATCTTACCGTCTCCGTTCTTCATCCTTGGGGCATTTGGGAATGGCTGGCCTCCCAGGAGGTGGAGAATGTCGGGGTAATCCGACAAGGTTTCTTTTCCCAAATGAAGCCTGCTGAGCTGATGTTGGTTATTAAAAAACGAAAGTGCTTTTTGAAGTCAGCCCTAGCTAGAGTTGTTAATTCAGGTCTGTGCCGCAGCAGAGTGACAACTCACATCTTGCCGGACGCCCCAGCTGGTACGGAGGCTCAAAGGAAGGAGAAAGTGGGGTTTTGGAGATGGCTGTGTCACAGCCTCTTAGGGCTTTAATCCCTCGGCCGTGACACATCTGGGGAACTATGAACAGGAAGCTCAGAGCCAGGCAGACAGCCAGAATCACTCAGCAAACGTGCCAGACCCTTAAGAAACACCAACACCCGCCACTGCACGGTAACCTCTAAAGTTTCCCGAAGCTGGTGCTTTCCTCTCATGACTTTGTGTTGAACCTGGACAAGCCTGCTGGCTGAATCCAGCTCATTATCATGTTCCCATCATCAGAGTCTTGACTGGTCAGTCTCAGGCCTGTGGTGGCCTAAGCTTTCCCTCTCTGCCTACCTCCCAATCCTTAGAGCAATCTCCCTAGAGTCAGCCCAGGCAATGCTGCAGGACTCTTTATTCAGGTCTGCTCGTGTCCCAGATGCTGGCCCACTTCTCATGGTGGCCACCACTCCTGCCATGTGCCCTGAGAACTCTGGAAGTCTCCCTTCACCACACCCTGGAGGTGGGATGGCCACTGATCACCCCTCAGCTCAGGGAGATGAAAGCTGGAGCCTCTGGCTTCCACAAATGCAGCCAGATCCACCTAGGAGAGCTGGTGCTGCCAAGCCTCCTCTTTTTTTTTTTTTTTTTTTTTTCTGAGACAGTCTTGCTCTGTCTCCCAGGCTGGAGTGCAATGTCACAATCTCGGCTCACAGCAACCCCTGCTTCCCAGGTTCAAGTGATTCTCGTGCCTCAGCCCGAGTAGCTGGGATTATAGATGCCCGCCACCATGTCTGGCTAATTTTTGTAATTTTAGTAGAGATGGGGTTTCACCATGATGGTCAGGCTGGTCTCAAACTCCTGAACTCAGATGATCCACCCCCTTGGCCTCCCAAAGTGCTGGGGTTACAGGCATGAGCCACCGCACCTGGCCTGCCTCTTTTATTTCTCTCATAGCTCCTCCTGTGCTCTGCACTCCGATGAACATTCTCAACATGATACAGAGTCCAGCCTATCACAACGCTACTCAAAAATCTGCATCGTAGGGAGGAAGAGTCAAGCCTCCAATTCTAGCATTCAAGGTCTTCAGACATCTGGTCTCACACACTTTCCTGTCATTGTTCCCGCTACCCTTTCCAAGAGCGCTTTGTGCTCACCTGGATGGGCCGCCTGCTGACCCTAAGAGGCACTGCTCAAACCTCTGCTTCAATGCTCTGCAGCCTCAATTCTGCCACTGCCACTCCTTACCCTAGCCAATTGACACCACTCAGCACGACACAGCCCACCTCCTCTTTGCTCCTTCCCCTTCTTTCCAGTTTTCACCGCCATTTGCTCAAGCAGACCCCACTCAAGCATCCTGGGGTGATTTTCCCGACTCTGAACCTGTGCCTTCTCTCTGTGATGATAACGGAGATAGCAGAAGTGAGCACTTACAGGTGCCAGGCATTCTTCAAGGAAATTTAAATTATATATTCATTTACTTATTTATTTTTAATTTTATTTTAGTTTCAGGGGTACTTGTGCAGGTCTGTTATATAGGCAAATTGTGTATTCAGGCGGCTTGGTCTACAGATTTTTTTGTAACCTAGGTAATAAGTATGGTACCCTATAGGTAGTTTCAATCCTCACCCTCCTCCCACACTCCATCCTCAAGTAGGTCCTGGTGTCTGTTTTTCCTTTCTTTGTGTCCGTATGAACTCAGTGTTTAATTCTCACTTATAAGTGAGACCATGCAGTATTTGATTTTCTGTTTCTGTGTTAGTTCTCAGAAGAATGGCCTCCAGTTGTATCCATGTTGCTGCAAAAGACATGATCTTGTTCTTTTTCATGGCTGCATAATATTCCGCGGTGTACATGTACCACATTTTCTTTATCCAGTCTACCACTGATGAACATTTAGGTTGATTCCATGTCTTTGCTATTGAGAATAGCGATGTAATGAACATCATGTCTTATGGTAGAATGATTAATATTCCTGTGGGAATATACCCAACAATGGGATGGCTGAGTCAAATGGTAGTTGTGTTTTAAGTTCTTTGAGCAATCACCAAACTGCTTTTCATAGTGGCTGAACTAATTTACATTCCCACAAGCAGAATATAAGCATTCCCTTTTCACTGCAACCTTGTTGGCATCTCTTATTTTTTGACTTTTTAGTAATAGCCATTTTGACTGGTGTGAGATGATATCTCATTATGGTTTTGACTTGCATGGAAATTTAAATTCTTTAGGCCCATTTTACAGGTGAGAAAACTGATTGAGATTATGTAAATACTTTCCCCAAGCTCCCTTAGTCAGGCAGGGGTAGAGCCCAGGTGGAGCCCAGGCTTGCATTGCTCTTCAAGTGTTACCAGGGATCCACCGCAATTTACTTGACAACAGGTCTTATCTACTCAGGAACAGTGCAAGTTCCTAGCAGCCATTGTCTCATACTTCCTGGTACCCTTTCCAGAGAGCACCCAAAAGACCTTCCAATTCCAGGCTATTTCCAAGCAGCTGGATTAATTGGCAGATTATTAGTTCAAGGACTTTTCCAGCCCTCTTTTCCACTCCAGATGATTTCTTCTCTCTTGCTCCTTCCTACTTCTCAAAAAGGAGAAAAATTGGAGGAATCTGCACTGTTTAGTTAACCTGTGTGAACACACACGCCACACACATGCACCCACACGCACCCACACACACGCTTTTGCCTGGGTTTTGTCAGCTGTGTTGTTCCCCTACAGAGTTCAGGGAAAACAAATAGTCATAGTTGGCAACAAAAATTCAATATCAGAAGTTAATGGATAATCTCTCAAACTCTAGGGTCCTTTATGAATGCTAAAGTATAGAATTCCCTGAGCCGAGCCCAGAGCTTTTAACATTTAAACTATCAGAAGACGTCATTCTAACACAATTTTATCAGTAACATGGTCTTTGACAAACTCCAGAATGTCTGTGTTTATACATAAAAGGTCAGAAATAACTCAAGTATTTTCCCAGAATATTCTTATGGAAAAGTTTACACATTCAGAATTGATTTGCATTTATGAATATCTTTAATGTGGCTGTAATCCATGTGTTTCTTATACCTCCCAATTGAAAAAGGAGAATAGGAAGAAGCACGTACAGTATGTGTGTGCATGTGTGTGCATGAGCATGTGTGTATGTGTGTGCATGTTTGTGCAAGTATGTGCAACCCTAGAATCTAACCTTGGCTCCCCCTCAACATGCTATGGGTCATTAAGAGAGGGCAGGAGACTTCTGCTTTCCTAAGTCCAGCAATTCTATAATTAGAGAGACACCAACCTGGACGCCAGCAGACCTGGGTTAAAGAGCTAAGCTTCAACTTCATCTATGTATCTTTGGGAAAATCACTTCATCTCACTGGATCTCAGTTTCTACATCTGAAAAAACAAAACAAAACAGTATAGTCTAAACTCTTGGGACACAAAGTGTGGCCCATAAGCCAAGAGCATCACCAAGGAGCACGATGGAAATGCAGAACATTAGGGCCCACCCCAGAACCACTGAATTCAAATCTATATTTGACTAAGCTTTCTGGGTGACTTGTGTGGACAGTAACACAGGGAGTGCTAATTGACCTGATCTCCAAAATGCTTTCCAGTGTGACACATTCTGTTAGTTTAACCTTTGTCTCTTTACACTAGAGAATTAACCATGCCATCCCCGATGGCCACTGGTAACCTTTGTGGTCAGGCCCTAAGGATCTGACTTGAGTGCCTGGCTGCTTATCATACTCCTATTCCAGGCAATGATACATGAACAATTCGTATCATCCCCATGACTCTTCCAGACCGCACTGTGTCCAGCTTTCTATCAAACCTCCGGGGAGAATGCCATCCCTTAATTCTTCATACCTCCAGACAGACAGCTTCCACACCCATTACTGAGTTTAAGGGATTTTGCAAGCACAGATGAAGGAATGGGAAAGATTCTAGATGAATGATTACAGGGATAGTCTTTCAGCACTTAAGGAAGCCACGATCACCAAGAGAAAGCATGAAATGACTAAAAACAGGCCAGGTCTGGTGAAGCTCATGCAATCTTTTGTTTGATGAGGTTGTTAGATGGTGAGATTACCACAGTTAAATGCTGTGAACTTAGTGAATCAGAATTTCATGTAAGTATCTGCAAACATCTGTCTTGTGAGCAAAACAAAGAATATGGTTAGTAGAGTTGGATACATGTATAAACACCCATACTCAATGGTAAATGAGTCAATTAGAAGAGTATGCTCTACTGGAAAGCCTCAGGCTCAGTTCCAGGTATTTGGTTCCATCCTGGCTCTCAGGTGTGGAGCTGACCTCTCCTCCCAGAAAAGAGGCAGCCAGGCTGGGCATGGACATGGTCATGGCACTCTTCAATTGTGGAGAGTACAGAGCAGAGGAATGCAGGAAAGGAGGGAGGGTAGAAAGAAGGAATACATTTTCCAAAGGAAGCAAATACAAGTTTAGAAAGCAGAACTGGACACTGAAGCCAAAAAAATTTATCAAATTGGCATTGGCCAAAAGAACCCGACGATGTGCAGATGGTGTGTGGTAATATTCCTGGAGGCCTTGAATGCAGGAAAGGAGAATGCCTCGAGGCCAAGCCAGGGGTTGGGGAGGGAGCTGGGAGGTGCAGAACAGGTTTCTACAGCAGAAGGGCAGAGCAGGCAAGCTTACCACATTCTGGGAGTCCTGGAGTTAAAATGAACTGTGAATTCACTGAGAGAGCAAATCAGGGTCCCAAAAGACGCCATTAAGATAGAACCATAGGCCAAATCTAACATAGTGAGACTTAACACAGACAAATCTAAAATCCCATTCTTAGTTCCCTAACCTCATATTGTTAAGTACAGGACAGGGCATATGAAAAAGCAAAGCACTGGTGGAAAACAAAACCAAACAAATGCCAGAGTCTTGACTGACTAAGACGTCCACAGTGAATGATGTGTGGTAGGAGGCTGTAGTTGCCCTGGTGGAAGTGTACCTTCTGATACAAAGGAGGTCATCACTGGAGAATGCCCTCAGACACGCTCTTGTCATGGCATGCAGAGAAAACAATAACAAAGGCTGTTCATGGCCGAAGAAGACCAGCTAGGCTCTCCCACAGGCCCTTAGACTAAGAGGATTGATATCTGTACACCTGGTAGCCACCAGACCATGCTAGGAGCCATGGTACCCTAACCCAGAGATGGAACGAAGGCCATGGGATAGACGTCCAGGAGGCCAATGTGAAAAAGATCTTCATAACAATAGATTAAGCACTCAGCAATGCAGAGACAGTGTTTGCCCCATCCCTGGAAGAACTCAAACAAAGGCCACTGGATGGGTACGAACATCCAATGGAAACTGCTTCTACCATCTCTTCTAGGCCCTCTAATTTTGGGTTCTTTGTTTTGCCCTCATGACAAATCAATGTTATAAACAGGGCAGTTTCTCACTATTCACATTTTGAAATAGGAAACCAAGCCTACTATGGGAAAACCAAGACTAGGATTTGGATCTACAGACTTTGTTTAACTCCTTTTTCTTCTCTTTTACTCTATCACAATGCCTCGATGTATATTTCTGTGAACTTTGGGCGCGGTGCCTTTTTTAGTTATTTTAGTGAATAAGGAAGTTATTGTGTTTAATAAGGTAAGATGATGTCTTACTGGTATTCATTATATGTCAGGTTCTAAGTATGAGTCACAACCCAATAAATGCATCTGACTTATTGTGCAGTTAAACGTTAGGTGAAACTGTATTGTCTTCAACAGCTCTCTGATACAAATCAACAAGCATCACTAAATCTGCAGGAAGATTCCAAAGGTTCTCATTAGTACAAATTTTAAAAATACTTTTGTTGTAAACAATATAGCCACAGCACAGAAGATATGGGACATAAAGAATAGATGGAAAATTAATTCATGATCTTGCCACCTAACCCCCTTTAGCATTAAGCAACATTCCCACCTACTCTTTTTTTTCCTATGTACATACATCTTTGTAATCTCTTTTGACTTAACAAATAGTTTTTATGCTATTATATGGCTTTCATAATCATACTTTCACTGCAGTGTACTATGCAATTAAATAGGGATTTGATGAAACACAACTTATTCCAGAATTCTTGACTGTCGAATATGACCCAGCTTCTCAACAGTAAAAAGCAAGCATTTTTTGTTGGTTTACCATGTGGACAGGTCATATTATCTTCAAATAATAATAGCTCTGTTCATTTTATTACAGTGCTTTTTACTTTTGTTATTTTCTTATCTTGCTGCATTGGCCAGCAACTCCAGCAAAACATTAAATAAACTAATTCATAATAGTAATTCTTGTATTGCTCCTGATTTAAAGAGAACCAGTGTTTTATAGAGTACAAGATTTACTTCTAGGTTTTTAGTAGACATCATTTATCAGGTTAAGAATGACCTCCTCTCTTCCTGGTTTCCCAAGAGAGTATCAAGAATAGATATTGGATATTATGAAAAACTATTTTTGCATCTATTAATAACAGTTTTTCCCTTACTCTATATATGATATATAATATTAATAGATTGCCTGAGATTAAGCCATCTTTATATTTCTGGTATAATCGTAACACGGTCATGGATTCTCATCTTTTTAAAATCTCCACGGGTTATACACTGATAATTTTATTTCATTTTAAGATTTGTGCCTCTAAGTTGAAATATGATTTTATTTTCTTATACTGGGATTTTCTAGTTTTGGTGTCAATGGTATTCCAGCTTCATATAATATATTAGAATGTGTTTCTTTTAATTTTTATCCTCTAAAAATTTTGTATAAGATTGACATTATCTATTGCTTGAATATTTGGTAGAACTCACTCAAATATCATTTAGGTAAAACATTTTCTTTGTAGAAACTATACTATTTTCTTTATACAAACTATTCTTTGTAGGATAGTTATAATATGAATCAAATATTTAATATTATATGAGACTATTCAGATTTTTTTATTTTTTCTTTAGTCAATTTTGATACATTATGTTTTTCTTGGAATTTGTTTTTTTATCTAAAATTTCAAATGTTTTGGCTTAAAGTCACTCTTGGTATTCTCTTATCTTTAAATATTGCCATGTCCATAGTTATACATCCCTGTTCATTCCTAATATTTTATAGTCTTTTTTCTTTCATCAATATTTCTAGATGAGGGACTTGTACAAGCAGATATCAAAACTTATTACAAAGCTTTAGCAATTAAGAGATTATTGCAAGGATATACAAATAGACCAGGAACAGAATAGAGGAAACAGAAAGAGGTCCACACTTAGATGATATGGTACAGACAATTAATGTTCATTAAATATGTATATATGCTCCCCAAATTTGACACCCTCCCTTGTTTATGGTTGGGACCAAGCCACTAGTCCAGGGCAGTTAAGAGCTCATGTGAGTTTCCATCATCCCTATCTTTCTCTTATATGTGAAGCTATGAAAGAAAATAATTCCTAGCTTGTAGGGTTGCAGGAAGGAAGCAGCCCCGATCCCCGATAAAGTCACCATTCTAAAAGAACCACGAAAAAGAGCCAATGACCAACTTTAGACTTAACAACTGTGAGACGTAAACTTTTGTTGTGCTAAGTCACTGAGATTTCAAGCTTTGCAACTTCATTGTAATATTTCCTATCCTGACAAATACTTATGGAAAGTTAGTACATGACAGAGGTGGCAATGCACGTTGTTCAATAACAGCTTCTGGGACAACAGGCAAAGCATATGCTGAGGAAACAGAATTGGTTCCTTATTTCATCCCATGCAGAAAAAAAAAAAAAAAAGATCCACTTCAGATGAATCTCATACTAAGGCAAAATCTCCCATCTTTAAGAATAAAATACAAAAGAATATATTTATCTAAGAGAATGTCAGGATGGTAAAATTAAAAGTTTTAAAAAGACTCAAAGGCTTTAAAATATATAAAGATTAATATATTTGCCTACATTATTATTAAAAACTTCCACTCACCAAAAGACATCATTTAAAAAAATAAAAGACAAGCCAGAAGAGGAAGACATTTATAACACAAATAACTTATAAAGAGTTAGTAACACAAACATGTAGAATGCCTAGAATCAGTTAGGAAGAGAAAAAAAAATATTAAATAGGCAAAAAAAGACAAAAACAGGCATTTTACAGAATAGAAAACCTGAAAGGCCAATAAACTAAATGAAAAGATACCTAACTTAAAAACCCAAGGAAATTAGAAACACAAATGAGAAACTATTTCACATTTCCGAGGTAGGCAAACAACTTTCAGAGTCTAACAAACCAGATGTTGGCAACAAGTAGAAACTCTGTTTGATGTGATATAAATCACTGCAACCACTTTGGAAAACAGTTTGAACACGTGCCTATCTGAAGGTTCAGCTTAAACTTTGTCTAAAGAATATCATGAGTACACACCCTATGAGGCGAGTAGAGGAACACTCAGAGAAACATTTTTCATAATAGCAAAAAATCCTGTAAAAGTCCCCAAATTCATTGAGTGGAAAATGAATGCGTCAATTACAGTATATTTACACGCTGAATAGGACACAGTGTGAAAACTAAGTTGTGCTACATATATTGACAGGAATACAGCTTAAAAACAAAACGTAAAATGAAAAAAGGAAGAATAGTGCATTATTTTTATAAAATTTTTTCTTTTTTTTTGAGACAGAGTCTGGCTATATCGCCAGGCTGGAGTGCAGTGGCACGATCTCGGCTCACTGCAAGCTCCGCCTCCCGGGTTCAAGTGATTCTCCTCCCTCGGCCTCCCGAGTAGCTGGGATTACAGGCACGTACCACCACACCCAGCTAATTTTTCTATTTTTAGTAGAGATGGGGTTTCACCATGTTGGCCAGGATGGTCTCGATCTCCTAACCTCATGATCCGCCCGCCTCGGCCTCCCAAAGTGCTGGGATTTCAGGCGTGAGCCACCGTGCCCGGCCTAAAAATCTTTAAATGAAGTAAAATAATGTATTTTTTATATGCAAACATAAATGCTAACACTACAGAAACACTGACGTTCAGAAGAGCAGCTATTTCTGGGGGGAAGCAGGGAGGTAGAAAGAGAGGTATACAGAAAACTTCAAAGATGCCAATTATGTTCTATTTCTCAAATTACTTAGCAAGTTCATGGGTGCATGTTGTTTTCAACCTAAGGCCTTATATGGGCCTTATACATTACATTTATTCTCTGAAATTTTCCAGTATTCTTTAATGTAAAAATTTTTAAGTAATCAATGTCCTCTCATCTTCTTGTTTTTAAAGAAAAAGAAAACACTTTATAATGAAACTTCATCAGAGGAAACAGAATTTATAAGCAAGTGGAAGTTTTTTCCTAACAGATAAATTGGCTTCCTTTCCTGCATTCTTTATCATCACTGCAATCTCTTTTTGCCATAACACAAGTTGAGTGTTTTGTTTTATCCTTTTCCCATCACTATCACATACACACAGGGCACCATCATGACTTGCTGTGCAAGGATTGCATGTGTGTGACTCAGGGGAAAGACTGGTTTATGATGTGGCAATGAGAAAGGACACCGTGTTGGGGGAGGGGCCTAAAGCTGAAAGGTTAAACTCTTAGGAAACAGCTGTGAAGTGGCGTATCTGTTAAGTATTGTCATATGTATAAGCCCATGAAACCATCACCACCACCAAAATAGTGAATATGTCCACCATCCTAAAATTTTTCTCACGCCCCTTTGTAATTCGTCACTCTTGCCCCTCCCCAGGCCATGACTGATCTGCTTTTCTGTTACTAGTGATTAGTCTGCATTTTCTAGAATATTATATCAATGGAAATATACATACATATATGCACATATATGTGTATATGTGTGTATATATATGCAACCTGTTCCAATAAAAGAAAACCTGATAAGAAAAATATATATATTTCTATTAACCTGTTCTGTGTCTGTTGGCTGACTGCAACCTGGTAACGCACACATAAATTGAATTATCTAAATCAGTGAATAATAATAGGTTTTGATATAAGAGTTAATGACTTGATGATGGCCTTCATACACAACTTAATTGTCAAGACATTTGTTTATAAAATGATAAATACACAAAGTAGCCTATGAGTTATAGCGTACTAAAGTTTTCCTTTCAACCGTTTCATAGAAAAGAAAAAACCTGAAAATACTAATACTTACAGGACAGAATTTGTACTGTTAGCAAGAATAGCTTGTATCTCATGTAGGAACATATTTGACTTTTGCTTCTGTGTTAAAACTTTGACAAAGATGATTTTGAATAAAGTTTCTTTATAATCAGACCCCATATCTATCAGGTTCTCTGATACTGTAATTTAACATCACTATTGGGCCTAAATAGCATTCTGTAAATGCTTCAATTGGTATTAATCATGATCATCTTAACATCTGTAGAAAAATAATAAACAAGGTCATAAATCCCTCACTACACAATTTCACGTTTTCACCAGCATTTTATTCTTTCTTTAGAAGACTTAGTCAAAGACTCAGAATTATTTCACATTTAGAGTTACATGTGCTTTATTTTGCCAGTGAGTGAAAATATTAAAGTACTTGCATGATGAAATTGAATGGTAGTATTTTGTAGTCACTTCTATTCCACTTCCTATTAAAGTTTTATATGTGTGGTTGGTTGGTTGGTTGGTTTTGTTTTGTTTTGTTTTCCCCAGGGCAGATCATGGTGTATTTCTGCTGCAGGTGAAGCTCAGGACGGAGGCAGGTTCTGGAACCGGGCGTGGCTGGACCCCACACTGCTGCAGGAGGACTGGTCCCGCGGGGATGCCCCACTGCAGCTGCCGGGAGCCTGCTGCCCCGCGCGTGTCTCCTCGGACACTCAGAGGAGGTGGGGACCAGGGTCACGCGGAGGTCCCACTGCAGGTAGGGCCAGACCAGGTGCTGGGGAGTGGGGCGGCTGACACCACTGGACTTGCATCCAGAATATGTAAAGAACTCTTAAAAAGCAATACAAGAAAATAAATAAGCCAATTGAAAAATGGGCAAGAAATATAAACAGATCCTTCACCAAGGAAGATATATATGGATGGCAAATAAGCACACGAAAAAATGCTCAATATCACTAGTCCTTGGGGAAATGCAAATTAATCCAGAATGCGGTACCACTATATACCTCTTAGGATGGCTATTATGGAAAGTTTGAACCATTCCAAGTGCAAGGGAGGATGTGGATGAACTGGAACTCAAATACTGCTGGAGGGAATGTAAAATGGTACAGCTGCTTTGGGAAACAAATTTACATTTTCCCCAAAAGTTAAACATATACCTGTTATCTAATCTAGACATTCTACTTCAAAATACCCCAAAGAAATGAAGACTCACAAGGGTTTTCCGGAAAGGACTTTTGCTAGCTTTCTCAATAACATAAGCTAGATTGATGACATTTTCTTTTCTGTCCCTTAAAATGACTGCTCTTCATTTGATTCTCCACCCCTTTTTTTTCTCCTTCACCAACTTCAACCACTAACTACCTTGGGGAGTTTTGGCCATAGGAACTTAAATCCTCAGAAACGTTCTACGTGAGTTACTTGAATAACAGGCAATTCCACTAAGGCAACTATTATTTTCTTATCAATTCTTAATGAACAAAAGTGGAAACAAGTTAATAATCACCCACTTATTCCAAAACTGCTAATCAGCACCTTCAAGTCTCAAGGTCTTGGAGATGTCTATATGTAGTTTTGGTTTAGGTATAGAGCAATCTCTCTTTCTGGCCTCTGAGTTTTCTTCTCTAAGTACATCTTGGCGAAATTTCATTCAATCCTGAGTAAACCTCTATAGACAAGATGCACTTACTCTGGCTGAAAAAAAAAATCATAGTCATGGAACTAGAGAGCGGAAAAGCATCTTCCTTTGGACACGGCTCCACCCCCATCCTTTCTTCTCTTGCTGCCCTCCCACCATCCCTGTTTTGCCAGTAAATTCCAGACCTTTTCAGCAAGAGTTCACTGCTAGAAGAATTAGTGTCATAAACATGCTCCCCTTTGCCCTGTTCTCGGAGTTTATATGAGGCGTGCAAAATTTTCAATGTTACGTTTAGAACAGGCCCGAGTGTTATTTAGCTCATTAATGAGGAAATGAATAGGGAAAAATCCCAAAAAGAATTGGTTTAAAGAGCACTTAAGAAACATAGATTTCTATAGTTGGTCAGGAAATGAATATCAAAATAAGAGTTTCAAGACCTTCTGCTTCCTGGGAGGATTTAATTGATAAAGGATATTCTGGATAATGCTACAATGATTGGACAAACATGGATAAATTGAAGAAGCTGTATTTTTTTTAAGAATCAAAGAGCTAAGAAAACGACTAGGAGCGGAAAAACAAAATTTTCAGAGAAGAGACAATGACAATGATTAAGATGAGAATTGATGATTGCCAGCCTCCCGCCCCTCTGCCAACATTACCAATTTTGGCTGCAAGCTGAAGACTTGGCTTGACCCACACAGAGGACCTCTGCTGGAAAAAGAGAAAGCAGCAAAGCTTTTAATGGTTATGTGGGGCTACTCTGACAATCAGAAGCTTGAGGGGGGTCTCAAACAAATGATGAGTTTGCAAAATAGGGATTTCCTGAGTTCTGGGATAGTGTAGGTAACTGGAAATGGATGTGGAAGCTTTGGAAATGGCAGAGTAAAATCTCATGAAGCTTTAAGTTATTACATATCAAAAACCTTCTATTCAGCCATTAAAAAGTAATGATTTTATGTCATTTGCAGCAACATGAATGGAACTGGAAGTCATTACATTAAGTGGAACAAGGCAGACACAGAAAGACAAATTTTGCATGTTCTTATTCTGTATAGGAGCTTAAAAAGTTAATCCCATGAAGGTAGAGAGAAGAATAATAGATAGTAGAGGCTGGGAAGGCTGTGTGGGTAAAAGACGGGGATAAAGAGAGCTTGGTCAATGGGTAAAAACATACAGTTAGATAGAAAGCATATGTTCTATTGGAGAGCAAGGTAGGGTGACTATAGTAAGCAACAGTGTATTGTCTATTTCAAAGTAGTTACAAGAGAGAACTTGAAATATTCCCAACGTATAAAAATGGTAAATACTCAAGATGGCAGATACTCCACATACTCTGACTTGATCATTACACATTCTATGAATGCAACAAAATATCACATGTACCCCATAAATATATAAAATAGTATGTATAATTTTCAGAAAGAAGAAAAGGATACATTATCCATGAAGCTGCCTTGTTAATTTCCACTTTCTCAAGACTATAAAATCCACTTCCACTTTATCAAGATTACAAAATCAGCTTTCAAAGGATAATGGCCAATAAAGTGAATGTATTTTAGAAACTACTGTGAACCATAAAGAGGCAATGTTTGTCAAGTACATACACTCATAGGCTATCCAAGATGCTGTTAAAGATTGATAGATTAAAAGAAAGAAAGAAAAAAAACTACTAGAAGAAGCCCTGCCTCAAGCACATAACCTGTTTTCCATCAAAACATTTGCCAGATTTTTCATCTCTATGAGACTGATCACTTGAGAGCTGGGCTGTGAATCTCTGGAGGGTATATCTGGTTCTCCCACAATTTTTTTGGAACTAAGGCAACAGAGACTCACAAGGCTCTCTATGAAAAGCCCAGAAAAGTCTCAATTGAGAAACACAAGTAAACCAAGTTCTAATGTGTTTTACTAAAATGGAAAATTCTGGTTGGACTGAGTTTACCAATACCTCATTGCATCTACTGAACAGAAAAGAAGAAACTCCCTGATCATTAATAACATTAGCCGAAGCCTCTATTGTCCTCTCATACACATTGTTTGGCAAAATTAAAAATTTACCACAGAGACGAGAAAATATGGCTAATAATTAAGAGAAAAAAGCAGAATATGGAAGCAGCTCACATGTAATCAAGAAATTATAGTTAGCAAACTAAGACTGTAAATAACTGTGATTAATACCCTCAAGAAGATGCAGAAAAACATGAACTAAACAGGTAAAAGGATAAAAAATACCAACAATGGATTGAAATCTATAAAAAGGAATCTAATAGACAATCTAGAACTGAAAAATATAATAGCTGAAGTGAAAATTCAGCTGATGGGTTAACAGCTGATTAAACACAGCAGACCACAGGTTTTGCAAATGTGGAGGTAGTTTAACAGAAAATATCAAAACCAATGCATAGAGAGAAAAATAATAAAAAGAGCGTAAGAGATATGCATGATATACTCAAGAAGTCTAACATATGTATAATTAATCTTAGAAGAAGACAGAAAGAGCAAATCAGAAGCAACAGTTGAAGAGATAGTGGCCAAACGTTTTTCAAAACTGGTGAACCACATTTTCATGGGGCTTAGCAAATTCCAAGTTGGTGGGAAAATAATATTTGATCTGATTGACTTATTTGTTATTACATACCCCCAACATAGAACCTTTGTGGGGATTTAGGTTCCTGCACCCAAAACTCCCCATGGTAGGTGGTGGTGGTGATGAGGAGGGGACAAAGGACTAGAAGGCCAAATTACAAAAAAAAAAAAAAAATTGAAAAAAAAAGGATAGGCTGGGCGCAGTGGCTCATGCCTGTAATCCTAGCCCTTTGGGAGGCTGAGGCAGGCGGATCATGAGGTCAGGAGATCGAGACCATCCTGGCTAACATGGTGAAACCCTGTCTCTACTAAAAATACAAAAAAATTAGCCGGGTGTGGTGGCGGGCACCTGTAGTCCCAGCTACTCAGGAGGCTGAGGCAGGAGAATGGCGTGAACCCGGGAGGTGGAGCTTGCAGTGAGCCGAGATCGTACCACTGCACTCCAGCCTGAGCAACAGAGTGAGACTCTGTCTCAAAAAAAAAAAAAAAAAGATAAACCAAAGATAACTACACCTTGACCCATCATAATAAAACTCTTGAATACCACAGACAAAATAGCAACAATTTAAAAGCAGTCAGAGAAACAAAGGCATTCAGAGGAAGACTTACAACTGCCTCCTTGATAGAAACAGTGAAAACTAGAAGACAACGAGGTACAAACAGACCTCATTTTATTTCACTTTGCTTTATTGTACCTCACAGATACTGTGGGGGTTTTTGTTTTGTTTTACAAATTGAAGGTTTGTGGCAACCATGCATCTGGCTCTATCAGCTCCATTTTTCCAACAGCATGTGGTAACTTCATATCTCTGTGTCACATTTTGGTAATTCCCACACTATTTCAAACTTTATTATTATTATATGTTATGGTGATCTGCAATCAGCAATATCTGATGTTACTATCGTAATTGTTTTGAGGTGACACAAACCACACTCATAAGACAGAAAAGTTAATAAATGTGTTCTGACTGTCCCACAGACCAGCTACTCCCCCATCTCTCTGTCTCCTTCCTATTCTCTGAGATGCAACAATATTGAAATTAGGTCAATTAATAGCCCTACAAAGACCTCTAAGCATTCAAAGAAGAGTCACAATTCTCTCACTTTAATAAAAACAAGAAATGATGAAGCTTAGGCATGTTGAAAGCCAAGATGGGATGAAAGCTAGGCCTCTTGCACCAGATGGTTAGAAAAGTTGTGAGTGCAAAGTAAAAATACTTGAAGGACATTAAAAGTGCTACTCCAGTGAACACACAAATGATCAGAAAGCAAAACAGCCTTATTGTTGATATGGAGAAAGTTTCAGTAGTGTCAATAATAGATCAAAACAGACCCAACATTCTCTTAATCCAAAGCCTAACACAGAGCAAGGCCCTAACTCTTCAATTTTAGGAAGGCTGAGAGAGGTGAGAAACCTGCAGAAGAAAAGTTGGAAGCTAGCAGAGGTTGGTTCATGAGGTTGAAGGAAAGACGCCATCTCCATAACACAAAAGTGCAAGATGAAGCAGCTAGTGTTAATGTAGAAGCTGCAGCAAGTTACACATATCTAGGTAAGATCATTGATGAAGGTGGCTACACTAAACAACAGATTTGCAATGTAGACAAAACAGCCTTCTGTTGGAAGAAAATGCCATCTAGGACTTTTATAGTGGAGAAAAGAAGTCAACGTCTGGTTTTGAAGCTTCAAGGGACAAGCTGACTTTCTTATTAGGAGCTAATAAAGCTGGTGACTTTAAGTTGACGCCAACGTCCATTTCTCATTTCAAAACTTAGGCTACATCTACTCTACCTATGCGCTATAAACTTAACAACAAAGCCTGAATGACAGCACATCTGTTTACAGCATGGTTTACTGAATATTTTAAGCCCACTGTTGAGAGCTAGTTCTCAGGGGAAAAAAAAAAAGATTCCTGTAAAAATATCACTGTTCATTGGCAAGGGAACTGGTCATCCAAGGGCTCTGATGAAGATGTAAAAAGAGATTAATGTTTTTTCATGCCTGCTAACACAATTTCCATTGGATCAAGAGGTAATTTTGACTTTCAATTCTTATTATTTAAGAAATACATTTTGTAAGGCTATAGGTGCCATAGATAGTGATTTTTCTGATGGAACTGGAAAAGTAAATGGAAAACTTTCTGGAAAGGATTCACCATTCTAGATGTCATTAAGAACATTCATGGTTAATGAGAGGAGGTCAACATATCAACATTAACAGGAGTTTAGAAGTTGACTCCAACCCTCGTGGATGACTTTAAGGGGTTCAAGACTTCAGTAGAGGAAGTAACTGCAGATGTGGTGAAAATAGCAAGAGAACTAGAATTAAAAGTGGAGCCTGAAGGTGGAATCAATTGCTGCAGTCTCATGACCAAATTTGGATGAATGAGGAGTTGTTTCTTATGGTTGAGCAAAGAAAGTGATTTCTTGACATGGAATCCACTCTTGGTGAAGATGCTGTGAACATTTGCTGAAATGACAACATGGGTATATTAGTCCATTTTCACACTGCTATAAAGAAAGAACTGAGTAATTTACGAAGGAAAGAGGTTTAATTGACCCACAGTTCCACATAGCTGGAGCAGCCTCAGGAAGCTTGCAATCATGGAAGAAGGTGAAGAGGAAGCAAGGCACGTCTTACACGGTGGCAGGAGAGACGGAGAGAGAGCAAGGGGGAACATGCCACACCTTTAAACCATCAAACCTCATGAGAACTCACACTCACTATCATGAGAACAGCTCCCATGATCCAGTCACCTCCCACCAGGTCCCTCCCCTGATGCACGAGAATTACAATTTGACATTAGATTTGGGTGGGGACACAGAGCCAAACCATATCAAAAGGATTATGAATATTACCTAAACTGAATTGAGAAAGCAGTGTCAGGGTTTGAGAGGATTAACTCCAATCTTGAAAGAAGTTCTACTTTGGGTAAAATGCTGTCAAACAGCATCACATGCTACAGAGAAATCTTTCAAGAGGAGAAGAGTTGATCGCTGTGGCATGGTTAATTGTTGTCTTATTTTAAGAAATTGCCACAGCTACCCCAACCTTCAGCAGCCACCACTCTGGTCAGTCAGCAGCCATCAACATCAAGGGTAGACCTCCCACTAGCAAAAAGATTACAACTTACTGAAGCCTTAGATCATTGTTAGCATTTTTAAGTGAAAAAGTATTTTTAACTAAGATATGTACATTGTTTTTTAGACATAAAGCTACCATACATTTAATAGACTACAGTATAGTGTAAACATAACTTTTACATGCAATGGGTAACCAAAAAAAAAAGAAATTGTGACTTGCTTTATTGCAATATTCACTTTTCTGCAGTGGTTTGGAAGCAAATCCACAATATCTCTGAGATACACCTATAATATATTTAATGTGTGAGTGGAAAATAATTGCAAAACTGGAATTCTACATCTTAAAAAATATGGGCTTCAAAAATGTAGGTCACTCTGAGTAGGTCCACATGTTGTGTATCAATATGCTCAAAAAAATAAAGAGAAACATGTTCAAATAATTTTTAAATAAGATATTGATGAGTGAACAAATATAAAATCTTTGAGAGAGAAAGGGAGGCTAGATAACGTTTAAAAACAGCTGGAAAGAACAGTAACGAGAATTTTTTAATTTACGAGGTGATTCCCAGAGCAGATTAGTGACAGATAAAGAACTAGTGAGTTTTTTACACAGTTGAAAGATCACAAAGAAAAAAAGTCTGTTGAAAAATAAACAGAGCCCCTGGCTCTGCCAAAATATATGTAATTAAAATCCCCAAAAAAAAAGAGGGGGAGAAAGGCGTAGAAAATATTTAAAGTAATAATGACTGACAACTTTTCAAACAGTGAAAAATATTAATTTACATATTCAACAAGCTCAATACAACCCAACAAAGAATAATCACAAAGAAAGCACATCATAAGCAAATTGTTAAAAGCCAATGATAAAGAAAATATCCTGAGAGCAGCTAGAGAAAAACGACCCATCACATACAGGAAATACAATGAAGTGATTAACAACTGAATTCTTATGAGAAAGTACGGAGGCCAAAAGGCATTGGAACAACATACTCTAAGCACCTAAAGAAAACTAAACTGTCAATTAAGAAATCTTACCCAGTGAAACCACCCTTTAAAAATTAATGCCATTATTTGCAGATGGCATGATTGTTTTTCTGGAATATTCACAAGCATGTACAGATTATTAAAATCAGTAAACAAGTTTAGCAGTGCTAGTGGATAAAAGGTCAATATTAAAATCACTTTTATTTCTATCAACGAACAAGTCATAAATGAAATGTTTCAAAAATTACTTCATGTACAAGCTCACTAAAAATAGTAACCACCTAAAAATAAAGCTATTGCTGACACAGACAGTGATTCTTCTGAAAATATGAAAAACATGTAAGTTCCCTACACTGAAAAATTTTAAAAATTGCCAAGAGAAGTTAAAGAATATCTTATAAATGGAGCTATACAATGTAGCATGTTCAATAATTGAAAGATTTGATGTTGTAAAGTTGTCAGTTATTCCCAAATTGATTTATAAATTAATTGCAATCCCAATCAAAATCGCTGTTGGTATTTTGTGGGAATTGACAGGTGATTTTAAAATTCATATGAAAATATTAAATGCAAATAATAGCTATGGCAATCTTGAGGAATAGTAAAGACTTACCCTACTAGATAGCATTTTATATCAGGGCTATAGTAATTAGGACAGCATTTCAGTGAAAATTTATACAAACTGGCCAATGCAATAGAATGAATAGTCCAGAAAAAGACTCATACACACCTACATAGTTACCTGATTTATGCCCAACACGCCACTGAACTGAAGAGAGAAAAGAGTATTCATTTCTCTAAATGGCACTGAATCATTTGGATAGTCAAATGGAGAAATGAAAATTGAACCTTGAGCCACTGCTTAATACCATATCCAAATCTTAATTGTTGGTCTGCAGATCTGAATGTGAAAAGTAAAACAATAAAGCCTTTAAAGAAATGCACAGGAGAAAATTTTTATGACTTTGGAGTAGGCAAATAGTTGTAAAACAGACACAAAATATTCTAATAATCAAAGAAAGACTATTGATAAATCAAGGTGTGTTCATCCAAAGACACCATTAGGGAAATGAAATGCAATCCACAGAGTTGAAGCAGGTATTTGGAATAGATACTGCTGACAAAGTGTTCTTACCCAGAATGCATTAAAAACCACTGCAAATCAGTAAGAAAAATCTAGGTAACCCAATAGAAATACAAACAAAAGGTTGAACTGATCCTTAACAAAAGAAAATATTTAAATGGCCAAAAAATAATTTGAAAAAGTGTTCAACTGCATTAGCCATTGGGGAAATTCAATTAAAGCCAGAATGAAATTGCGGGACACTCTTACCAGAATGGTGAAAATGAATAAGAGAAAATATTAAACGCTGGTAAAGATTTCCATCAGCTGGAACTGTCAAACATTCCCACTGGAAGTACATATTAGCAGAACCATGCTGTGTGGCAGCAGTAACTACTGCTGAGGAACAAATACATATCTTATGACTCAGTAATTTCACTCACAGGTACAAGACCAACAGAAAATAGTAGAAATGTCAACCAAAGTATGTATACAAAAATACTCATAGCAGCCCTATATTTATTAGCCAAAAACCAGAAACTATCCAAATGTTCATCAGCAGTACAATGTATTAATAAATCATAGCATATTCACAAAATATGATTTTGTGAAAATTAATTTAGTTGCCCATGATGAGTTCACTGTTCTGTGTATGCATTATACTTCATTTAAAAGTTTGAAAAGATCCATATTATGTATAAGACTGGTTAACTTTGTACGGGGCGATAAAATCATATCATCTTTGGGGATAATTTCTCAACCAGGATTTTTACTACTGTGAGTTGATTCCGAGCAACCTCTATTATTACAGGGCTGTACGCTGTGTGTATTTATTTTAGTTATTGATTGTGTCAAACCAGACCACCAGGCCATAAAAGAATCATTATTTTGCTGCATTTCCATGTTTAGAACAAATGCCTCTTTTTCCAGCATTCCTGGGAACCAAGGAGGAAACGCACAAAAGATGTCAACGGGCTGTCTTTAGTTTAACTGAGCTTCATTTTACTGGATTTTTTGGTTAGGGTTTTTGTATGGCCTTTCTCATTTGCGCCTCACATTATAACTGCTACATCTTAGTTTTGCAAACAAGAAAATTGAGATTGCGAGAGATTCAGAGTCGCAAGAGATTCAGAGTCGCAAGAGATTCAGAGTCGCTATGAGGCCTTGGTCAAGACCACAGAGCTAAAAGGCAGGGCAAAAACAAAATTAATATTTAGCTAAAGCACATATTGCTATTTCCACTTTTTTTTTTTTGAGGCGGAGTCTTGCTCAGTCGCTTAAGCTGGAGTGCAGTGGCGTGATCTCGGCTCACTGCAACCTCTGCCTCCCAGGTTCAAGCAATTCTCCTGCCTCAGCCTCCTGAGTAGCTGGGATTACAGGCGCCCATCACCATGCCTGGCTAATTTTTGTATTTTTAGTAGAGATGGGGTTTCACCATATTGGTCAGGCTGGTCTTGAACTCCTGACCTCGTGATCCACCTGCCTCGGCGTCCCAAAGTGCTGGGATTGCAGGTGTGAGCCACCACACCTGGCCGATATTTCCACTTTTAAAAAGCATTAGCACAGCTTGTAATTGTTTCTAAGTACCTACTAACTATAGTTTTAGGTACTAGAGGAAAACTCCTAAGTGTGTCATCAGGTGTCAGAACAGAGGGACCCAAGGATGGAAGAGCCCGTATCTGTTTGTGTCAAGGCCAGCTCAGGGATTACCCTTGACCACTCAGACATTCCAGCTACTTCATGAAAGAGAACTAGTAGGATTACACACAAGGGAACAATATTACTTCACCCAGAAATACCTCGGCACTCTGGGGAACACACCATCCATCTGGGGAGAAGGTACCTACCCAAAAGGAAAAAAAAAGTTCTATTCTAGACACTGTCAGTACGAGTCATCAGCTGATGTGTGGAGAATTACATCTACCTTGCATTTTTTTCCAAACACCCACTCAAAGAAAGTGTCCTCTGAAGTGTGGAAATGAGTCAGTGCATGAATCTCACTTTCCTGATGTGGCCCTAGACCTTCTTAGAGTTTAGAGTAGGACTAAGTGTCCTCAGGAAATCAGTCAGCACTTGCTGGGTGCAGAAAATCCCTTCATGCGGAGCATCAGGGGTGCAAAGTCACGTGCCAGCCCTACAGAAGCTTACCATCCCATTGGAGTGGCCCCCTCTGGTCCTCATGACCAGGAATCCTGATGTTTTTGACATTGTTCCTGTTCGTTCATAAAATTGGCTGAGGTCCAAACCTCAGCCTTGAGTACAGTCCCTGAGAGGAAGTTGTTCTTCATACACAAAGCTCTGGTTTCCTAACATGCTTAGTGATTAGAAAAATTTTAAAACTCTTAACAATCTCTGAGAGTACCCAGCCAGCGAGGTTACAGCGAGGCTAGCAGCTCTCATTTGCACTGACCGAGCAACAGTCTACAACATCTCCCAGCAACAAATAGCTCAGTGAAGACAGCCCTGCTGATGGCATGCTCGCTTGAAATATTTAAAAAAGAGAGAGAAAGAGAAATACTATGGCACAATAAGACTCTCTGTCTCCAGGGCGTTTGTTCTGTTTTGTTTTGTTTGATGAAGCAGTTTGAATAAGAAAAATCAAGAAAACCACTACTTCCGTTATCACCTACCTCATGTTAAGTGCATGGAATTATCATGACACTATTCCTAAGAAACTACTTTTACTTTATGCTGATTCTGAAGTTCTTATACCAAGTAAATTAATGATGTTTGAAAACAAAAAGAAAGCAAATGTCCCACCTCAATCCAAAACATTCCAAGATGCACTATACATCCTTGGCTTTAGAACAAACAAGATAATCCTTTTTGAGAAGATTATCAGCAATTTTTTTCTCTTGTGTTTTTCTAACAAACAAAATGGATCACATGGCAAATATATCTCCAGAAATAATATTTAAATTAAAGGATTAGATTTATCCTTTAATTTATCCTTTAATTTATATTTATCCTTTAATTTAATCTAAATTAAAGGATTAATTAAGGCAATGTATAGGAAGGGAAGCAGAGACAAAGATAGTTATAAAGCCAAGAAGGAACAGGAGAACATTTGAAGAAGGAAAGGGAGGACGAGGAAATGAAGAAAACCTGGAAGTGAATGCCAAGGTGTTAGGTTATTTGCCCACATCAACTGACTTAGCAGCTCCAGAGGTGGGACCTAGGAATCTGTGCCCTCCAGGTATTCTGAGGCAGGCTAACATTTGATAAACAATAAACGAAAATGCTCTGTAGCCCATGTTTTAACTTCTTTAAAAGTAGAACTGCCTTTACTCTCTTTCATTCTTCCAAAGCATCCCAGGCAAATGGGCCATTGATAATGATGACTGATGACTGGGTAGTTCATCTCACAGCCACCAACGTAATCAAGAGAGGAAGCCACTGGAGTTGCTCAACCATTAAGCCCAAATCCACTATCAAACTGAAGCCATTAGGACTTCCAGTGTAGCCTGCAACACATGTGTTTCTCTGATATTCAGATGAGAATCAAGTCGCCATTCAGGCCTAATTCGCCTTCGCCTTCTAAACAGGGTGGGGGCAAATCCCCTAGCCCTTTTCTTTGTCAGGAAGCTGGATATTCACTGATAGATGGGGTGCTTTTCAAACCACTGACCCCAGGACAGGGAAGGAGCTGTTATTTCCTGTCCCTTGTACAGTTAGTCTAACTCAATCCTCATTCGTACTCTAGAATGAAAACTTGATCATTTGTAGAGCAATGCCTGAAACCACCGTGGAGCCAGGCTGGTAGATGCCCTGGTACATTGCAGGTTGGAAGATTATTTCCATGGATCTTGGGAGAGCACCAGATGCAGGCCATTGGGTGTGGTTCAAACTCTTCCATCCCAGGCTCCCTTAGCTGGTTGTAACTAATTCAGCATATTTCTGCAGGATTTGCAAAAATCTCTACAGTTAGAAATAGATACTCTCATATATTCTTATTTTAATGAGAATTTTATTGAGATGTCATTCACACAGCATAAAATTACCCTTTTAAAAGTGTACAATTCAAAGGGTTTCAGTATATTCATAGAGTTGCGCACCCATCACCACTATCCAATTTCAGAGCATTTTCATCACCCCCAAAAGAAACTTCATACTCATTAGCAATCACTCTTCGTTCCCCTTTCTTCTAGCCCCTGGCAATCTATATACTACTTTCTGATTCTATAAATTTGCTTATTCTAAGCATTCCATATAAATGGAATTATACAATGTGTGGGCTTCTGTAACTAGCTCCTCTCACTTAGCATAATGCTTTCAAGGTTCCTCTATGTTGTACTGTGTATAGGTAGTACTTCACTCCTTTCCATGGCTGAATAATATTCCGTTGTTTGGATATACTGCATATTGTTAATCCATTCATCCATTAATGGACATTTGGGTTGTTTCTATGTTTTGGCTATTTTGAATAATGTTGCTATGAAAATTGGTGTACAGATTTTTGTGTTGTTAATTATGTCACATAGATACCTAGGAGTGGAATTGCTGAGTCATATGGCAACTCTATGTTGAACATTTCAAAGAACCACAAACTATTTTAAAAGTAGCTGTACCATCTTACATTCCTTCCAGTAATAAATGAGTGTACCAGTTTCTCTATGTCCTCACTAACATTTATTATTTCTGGCCTCTTTCATCCCGTCATTCTAGTGGATGGCATCTTAGTATGTTTTGCTTTGCGTTTGCTAATGACCAGTAATGTCGAGCATCTTTTAATGTGCTTAGCAACCCTTTATCTATCTTCTTCAGCGAAATGTCCATTCAAATCTTTTGCTCACTTTTTAATTGGGTTGTCTTTTTATTGTTAATTTATCAGAGATTTGTGCATATTATGGATACAAGTTCATTATCAGATAATTTGCCAATATTTTATCCCACTCCATGAGCTATATTTTCACTTTCTTAAGAGAGTACTTTAAAACATGAAAGGATTTAATTTTGGTGAAGTGCAATTATCTATTTTGTTGTTGCTTGTGCTCTGGCGCTGTATACTTAAGGAAGCATTGCCCAATTCAAGGTCACAAAGATTTATATTTATATTTCCTTCTAAGAGTTTTGCAGTTCTAGATCATACGTTTAGTTCTATGATTGCTTTTTGAGTAAATTTTTGTGTACAGTATGAGATAGAGATGCAAATTTTTTCTTCACATGTGGATATCCAGATGTCCCATCACCTTTTATTAAGAAGATTATTCTTTCCCCCACTGAATTGCTGGCATCTTTCTTGGAACCAATTGACCATAAACGTAAGGGCATATTTCTGAATTCTTAATTCTATTTTTATTGATTTTTATATTTATACTCTGAGAACATCCTACTGTCTTGGATACCGTTGCTTTGTAGTAAGTTTTAAAATGGGAGTGTAAGTCATTGACTTTGTTATTTTTCAAGATTGTTTTGGATATTCTCCATCCTTTGCATTTCCTTGTGTATTTTATGAGCAGTTTCTCAATTTCTGCAATAAAGGCAATTTGGATATTCATAAGGATTGTGATAAATCTGGGATACATTTGGGGAGTACTGCCATCTTTAAAAAAGTTAAGTCTTCTGATTCATGAACATGGGATGTCTTTCAATTAATTGAGCGATTTTAAAATTACTTTCAATAATATTTTATACTTTTAGTGTACAAGTCTTATACTTCTTTTCTTAAGTTTATGCTATTTTATTCTTTTTGAAGCTATTGTAAGTAGAATTGTTTTCTTAATTTCATTTTCAAATTTTTCATTGCTAATATATAAAAATACAATTAATTTTCATATATTGATTTTGTATCTTGCAAACTTACTGAGCTTGTTTAGTAGTCTAATAGTTTTTAGTGGATTCCTTAGAATGTTCTATATACAAGACCAGGTCATTTGAGAATAGAGCTGGTTTTTTCCAATATGAATTTTATTTCTTCTTGCCAAATTTCCCTAGCTAGCATTCTTAGTACAATGTTGAATAGAAGTGGTAGGATTAAACATCCTTCTCTTCTTCCTGATCACAGAGGGAAAGCTACTGGTCTTTGATCATTAAGTATAATGTTAGCTGTGGGGTTTTTTGGATGCCCATTATCAGGTTAAGAAAGTCCTCTTCTATTACTACTCTGCTGATTTTTGTTGGTTTGTTGTTGTTGTTGTTGTTGTTTTTAATCTTGAAAGGGTGTCAGATTTTATCAGACATTTTGTCTGCATCTATTGAGATGATTATGCAATTCCATCCTTTATTCTATTAATATGTTGCATTACATTGATTGATTTTTGGATGTTGAAATAATGTTGCATTCTTAGGATAAATCCCACTTGGTCATGGCATATGATTCTTTTATAGCTGCTCTATTTCATGTCCAGTGTTTTGCTGAGGATTTGTATGTCTGTATTCATCAGGGATATTGGTCTTTATTTTACTTTTCATATGATGTTTTCATCTGGTGTTGGTACCGGGGTAATACTGACTTTCTAGGATGAATTCGCAAGTGTCCCTTCCTTTTCAACTTTTTGAAATAGTTTTCTGAAGGATTGCTGCTCATCTCTTTTAAA
This sequence comes from Homo sapiens, assembly GCF_000001405.40. Classification (NCBI taxonomy): domain Eukaryota; kingdom Metazoa; phylum Chordata; class Mammalia; order Primates; family Hominidae; genus Homo; species Homo sapiens. The sequence continues at coordinate 102,078,661 of NC_000002.12, read as the reverse complement.
TGTTTGGTGGAATTCACCAGTGAAACCATCTGGGCATGGGCTTTTTTCCTTTTTTTTTTCTTGTGTGTGTGTGTGTGTGTGTGTGTGTGTGTGTGTGTGAAGTTTTTTGACTGCTAATTCAGTGTCTTTATTTATTATAGTCCCATTCAGATTATCTATTTCTTCTTGATCCAGTTTCAGTTGTGTCTTTCTAGGAATTTGTGCCTTTCAACTAGGCTTTTTAATTAGTTGGCATATAATTTTTTCGTAGTATTCCCTTATAATCCCTCTTATTTCTGTAAGGTCCCCTCTTTAATTCCTGATTTTAGTTATTTGAGTCATCTTTCAATTTTTGATCAGTCCAGTGAATGCTTTGCCAGTTTTGTTTATCTTTTCAGAGAAGATAACCTACATTTGGTTTGTTGATTTTCTCTATTTTTTTCTATTCCCCATTTTATCTATTTCTACTCTGATCTTAATTATGAACTTCCTTCTGATATTTGGCATTTAGTATTCTCTTCTTTTTTAGTTTATTAGAGTGGAATGATAAGTCATTTAAGATCCTTTTTTGTAATATACTCATTTATTTCTTTAATTTTTTCTCTATGTATAGCTTTAGCTGCATCCCATAAGCTTGGTGTATTGTGCTTTCATTTTCTTTAATCTTACAGTATTTTTAATTTCTCTTTTAATTTCTTCTTTGACCCATTTGATATTTAAGAGTATATTGTTTAATTTTCACATATTTGTGACTTTCCTAAATTTTCTTCTTTTATTGATTTCTAATTTCATTTCGTTGTGATCAGAGAATATACTTTGTATGATTTCTCTCTTTTTTTAGTGTACTAAGCATTGTTTTATGTCTTCACATATGGTCAACCCTGGAAAATAGTCCACATGCAGTGGATAAAAATGTGTATTTCACTGTTCTTGTGTGGAGTGTTCTGTATATGTTAGGTCTAACCTGAATGTCAAACTCACAATGCCTACGATCCAATAAAAAATTACCATGCATGCAAAGAAGCAGGAAAATATAACCAACAGGAGGAGAAAAATGAATCAATCAAAACTGATGCAGAACTAACACAGAGCAAGAATTAACAAGCAAGGACATGAAAACATTTATTATGACTATTCTATAAGGCCAAGATGCTAGAGGAAAGATCAAGCATGTTGAACAGAGACACAAAAGAGATTTTTTTAAGGTAAAATAACTAATTGAGATAAAATCAGCTGTATCTTAGATTTGAGAAAACACATTAGATTGTATTATGGCAAATTCACATTACAAAAGAAAAGATTAGTAAACTTCGGCCGGGTGCCACGGCTCACACCTATAATCCCAGCACTTTGGGAGGCCAAGGTGGGTGGATCACCTGAGGTCAGGAGTTCAAGACCAGCCTGGCCAAAATGGCAAAACCCCATCATCTCTAAAAATACAAAAATTAGACCAGCATGGTGGCAGGCACCTGTAATCCCAGCTACTCAGGAGGCTGAGATGTGAGAATTGCTTGAATCCAGGAGGTGGAGGTTGCAGTGAGCTGAAATTGCACCACTATACTCCAGCCTGGGCAACAGAGCAAGACTCTCTCTCAAAAAAAATAAAATAAAAAGAAAGAAAGAAAAACAAAAATTAGTAAATTTCAAGACATGGCAATAGAAACTACCCAAAATTAAGCGGTGAGAAAAGAAGATTGAAAAAATGAGCAGAGCATTAATGAATTGTAGAACAATGTAAAATATCCAAATATATGTGTAATGGAAGTCCCTCAAGGGGGGATTATGAGAGAGGAATTAATAGAAAAAAAATTTGAATAAATAATGGCTACAAACCCCCCAAATACAGTAACTGTAAACCCACAGATCCAAGAAGGGCAACAAGCCCTAATACAAAAAATATGAAGACAACTACACTAAGGTACATCATAATCAAATGCTTACAATACCTGCTAAAGAGAAAATCTTAAAAGCTGCCAAAGAAGAGCAAAAAAAAGAAAAAAGAATGACAGCAGATTTCTCATTAGAAACAATGCAAGCCAAAAGACCCTAGATCAATATCTTTAAAGGGCTAAAAGAAATAATTCTAGACCTATAAAAATTTATGCAGCAAAAATGTCTTTCAGAAATGAAGATAAAATGAAGTCATTTTCAGACATCTATAAACTGAAATAATTTGTTACCAGCAGACCTGCACTATAAGAAATGTTGAAGGAAGCCCTCCAGATAAAAAGAAAATTATACCAAATGGAAACATGAGGTGGGTGGATCACGAGGTCAGGAGATTGAGACCATCCTGGCTAACACGGTGAAACCCCGTCTCTACTAAAAATACAAAATATTAACCAGGCATGGTGGCAGGCGCCTGTAGTCCCAGCTACTTGGGAGGCTGAGGCAGGAGAATGGTGTGAACCTGGGAGGCGGAGCTTGCAGTGAGCCGAGATCACACCACTGCATTCCAGCCTAGGCGACAGAGTGAGATTCCATCTCAAAAAAAAAAAAAAAGAATACGAAGCAATAGAAATGGTAACTACATGGGTACATAAGTAAGATATTTTTATTAATTAAAACATTTCAAAACATAACTGAAGCAAAATTAAAAATGTATTGTGGGTCTCATAACATATGTAGAAGGAAAATGTGCAGCAATAATAACACAAAGACCAGGAAGGGAGAAATGAAAGCGTTATAAAGTTCTTATATCATACCTGAAGCAGTACAATATCACTTGAAATTAGTCTGTAATAAGTTTCAGGTGTGCACTGTTGATCCCTCCCTGGCACAGATAAGTTGGGAAGCTCTATGATACACTGCCAATAGATTGATCATCTTAAAGCCAATTGTGCCACCCATTTGCTGCTAGAAATTTAAATGGCTCCTCATAGCCACTCCCAGTGAAATCTTCTGTCTTTAACCTGTATTTTCGTTCTTATCTGCCAAGATATGCTTTACATTCCCTGGGAAGAAATTAACTTCTGTCATCTAGGCTTCCTCGACATTTCTAGGAAGTGCAGTAGGCAATCAGGTATGTGTGGGGTGGGTGTGTACCAAAAACTTGCAAACCAGTTGCATGCAATATATGCAATGGGGTTCTGAGATCAAGAACTCAAAATATGTGTATTTGTATGAAGAATTCTAAAAGTAGAAATCTAATCTCCTTGGAAAGAGGTGAATTTTTTTTTCAAATAACTGGTAATCACCTCTTTAACATTTAAATTTTATTTCTCTTTTAACTGTGTTCTTTTAGCATGTGTTATAATTTTGTGCATCACCATAGCTCCCCGCCAGCTCACAAGCTCCTAATGGCAGGATCCCCAGATTTCCTCAGTGCCCACTATGTCTACACAGAGCCAGTGTCACAACATGCTCATCATACATATGTGTTGAATGGAAACATTTTCCTGTGCAAACTGATTAACAGAGAAACTTAGTAAAGAAGTGTTGGTCTGGATTGGATGAGATCAGAGAGTTGAAGGTACAGTGTCTGGGAGGGTGTTTAGAAGCCATCTATTCAAACTCCCACTACCAATAACTTGTTTTACTTGCCAATCCCATGGATGTCACATAACTGATTAAAGTTAACACAAGGTAATCCAGGTGTCACCACTGACTTTGCCAAGGTCCAACTCAAAAAACAAGAGAAAAATGTATAAAGAATACGCATAACACACGTTTATATGTAAACACACATATATATACATATAGAATGAAAATATATATTCAATGAGTTAGATAATTAATGAGTTAAATATATATATATTTAATAAAATGTCATTGTTTTTCTGATAATAAAAATGATGCACTGAAAAACTTCATGAAATGCAGAAATGTTTAGTAAAGAAGAAAATAAAAATCACCAAATCCTCCATCTGGAGCAGACCATGTTTTAAATGACAGCAAAATCCCTTCCTGTATTGTTTTACTTTTCTAAAAGCCATTGTGAAAATTCCTTCTACCTCTTCACTTAGCAGAAGGTCAATGAGAAAATGGGTGCTCCTGACTGGACAATGTGGTGGATTTAAACGGCCTGCAAATTCTTTGTCACTTTCGCCTTTGAAAGAGGAAGTTTGTTTTCCTCCCAGCTTGAATTTGGTGCTTCTGCTTTACCCATAGAGGGCAGAGGAAGGGATGTTAGGCTAGCTCTGGGGCAGCATCTCACAAAGGTTGAACAGCTTCCATGTCTGCACTTTTAGGAGCCCCAAACTACCATGTAAGGAATAGGCCACCCGGCTGGAGAGAATGCAGAAAGACCATATGGAGAGGCCCAGAGATGACATGGGCAGATAGGCCCAGTCATCACAGCTTGCCATCTGAGCCCAGCCTCCCCACTGTCTCACCAAAGCACCAGACGTGTGAAAGCACCATATGGAACCTCACCAGCCCAAAGAAGCATCCACAGGACTGCAGCCCCAGACCACGTCATGTGGAGCAGAACTGCCCACAGAACCACGAGAAAAGAGAAGATGGTTGTTGTTTTCTGGACTGGGGGTAGGGGAAGAGGTAGTTACACAGCAATAGATTACTAAAACAGCTAGCAAAATTCTTAATATTTGAACTTCTTTGAGAGTTACCAAAACTAAACCCAAGGAGTAAATCCTAAATTATATTGCAAACCTAGAGACCACGTGCTGCTCATCACTCACAAGATGAAAAGAACATGGGACTTGAAGTGGCACTACTGGGGCAGAGCTCCTTGGGACTGAGCTACTGAGACGTTCGATTGGAATAAGTCCCTCGACCTGTTTGCTCCTCCATCCTCTCATCATAAAAGAGGGGCATTGTTGACGTCCATTTTAGGGGGTTTTAAGAAAGGGTCAATGAAACTCTATAAAGGGAGATTTTTTTTTAATTGCATAAGGTAGGGTTGCTTTTTGCCTCTTCTCTTCTTTGAGCTTAGAGATTTGTTGACCGTAAATGGTGCTGTCAAATGAGTATGGTATGGTCTCCTACCTTGGAAAGGCAAGAGGAATTCAGACATATGTTTAAGAGTCAATATTTTATCTATTTGGCATCCAAGAAAGAGCCCTGAGTATCTCTCAGGTACTCAGAGGTTTAAGCAATTTCACTGAGATTCTGTGAAAATGCAGAGTAAGGGGTGACTAAGGCAGTGGAAGAGGCACATGGACTTCTGAGAAGCCACCAGTGCTTCCCTGTCAATCATCATCAGTCTCCTCTACACTGGAGGTTGAGGGAAGGGAGGGAAGGAACTCATCACTGAGATTTTTCAGAGGCAAATGATTAAATCTTTGTTCCTATTCCATTTTGCAGGGGCCATGGCCTCTCTTTCCACCCCAGCTTTTCTTCACAGTCAGCACTTTGCCTAGTGGACTTTTTGGTGCCAGATGAGTTTGTTTGTTTATTTGTTCACCTATTATCCATCTCCCCCAGTAGAATTTAGGCTACATGAGAATAAGAACCTTGTCTATGATGTTCACCGTATTGTATCCGTGGTCCCCAGAATGATGCCCTGAACCCTCATGAAATAGCTGTGGAATGAATAAATGCTGACACTTTTTTTCTCACATGCTTTGGCCCCAGACCTACTGCATCCAAAGTGGAGCCTTGGGAATCCGCCTTTTACTGAGTTTTGCGAATAGTTGATCCCCCAGTACATAATGCCTGGATTAAATGAAAACATTTAAGAAAAATGAGGACAGGGAAAAGGCATCATGGTATTCCAGACCCAAAGAGAAAGGGAGTTTCTATACCCACAGCCCCAGGAGCTGTTTACATTTGACTCAGCTCAAGCTCAGAACTGGCCGGGAAGGGCCTTCAGTCAGTGGGCTGTGAACACATCTTCCCAAGACAGGAAGGACTTAGCATGACATTAAACTCGGAAATGGTAAAGGAAAATTTCTCATAGTTTCACCTACAAAAAAGCGAAAACTTTTGCATAGAAAAGACAACTTGGAAAAAAAAACTAAGTTTGGCAAATCAATGAAAACTTAGGGAAAAATATTTGCAACATGTATTACCAATCAAGGTTTAATGTTTATAATAAATAAACAATTCTCACAAATCCAAGAGAGAATACTGCAAAAGACATGAATAAACAGTCCACAGAAGAAAAAAGAAAGAAGCAAAAAGCAATAAGCAAAAAGCAAAAAGCCAATAGACGTGAAAAACATGTTCAAGATTACTAATAACCAAAGAAATGTGAATTAAGATAATAGAAAAATGCCATGTTTTGGTAGAGACTAAACGATTTCTAATATTCCAGTAAGTGAGGTATAAGAAACCAGGTACATCTATTACAAGTGTAAACTATTAAAATCTGTTTTGGAGGATAAAGCGCCAAACTTTTAAAACCTATATTCTATTTGGCTTAGCAATATTATTTCTAGTTTATCCTAAACAGATAATTGCCCAAGTAAACAGTGCTATATGTAAAGTGTACGAATTTTTTTCTTTTTTTTTTTTTTTGGTGACACAGAGTCTTGCTCTGTCACCCAGGCTGGAGTGCAATGGCACAATCTCGGCTCACTGCAACCTCCACCTCCCGGGTTCAAGCAGTTCTCCTGCTTCAGCCTCCCTAGTAGCTAGGATTACAGGCACAGGCCACCATGCCCAGCTAATTTTTTTGTATTTTTACTAGAGACGGGGTTTTGCCGTGTCAGCCAGGGTGGTCTCGAACTCCTGACCTCAGCTGATTCCCCCCACTTCGGCCTCCCAAAGTGCTGGGATTACAGGCATAAGCTACCACACCCGGCCAAGTACAATGATTTTACACATTATTTGCAATTTTGAAAAATATGGACCAATTCTAAGGGCCCATTGTGGAGGATGTATAGTCCAGGTGCTTCCTCGGAAGATGGCCCTTGGCAGCCACTGGTCTAGGAGAGGACACCGGCACCATGGGGTTCAACCAGGGTGGATCTCACACCTCCTTCTTGGCACATTAAGGCATGGCATTTCTCCCTCTTCCCTCACAAGAGGTTGTAAAGCCTGGTGCCACTACAAAAACCATTTTGCCACCATAAAGGGAAAGAATCTTCAAACAAAACCAACACACAGAGGAGGGGACATACAGGGAAATGCCAAATATTATGCTAGTAGTATGGAACCCACTCAGAAGCCACTCTTTCTTTGAACTTCAGTTACATGAGATGGTAAATTTATGTAAGCCAGTTTGGGCCACTTTCTGATACTTTCAGCCAAAAGCCACATGATAAAGCCATCACCAGGGAACTGAATAAATACATTATGACACAATCTTACAATAAAATGCCATGCAAGTGATTTATTCAAGAATAAAATACCATGCAATGGATTTTTCAAGAAAGTATGCCCTATATACAGTGCCACAAATAGATGTCCATTAGAAGTCGTTAAGAGAGAAAAGTGTTAAGGAATGATATGTGTGATATCACCCTATTTAGTTAAAAAGGCAAATTGAGCTACAGATAGAGATATAAATTTGATATAAATTAGAATCAGAAGGGAAGAGGGAGCTTTTATTTCTTCCTTTACATACTTCTGATTTTTTGAGGTTTTAAATAAGTATCCCTTACTTTATATATATAAGTATACAAATATATTTCAGCTTTGGACCTCTGAAGTACTCTTGGTAGCATCATTTTAAAAATCATGATATAACACATAATGATGCCTAGTCTTCAAATATCTTAGTGTTTTTTTTTACATAAGATCAATTTACATAACCTTATCCTTATTTAACTTTTAATCCTTTTTGACAGTTCCATGTCTATCTTGAAAAAGAATGTGTCTTAATCTCTAGAAGTAAAAATAAATAAGAGCTACCTCTTAGATACACACCTTCCCCAAGCCACCCCAACCCTCAAGCCTGAGATTCCCACCTAGAAAATAAAGACAGCCATGGTATATCTTCATGAGTGTCATGAGGGAGGGGTGAACACAGGTGTTCAAAGTTTCCAGCACAGGGCCTGGGACAAAATGACTCTTCAGTGGTAGTTTTTGTTGCTATTCAATGTCCTCAGAGTAAAGGGGCCCCTTCTGGAAATTTATTTTTGCTTGGAGGTTCGGTGAACCTTACCCTGGCTTTCTATCTCTTCAAACACCCTAGAAGCAGAAAGAATTCCATGGGGCCAACTCTGGGCCTTCCCACTCTGAAAACGACACAGTCACAAACTACAGGCCCAAGGAAGCCAGGGCGGGCCCTTTAAAACCTTACCCTCATTGACTCAAGCAGCTTGAGAAGGAGCCTTGGCAGTCCTCTGGCCACTGTAATCATCTTTCACATTAGTCGAGACAAATGCCTTGGAATTTTCCTTAAACTGGGTGTCACCTCCCATTTTTGATATGAAAAGATACAAGTGAAGAGCTGCCAATGGGTGGAGTCTTGGGCCGGGTCCCCGGATACGTCAGGCTACTTTCATTTTCCAGATATGGGAGAAGAGAAAAGTAGGCCAGGCCAGGGCTGCAGTGTCCCCAAGAGGTCAGCAGCTCCAGGCTCTGAGCCTTGCTTCTGGGCTGCCTTCCAGCCCCACTCCATTCCAGTTTGCAGTAATGAATGTTATACACACACTCATACACACACACACACACACACGCACACACACATACACACACACATGCACACTGATTTTTTTTAGGAGCCGTCAATGAAGTTTTAAGTTGTTGACAATTATTGTTGGTCATCAGGCCAGCAATTCTTCTGAGTGAAGTGTTGAACAAGGCTGGGCCTCAGAGCTACACAGATGTATGGCTTCCTGAAAGCCATACATCTGTGTGTGCCTGGGTAACTTGAGAAATAGTACTATGCATGTGATAAGTGTGCCACAAAGACTTAGAAAGATAGAAAACTCCTCACAGATTTTTCACTTAAGGAGGTAATGTCCTCTTGAAAATGTTATTAAGTACAAATTAAACAAATGTTCAAGGTGCACCTACCTGACACACCAGGGGCGCCTGACAAATATTTCTGGAATGACAGAATGATTCTTTGCTCTGTGGTCTGAAGCAAATGACTTGCCTTGGTTGGGTCCCAGTCTCCTTTCTGTGAATAGAGGTAATCACACCTCCTCCATGGGTGGTGAAGGCTGAGGAAAAACGCTTTGTCCAGGAGGGTTGTGCTGCGAATAGGAGAGCAGGTTTGGGGGAGGTGGCTAACCTTGGCACCCACCTGGGCTCGCAGAAGCCAGTGGGAGGTATGAGATAAACTGCCCAGGGACCTCCTCAGCCACCCTTACATCTTATCTGCCCTGTAGCCACGTCCTCCCCTGCAGTCAGGCTGCTTATCAGGGGCTGACACCAGGCGCAGCCAACTTTGTGCTTTGATTCTTGCCAGGTTTCTTCTGTGGAAGGGGTTTCCAGCCCCCGCACCCCCTTAGCCAAAGTTTGCCCTTTAAAGTCAATCTCCGGTCACACATCTCCAGTAAGCCTTCAAACCTCACTCCAGAGCCGACTCTCTCCTCCATCCTCCCCTATGCCTTCTGCCCCCACACTAAGGCAGCAGGTTGCATTCGCCGGGCACTGCCCTGACAGGAGGGCAAGCACAGGATGGAGTCGAGAAACCAGCATAGTCACCAAGCTGATTTTTCAAAATGTGAATCTTAAAAACCTTGACTTTTAAGTCTGCCACTTGAGAGAGAAGAATTTTGGTTTTATTTTTGCTTTTATTTGTTGGAACTCTAGAACATATCCTTATATATCAAGAGCCTGGAGCATAACGTTATGCCATAAACCAGAGAGTTCCTGTTCAAGGGAAGTACACGTTTGAACCAGCACATAACACAATGAACACTGAGGGAAGATGACTAGGGTTGGGGCAGAAATGGAAGTTAGGGAGTAGGGGGCATGAGAAAACGAGGAAATTGTGTTGATTTCCAGGCTCCAGCCAGAGACTGTAAACCTTGGATTGAAGCCCACTCCACGATGGAGCCTGTGGATGGGCAACAAGGGGGTTGGCAGTGGGTAGGGGAGGGAGGGATACCTGGGAAGATGGGCTTGAGGGAAGTCTCAAGGTTCAAATCACCCCAGCAAGCTACAGAAGGGTTTTGGAAAGTTCCTGGGCTATTCCTACAAAGCACGTGCCCCACGGACCCATGCAGGGCCCATGCAGGACACACAGAAATCAACAGCACAAGGTGCAGTGACCAGGTCCATATCACTAAGCAGCTCCAATTGTGGGCAGCAATGAGAGAAGAGAGGAAAAGAAGAAAGGCAAAGAATCTTGAGCTCTTTCAAACCCTTAAGTAACCATATGTAGGACTGAGAGGACCTGAGTGACCCTGAGATGGTGTATTAGTCTGTTCTCACACTGCTCATAAAGACATACCCAAGACTGGGTAATTTATCAAGGAAAGAGGTTTAATGGACTCACAGTTCCACATGGCTGGGGAGGCCTCACAATCATGGCAGAAGGCAAATGAGGAGCAATGTCACATCTTACATGGCTGCCATGGCTTCAGGCAAGAGAGTGTGTGCAGGGGAACTGCCCTTTATAAAACCATCAAATCTCATGAGGCCTATTCACTACCTTGAGAACAGTATCAGGGAGACTGCCCCCATGATTCAGTTATCTCCACCTGGCCTCACCCCTTCACCCCCTTTTTTTTTTTTTTTCTAAGACAGAGTCTCGCTCTGTCACCCAGGCTGGAGTGCAGTGGGCGATCTCAGCTCACTGCAACCTCCGCCTCCCGGGTTCACGCCATTCTCCTGCCTCAGCCTCCCAAATAGCTGGGACTACAGGTGCCTGCCACCACGCCCAGCTAATTTTTTGTATTTTTAGTAGAGACAGGGTTCCACCGTGTTAGCCAGGATGGTCTCGATCTCCTGACCTCGTGATCTGCCCACCTCGGCCTCCCAAAGTGCTGGGATTACAGGCGTGAGCCACCGTGCCCGGCCTGGCCTCACCCTTGACAAGTGGGAATTATTAAAATTCAAGGTGAGAGTTGGGTGGGGACACATTCAAACCATACCAGCTGGAAAAAACTGAATTTTTCCACCATAAGCAGAAGTAGGGATTCATGAGCTAAGTTAAGATCAATTATAGAGAAAGAAAGTCCCATTTTGGTGTAATTATGACTAAATGTCACACTGCTATCTTCATGCTGGCCCCTTACCTTCCCTGGATGACCAGCCATCCTAGTTTGCCCAAGATAGTCCTGGTTTTAGGATTGAATGTCCTGCAGCCCAAGAGATCCCTCAGGCCTGGGCACACTGGGATGGTCAGTCACCCCACCTTCACCTGGCACCAATGCATCATCTGTCCAGGATGTACTGGAGTTTTTTTGTTTTGGTTTGTTTTGAGATGGAGTCTTGCTGTGTTGCCCAGGCTGGAGTCTAGTGGCACGATCTCGGCTCACTACAACCTCTGCCTTCTGGATTCAAGGAATTCTCCTGCCTCAGCCTCCCGAGTAGTTGGGATTATAGGCGCCGCCGCCAGGCCCAGCTCATTTCTCATATTTTTAGTAGAGACAGGGTTTCACCATGTTGGCCAGGCTGGTCTTGAACCCCTGACCTCAGGTGATCCACCCACCTCAGCCTCTGAAAGTGCTGGGATTACAGGCTTGAGCCACCACACCCGGCTGTCCCTGTTTGATTTTAAGTGGAGTGAGGAAAAGGACCATGTGGCGTTCAGACTGTTCATTCAACCAGCAAAAGTGAATGCAGTTTCCCTGCACTGAATTCTGACGGGTGAGACTGACTCTTAAGCAGATAATTAAAATACACTGTGATAAAGGGGAATGTAAATTAACGCAACAAGCGAGTGCTGCACACCTATCAGAACGGCTAAAATTTAGAAGATGGGCAAGAACAAATGTCGGCAAAGATGCGGAGCAACCAGAGCTCTCTGCGCTGCTGGGGAGAATGTGCAATGCTGCAGCCACTCGGGGGGGAATGCTGGCACTTTCATATAAAACTAAATATATGCCTGTCTTTGACTCAGTAGTTCCATTCCTAGGTGTCTACTCAAGAGAATAAAAATATCTGCCCATGAAACAGCTGTACTGCAGAGTAAGTTTAAAAATAATAGCCCAAAATTAGAAAGTGCCCAAGCTGCAGGAGAACTGGTAAACTAACTGTGGCACAGTCACACAATTGAATAGTGCTCATGATCTACTGGCGCACACAACATGGATGAATCCCAAAACATCATTCTGAGTGCAAGAAACTAGACACACACAAGCACGTACTCTATGCTCCATTTATATGAAGCTCCAGGAAAGACCTTCAAATCTATAATGATAGAAATCAAACCAATAATTTTGTAGGACTGGGGTAAGGGGAATTGACCAGGAAGGGGCAGAAGGGAATCTTTTGAGGGGTTAGAAATATCCTATATCTTGCCTGTTGTGGTTATTACACAGGTCTATACATTTTTCAAAATTCGTCAAACTGCACACTTAAAACAGGTGCATTTTCTTGTTTGTGAATTAGAACAAAATAAGTTCATCTTTAAAAATCAGATTGAGAAAATAAAACAAGACCTGAGAAGCACTACAACAAACAAGCGCACAAAGCACCCAAGGGGTGAAGGAAGACTTTGCAGCTGGGCAGGGACTGAAAAGTCAGAAAGGGCTGCACTGGACAGAGAAGAGGACGAAGCACATGGCAGAAGCCAACAGCATGTGCAAAACATGCAAGGAAAAAAGCAGACGGGGCTCCAGGAAAGGCACAAGGTTGGGGGAGGGTGGTGGCCACTGTTTAAAAAAAAAAAATAGAGAGAGTCAATAGAAAGGTAGGTCTCCGCGAGTCCGGGAAATGCCTCTAAGTCCTGCAAAGCACGTTGGACTCTGCCTCTGGGCTCGCATTGCTCAACCACAGTGTGCTGACTCACCGAGAGCAGCTGGGCAGTGTAGCACCAGTGAGGTGCTGCTGGTTAGGACTCCTCCAGGTGCTCCCTGCAGTGCCCCTGCCCCGCACATGCAATCCCCTAGTCCCCTTAAGTGGGGATGAGGGGTCTTGAGCAACCTGGGAAGGGTGCTGCCCTCTGAGTGGGATCTGCCCCATTCCGCAGGGGGACAAAGGCTCAGGGGCCATGCTTGATAACAGGTTGTTAATTTTTTCTCCCACGGAAGACTCTGTCAGGAGGGATCTGTGCTTCAGAAAGATGCCCTGTCTAGGAAGCTGGGAGAGGGTTGGAGCAGGGGAAAGTAGAGGCAGGGAGACCAGTTAGTAGCTGGAACAACAGTCCCCGGGGCTTGATGAAGGGGCTCCAGGCTAAGGCAGTGGACACGGAGGGAAATGCACATTTAACACGCTTCAGAAGGCAGACGCAACAGCACTGAGACGTTGGGAGAAGCTGTGAAGCATTGACATGGTGAGGGCTCAGACCACTCCTCAAACAAGCTGGAGAACAGGGAGGGCGGTGGGAGGGCAGTGGGAGCGGGTGGTATCAAGTCAGCCCCACTATCACAGTGCCCATGTTCATGATCTTCTCTGCCCCATACCAAAGTCACTGCGACTTTCCTCCAGGCCCTCTGCACCACACATTCATGTTACATGAGGCTTCCCAGAAATATACCCTCTTCTTCCCAAGTGCACCCTCTCCCTGATCCCATTACCTCCTCCTCTCCTCAACCATGAAATGAGGGCATGATACCAGGGAAGAGAGGTACCCTAGGGCAGGAGAGCCTCTCACGGCCCCATTATCCCTTCCCCTCCGCTCTCCGTGTCCGTGACTGGCTCAAAATTGCTCTATGCACTCTGGGCTGCATGCACATAGTCTATTGTCTCTTAATAAGTCCAATAAAAAAGGCCCACCCTCATGATGGGCAATCAGCCCTATCAATTAGAAACAAGCCACTCTGTAGGGGGTTAAACTCTATGGCTCTTACTTCAGGGCGGTATGAATAAAACACGGCACATGGAATTCATGTCACCAGACTCCCAGCTCAGAGATTCCTGGAAGCGAGTTCAGAGTCCACACAGCCCCATCACTGTGTTTACACCATTATTAGCCAGGCTTCCTCGTGGGGATGCTAAGAACTGATAGAAAGTTCAGAATATTGACCATGTATGACTTTAATCATACGTTTGCAATAAAATGAAGCTCTTTCCCTGAGAGCAAGGAGGCAGCTAGGCAGTAGCAGAAAGACACAGTTCAAAGTTACCATCTAGAGCAGTCCAACACAAACACAGCCATCTCGGAGCTTTACTGCAGAGCGTTTTTGTTGCGGGAATGGACACTCAAGCCACACATCTGGTAAATGTTTCCTGAAGAAGAGATGGGGTTGAGAAAGAGAAGATAAAAAGCAGGACTGGTTATGCTCAGCCCTAAAGCCCCGGGCAGGCTGCACATGTGTTAGCCAAGAGTGGCATGACTCAGCGATCACCCTGGCTTCTCAGAAAGAAGCTGTTCATCCTCTTGACTCAGCATTCCTCACTGCTGAGCAGCCTCAGCCTGCAGTCGCCCAAGGACCCCAGCCACAGAGCAGGCCAGCACACCGTGTACTCTCAGACCCTGTCCTCAGATGCCCTCCTCCATCAGACTTCAGGCCCTTCCTGGCTGGCAGAGAGGCCACAGCCCTATGAGGGAGGGTCCCCTACTCCAAGTGGGAACAAAGCACTCTTTAAGGAGCATGTCTACAACACAGCGGTGCCCCCACCCTGGCCAGATACCTGTGAGCTGGAGGGGGGCAGCCACTCGCTCTTGGGAGGCCTAACTCTCCCTCTGGGATGTTTTCATTTTCTTCCACCTTTCCCTGAGGCTAAATGAGCCATCAGAGGCAACCAGCAGCCCAGGGACAAACACCACTGCTGGGTGGTGGATAACAGGAACTGGGTCAAGAACTGGGCTGAGAATTAAGAAAATTTCAAATTTCCTCAGCTCACAGTTTTATCTGTTGGAAAATAATAGCGGGGCTTATCTTGTTAGGAAAAGGGAGGGAGAAAACACTCCCTAGATACTCAGGGCCTCTTACTTATCACACAATTCCTTTTAGAAATATGTTGACTGGTTTCCCGGACTGAGGAGCCCTTTGCAAGCCAGAGCGTCTCAGGGCAGCCAAAGTGACAGAATCAGGAAGCAGTCTGCGAGGGCCAAGACCTCAGAGCCAGGGTGGAGCCTCCACTTACTGAGGACCTTGGGCAAATTATTTAGCCTGTGAGTGCCTCAGCTTCCTCATCTGAAAAGAGGAATGATGCATAATGATGGAACCTAATGCACAGGGTCCCTGTGGGGCTCACTCGCTTGCTCATGCACTCATGAGTACCTACTGTGTGCAAGCACAGTTCTAAGGGCTGGCACACCAGTGAGAAAACCACGTGGATTCTGACTCTGGTGGAGAATGAAGGGGGGAAAATAGAGCAGGGGCTCGGTGGGCTGGGGCTGGAACTAG
Organism: Homo sapiens; assembly: GCF_000001405.40. Lineage (NCBI taxonomy): Eukaryota > Metazoa > Chordata > Mammalia > Primates > Hominidae > Homo > Homo sapiens. Next base: position 102,063,419 of record NC_000002.12, on the reverse strand, counting down.
GGGAAGGCAAGCAGGTGCCTAAGGCCCCAAATTTAAGGGGCATGCACCCTATGGGCACCTGCACGGCCCTGAGAACAACACTGTGGCCACCTGGGACCAGGTTGGGGTGAAGGTGAAAGAGTCACAAAAGTGTTTGATCAAAGTGCTCAGTGCAGTCAGTGCCTAGGAGACTGGCCCTTAGTAAATATCAGCTGCTTGTAAGAGCATTAGGAAACGGAGGAGGCAGAAAAGAACTCCAAAAAGAAAATATGAACTCTCAAAGCTTCAGCAGGATGGGGAATTTAGTGTTGGGGCAAACACCTGGACACACCTAGAATCTCTGGTTGCCAACTAGAGCTGCAGCTGAGCTCAGATGAAAACAGAAGCCTCGATGCTGGAGCAGCAGCAGCCCTGGAGATATTGATCTGGCTGGCCTTGGATGGGGCCCTAGCAATCACGTTTAAGACGCTCCTGCCAGGGGATCCTAGGGCACTATGTGCCAAGCCTCATGCCAAGGGCTTTCCATGTATTATCTCATTTCCCCCTCCCCTAATCCCACAGGTTCAGAACTACTCTTTTCCCCATTCACAGATGAAGAGTCAGAAACCTCAAGATCTTATATAAATTTCTTAAGGTCACCACCATCTCATGCTGTCTGTCTGCTGCGGCATACATAATCACTACTGTTTTCAATGGACGTGTTAAGTTACCAAGAAAAGATTAAATGTATGCAATGACCTCTGCTTAAGAATGCGTGGGTGTACTAAGTTTTCAGAAAAGGTTAAATGTGTGCCATGAGCTCTGCTTCAGAGTGCAAGCCATGGTGAAATTGATTCTGCAAAGATTAATGTGCAAAATAGTTCCAAGTTTCTAAAGTTGAGTGTTCTGAGCAGTAAGCTCTGTTTCCTGGAAATTTTACTTTACAGAACATTCTTCAGTGATGCTCAAGAAGTGAGATGTGTCTGTTCTGTAAAGATGAGTCAGGAGTAGTCAAGAAGCAGGAGAATTGTCAACTCTGACACACCAGAAATGACACTCAGCAGGGCTTAGCAACCATGGTCTCTTCTCTGAACCCATGAAGTGAAGTGGAAACTGGAGGGGTGTCAGCCAAGTTACAAAGGAATGGCTGAAGCTGGGAGGCCCCACAGGAAAGAAAACGCTGGAAAAATAGAAGCTTCTGGCCCCAGTGTTCTCACGCATGACCATAATAATTAAAAAGAAGCTTTGGCAGCCACCCCAGAGCAAGCTCATGAGGAGAGATGGGTCACAGAGCTGACCAGCAGTTCTGGAGTGAGGGTGGCCCTGGAGAAGCTGAAGTCCCAGGGGACGCCTGCATCTGCATGGCAGGAACCAAGTCTGTCAGTGATTCTCCTCTCCCTCGAAACCATCACTGCAAGATCCCGCTCTGCCATTTACTAGCTGTGTGACTTTAGGCAAGTTACTCAACCTTTCTGAGCCTCAATAAATGGTAGCTAATATTATTGTTTATTGTTATTAAAAGCAGTTAAATCTTTATAGGGTCATGTAACGCACAGCCATAATCAGGTAGCACTGGGAGAGGCAAACATTTCTAAAATAGTAAATATTTTAGACACTGTAGGCCAAGAAGCATATTTCATATGTTATATATACATAAAATATATATGATATATGTGTGTGTATTTATATAATGTAGATACTTCTATAACAAGAGAGAAACCTCTGCATGCCTGGCCCTATCTGCCTGGGGTGGGCTTCCTGTGGGCAGGCACAGTGTGCCCTGAACCCACTGGAGACGGTCCTGGGAAGAAGGGCAGCCTGATGGAGGGAGGGGCCTGGCAAGCCAGCTCAGTGGGCTTAGGGAGTTGAAGGGGACTTGGCCACCACGGTCATTTTCTCTCTTTGCCCCAGGGACAACCAAACCAGCTCCTCCTGGAGATCCCGGCCCCCTCCCTCTGGACAGCTGAACGGAAGTGAAGCTAACACGTCACCAATTCCCAGACTTAGATTCTGCAGCCTGGCGCCCCGCATTGCAACAGCAGAGCCCCCATGCTGTAGGAGTGACCAGCATGGGCCCTGTGTGGCAGGAAGGTGAGTCCTCTGGCAGGGGAGGCAGGTGCTGGAAGCCAAGTAGGGGACAGGGACAGATGGAACCACCTCAGCTTGGGTCCTGCAGCTCACAGCGCTTGCAGAGTGTCCCTGAGCCATACAGAAGTAGGTGACCACCCACAGTTTGTCAGTGGGTCATAGTTTGCTGACCTTAGATGTAGCAAAAGAGACCTAAATGTGACCCCAGTGTGGTTGCAGGGAGTAACCAGTGAGCACACCCGTGCCAGCGTTCTCCAGAGCACAACCCATTAAGGGATCACAAAAGCACGTCAGTGGCTCACCACCAGCATCTTTTTAATGAAACAAAGAGAATGGATTCTCTCCAGGTTTTTTATGGCATTCATATGGATAAGCATATATGCTCTGGGCACCATGCCAAATGTACTTCTTACTGAGGACTGGGTGCTAGGCACAGTTTTTGGCTTCTGTATCCCTCAAAAGAGGTGTTTTCATCTATTTTTCAAACATTCGTGGGGCATCTGCCTTGAAAGTTTAAGAATAAGCTCCTTGAGGAACAGGGTCAAGTCCCAGCTTTCCATTAACTCTGAAACCTACCACCTTGGCACATGGGCAGGAAGTGAAGGGAAGACAAGGGAGTTTGCTGGCTTCTGAGACAAATGTATATTCCTGGGAGGACCCTGGAGAAGTGAAGATCTTTGGTAGTACCTCTGGATGCATCTCACACTTATCATCCCACCAGAAGATCTTAGAGGCCTCCAGTCTGGAGGTTTCCAGACTGTGCTCTGAGGAGGCCCAGGGTTCCGCAATGTGCTTCAGGGGTGCCCAGGGAAAGAGGTTCTTGCTTTCCTCTTCTAACTTCAACTGGAGCAGCTTTGCACTTTTTTATGTATGTTTTAAGGTGACATGTAAATTTCTTCTGTCCAAAGGGCTCCAATTCCAGAGCATTGAACAATCAAAAGGCCTGAAAACTATCTATTTTATTCAACTAATTTAAACCTAGGAAAACCTCAAATACCCAAGAAAAGTCAGCAGTGGATAGGGAGACTGGCCCTCAGACCTCTGCTCCCCACCCTGTTCAGCAGTCCTTTCACCACACTCCGCTGCAGCCCTGCTGAGTCCAATTCTGCTCTGGGAGCAATTCCCAGTGGACACGTGGCAGTCCAACAAGACAGTGTTATAACAGCAGGCTCCAAATCAAAGGAAAAGCAGAAGACAACACACACTGTTTTAAATATCATAGAGAGACCATCCCTGAAGTTGTTTATCGTGATTCAGACATGGACAAGCTTTGGGATCTTGGACAAGTCACTTCACATCTCTGGACTTTGTTTCTGCAGTCCTCTCTGGCCCTCCGTTCTGAGTCCCCATGGATAGAACTGATCATCACTAGAGAGAAAGGAGAGCCACAGACCTAATCTCCCAGGTGTCAGTTATTAACTCCACCAGTATAACATGCCCTCTGAGGAGTGGTGGCAGTGGCCATCTGCAGTCCACCTCCGCAGCAAGATGAAGCCTCCTGGAGAAGCCATGGAGGTGGAGAGAGATTCAGGCTCCTAACTCGGCCCAGCCCTGCACAAACACAGGGAAACTGCACCTGGGATTGAAAGCATTAATTTAGAATTTCGTTGTCCTGGGCATTCCAGCAACTCTGTGATTCTCTATTAGAGTTGAAGACACTGAGGCTCTGAGAGGTCACATAATTGTCCAAAGGGTGTAAGGGTACGATGAGAGGGGACAGAGAGAGAGAGAGATAGAGACAGCATGCACTTGAGGTTTGAGACCCTCGAGGTGGAAGGACATGTCAGCTTTAACTTGTTGACTGTCTTCTGTGACAAGAACTTTACATACTTTATCTCATTAAATCCTCACAATAGCCATGCAATGTAGGTGTCAAAAACCCATATTACAAAAGAGTAAAATGAAGTTGAGACAGGTCAGAGTGATTCCAGGCACACAGCTGTTGGATGACAGCACTGGTCTTCTCACTTGCTTTTTCTGATTCCCAAATCTTTGATCTTCCCACTCTCTTGGGATGCCTCAAGGCTGTGTGGACACACGGCCAGAACATTCCTCCACTCAATGTTGTGTAACCACAGGACAAAGAAGAAGACAGTGGCCTTCAACACTTGATGTGAAAATGTGGCATGAGAAGAGCCAGTGATCAATCCAATCTTGATCAGAATGTCATTACCTCTGGTGAGAAAGCCACTGTCTGAGCACCTCTGGTCACCTTATCCTGTGCCTTGTCATCAGGTACACGATATGTGGGAGAGTCTGGAATCCTCATAAGGAAAGGACGGAGGCAGGGCTGTGATAGAAAGCCCGTCTCCTTCCCTAGCTCTTTGCCTCAATTAGCTTAAGATACAAATAGCCCCACATAGTCTCACAAAGTCTTTCTACGAGTTGCCAAGTTGCGTTGTTTCCCACGGAACTGTAACATTTTATGAATACAGTTATTTATGAGTGGTTCCACCCTAGTGGGAAAAAGATAGGTTACAGAGTGAAAAGTCTCTTTACCTCTCAACCTTTGATGCTTCATTGTCAAAATGAGGTAACAACCATAACCTCCGCACAGGATGGGCATGAGGATGCAATGAAGTGATGTGTCTGGATCGTAGAGGTCCCTATACAAACATGATTTCGTTTTATGACTGCAGGCAGCTCCAGTTATCCAATTAATCTGACGGGGGCTTCCCTCCTTGCCTGATGGAGTGGTGAGGACAAGGGTCCCTCTAATCCCATAGGTATTCTCTCATGTATCCTTGCAGCAGTCCCATTTACATACTAACCCCATTTACAGACAGGGAACTGAAAGTTTGTGAAGTCAATTAAATGTAGGGCAAGTGGACTCTGCGCTGTCAGGAAAAGCTCCCAATCTTGAAATTACAGCTAGAAGAACCCTGAGAGAGGGGATGCACACACTGCCACCTTGGCAGGCCTGGAACACGCTCCCGGTGCCCCACTTGGGCCAGTGGGGTGCACTGAGGGTCCCCAGCCTGACATCCAGCCAGTATTTAACTCCAAGGAGAGGGAAGCCACAGGGAAGGATGGGGCCAAGAAAGAAGACACGGGACCTGTTGTAGAAAACCCCACAGACTCAGAATGAAATTTTGGCTTTGGTTATTTTCTGGTGATCCTCACGCAGAAGGAATTGGGAAGCTGCTGCTAGCTGGAAGCTGGGGACCCCCACATCACAGTTCTTAACTCACCTGATTTATAAACAGGCGTTCACATGTACACAAAGCCAAAAGCGGCCTCCCACAAATCTTCCAGTAATTGCTCTGTGACCCACAGGGAGGGAAGGCAACAAAGCAAACTTCAAAGGGCCTTTGAAAAATAACACTGACCACACGCATTTGAAAAGAGGTCAGTGTGGATTTGACAAAAGGCCAAAGGACATTTGAAAACACAGAGAGTGACTATTTGTTCCAAAACACACAGGGGAGTGTGCCCCGAGGGTCTGTGCGGGTTCTTGAGGTCTGTCTAGGAGAACTGTAGGATCCTTGTGCTCAGGTGAGTTTCAATGTTAGGATGTGCGATGCAGAGTTCTGTTGATTACGGAGGGCCCAGTTTCCTAAGGAGGATGTGAAAATTAATTTGAAACTGAAGCTGTGCGCAAAGGTGTCTGAGGTTGTTACAGTCAGAGTTGCCAGCATTCTAGCTGGGATCCCATTAGCATGTGACATCAGACAAGTAATCCAGGCAGCACGCCAGCCTCTCTACGTACAGACGGGAGCCCCTTCACCTCTCAAAGTCAGATGACACATGTGGGATCATTTCAAGCCTTTCAATACTTTCGATGTCATATTATTCATTTTCCCCTGATAGCTTTTTTTCCTTGTCTTTAAGAAAAGTCTCATGAAAAGGGGAATTTAAATTCACACGAAAGGAGGGGGCTCTTGGTCAGCTCCTCCTGAGAAACAGATGACTTGTTTCAGTTCTCAAGGGGCTTTCCTATTGCGGGAGGTATCCCCAGTGATTCCACTCCTTCATTTCTGAAAAGGGAAAAAAAAAAAAAAAAAAACACCACAGACTTGGCATTGGACATAGACTCGTCAGAAATGGCATGGCTTTGAGCGTCAGTCAACACGAATGGTGGCTGCCTTTCATTTGGAGGCGCCAGCCCCTGATTTCAACCAATGCAAGACTCTGCAAAGGCTTTGAGTTTTTATCAAGAATACATATCAAGCTTTTCACATTAACCTGACTTTCTACTTTGGGCTCTGGATGAAATAGCCAGGGACTTAAAAACTCAGGAAGAGACGGAGCTCTCTCTCTATCCCAAAAAGAGAAGGGAAGAGGAGCCATACCCCTCCAAGAATCCCAGCTAGAGTGGCCGGCCTTGGGTTTGGAAGCCTGCGTCTTACTTAACATTGTAGATGTCTCTACCTGTCTTTGCCATGCAACACTGCACTCCCAGAAAAATCAAGCACACGACGGAAGGCAATCACCTGATCATCAATTTACCTACATGACAGCGTTAAGAAATAAACCAGAAGAATATTTTTCTTACTATTTGTAGAAATGAGGAGACATTGATGCAAAGGCAGACTGACACTATTTGAGTTGTAGAATGGTTAGGGACGTGAGGACGTGTCTCTCAGGCCTCATCAAGCAGATTATTTAGTTTATTTATTTATTTATTTATTTATTATTTTATTTTATTTTATTTTGTTTTGTTTTATTTGAGACAGAGTCTAGCTCTGTCGCCCAGGCTGGAGGGCAGTGGCACAATCTCGGCTAACTGCAACCTCCACCTCTCAGGTTCAAGCAATTCTCACGCCTCTGCCTTCCAAGTAACTGGGACTTCAGGCGCCCACCACCACACCCAGCTAATTTTTGTATTTTTAGTAGAGGCGGGGTTTCATCATGTTGGCCAGGCTGGTCTCATCAGATAGATGACATCATCCTCATGGACACAGTGACAGGCCCAGGGAGGAGCACGGGACACAAGCTGAACAAGTCAGACTGTTCCCTGGGCTCTTTCAGCCAGAAATGTCAGGGGAGGTGATCTTTCCTCATGTGGGCTGCTGTGCAAATATAAGGTATGCCTTGAGCTACCAATGGCTAATATGCCTGTCCAAGAAACACTGAGATAAAACACCCTAATGGCCCTTGGATCTAGCCATGCCTGAAGCTGTTATCATCTGTTTCTGAGTCTTACTCAAGCATTTTATGAGCCAATAGGTTCTTTCTTTCCTCTCTCTCTCCCTCTCTTATGCTACTTTGAGATAAGCTGTCACTTGCAAATAAAAAAAAATTTACTAATATAAGTGCTTAGTCATAAATAAGTGGGATTATGTGTAAAAAGTTTTACATTTTTATTCGTCTATATATTTTGACCATGATTCAGAAAAAAGGTCCTAAGTGAAAACCATATACATTAGAAATCTTGAAATATGACTTTAATAAATATGTTGAGAGAAGTTGCCTGCTCATTAGGTATTAATTTGAAGTTAATCTTTGGCCAAACACAGTCAAAATGGGGCTTTCCACTCTGGAATGGGTAATAGGATTTTGCTGTTTTGAATGTTATCCAAAGGAAACACTCCCAAAGAAGAGAACGCTCAGTGGACTCACTCAGCCCTTCAATTGCAGAAGAGAAAAATGTTTACTTCTGTGGTATTACAAAGCTATAAAAGCACTTCCAGGAAACTGAAGTCCAATGTTTTCTGGAGAATCTAATTACTGCTCCGCCCTCACTAAGATGTTTTGTTAATAACGAGCTCAGAAACCATGGCTCCATGTTCTATCCTGCTGTTGCTGGTGGACCAGGATTCTCATGCATCCTCAGTCCACTACGGAGCATGTTAGAAGTTATCATAATCAAAGGCTATTGCTCAAACACTATGCGCCAAACCCTGTCATTGGCACTGTCCTTACTACAATCTTGGGAGGTTGATACTCTGATAGAAATCCCAAGACAGTCAATGCCCAAGATCATAAAGCTATTCAATGATGGAGCTGGAATTAGAGGTCCTAGTGCTGTGTTCCCAGGCCATCTCACTGTGGGTCTCACTTGGAAATGGTGAAGAAAAGCCCAGGCAGCAAAGGTGTTAGCCCTTGAATCATTGCCATTCTCACCTCTGCACTATCAGCCACATGAATGTCCTTCACTAAGATTCTATCACATAGTTATTGTAAGTCACAGAATGCTGGCTTTGTAAGGAAAATGTGTGTCACCTAGGGACACCTTTATTTTACAGAAGGGGAAAAATAAGGCCCTGAGAGTATATTAAACTATTAAATCAGGACTGACCAGTAGAAATTATGGGAGGTAGATCCCAAGGCTAGATCATAAAAGGTATTGCAGCTTCCATCATGAACTTTGTGATCACACACTCTGGAGAAAGCCAGCTGCCATGTCAGGAAGACACAATCAAGCTGCCCTGTGGAGAGTCCATGTGGCCAGGAACTGAGCTCCCCTGCCAATAGCTAAATCAATGGCACCAATTTTCCAGTTGTAAGCCATCTTGGAAACCGATCACCCAGACCTAGTTGAGCCTTCAGATGACAGTAGCCCTGGCTGACGTCTTATCTGCAACCTCATGAAAGACCTGAGCTACAACCACTCAGCCATGCCACTCCTAAACAGCTGGCCTTCAGAAACTGGGGCGAATATATGATTATCATTGTTCAGGCAACTGAGTCTTCAAGAAATTTTGTTAAATAGCAATAGATAACTAACGTGATGTCTATTTTAGCTGTTTAAGAGGTAATTCCAAATTCTTAACTCCATTCTGAATGGTTGAAAGTAGCAAATAAATGACTTCCGTGTGAGCAGACGGTCAGTTACTAACATTACAGAATTGACTAATTTAAAATTTAAAGTGAACAAAAAGAAGAAAAGAAAAGATGCTAAGACACCATGGAATTCAGGAAGGTTTAAGCACCCCAACTTATCAGCCACAAGTCAAAGACCTGGGTTCTAGGTTTGGTTCAGGTACTGGTTTTGCAACACTGGACATTTGCTACTTTAAGTTCCCTGTCTCAATTTCCCATCTGTGAACTAAACGTAATACTGTAGCATTTGCCTTTGCTGTCTTAGAGATGGTATTAAAATGATTTAATCAGACCAAAGATGTGAAGGCCCTAGGAATACACATTCTGATGACAAAGCAGACTTCTCCACTTTTGAGAGTTTGAAAAAACTTTTGATTTTTTTTACCCTGCATACATCCACTACCCCAACACTCCTCGTAATTAGAAAATATAGGAGACAAGTTTTTAAAACATAATAAAATATATGCGCATATGTACACACATATATGTATACATACACACACATACAAATAACAGTAATTAACTAGAATTCTGAGAATTTTTGTTTTACTTAGACCTATAGATGTGTAAAATTTGATGAATGAATGATTGCTTTGAAGGGAAAGGACCGTACCCCAGCTAGAATAGCTTGGACTAAAGCCAAGGCGGTGTGAATAACATATCTAGAGGGGACATGTTCAGAAGATGAACTGGAGAAATCAAGCGGTCCCAGAACACAGGTCACCCACCTCTATGTGGAAGAACCAGCTGTGAGTTCTAGCTTATTCCAGCTTACTCCTAGCACTTCCTGGGCTTAAAACACAACCACACATGGAGACTCACATGGCACCTGCTGAGAGAGCTCAAAGTTACTTAATGTACCCCTAAGAATGTTAATCTGAATTCCTACCTATTTGTGTCCAGGGAATGTGTCCAGGGGATCCCCTCACCCCAAAACCTAAGGACCCCCTTCCCAGCTCATCCAGGCTGCTGCAAGCCTGAGCAGTAACACAGTGACCCAACTAGGGAGAACTAGGACCAAGCACCTGGAGTGACAGGTCCCCACCCCAGTTCCACGCCTCACTTTTCTCACTCCGGATTTCTAAGCCGGTCCAAAACTACACCCTCTCCACAAAGAGGAGGGAGGGGGCACAGTTATTCTGCGAACCCAGCTCCTACCTAGACATTCACTTCGGGTAGTTTGGGGAAGTCAGCTTGAAACAAAAGCAGCACTTTCTCTGGATCCCAAGAGCAAGCCAGCGATTTCCTCCTCCCTTCATGGCATCCTCTGGCAACCTTCTTCCACTATTTCCTTTTGCTCAATTTTCAGCTAAACTTTCAAAACACTTTCCTATGCAACCGAAAATATGTTTTGAAGGAAGTCTTTGGGTTCTGGTGTACGGCCTGGCGCAAGGGCCCTCCCGCGGGTCTAAGGGCAGTTCAGACTCCAGCCATCATATTTGCTGTCCTTGGAGGGTGCTGTTGGTCAAGGCTGGCTGTGAGTTCATCACACATCCCCTTAGATGGGATGCCATTGAGGGGACAGAAGCATCTGACATTGGCCACTAAGATCTCCTTTTAATGGAGATTCCATCCGTCATGATACTTTAATATTCCTTTCTGGTAGCTAGCCCTTGGTTAGGAATTTTGTCTCTAACTCCACCGCAAATGATCAAAATGGATTATTTCCAGCCATGTGACTACTGGGCTGCCCAGGATTGGAGAGAAGGAACTAAAATATAAGAGTCAAGAGAGTTGAATTTTACCAACTTCACAATATGAGAATGGGTGCCTCGGTCTCCCTACCTGCCCACAAAGTATAGGATAGTTATTGAATTAAGGAGAAAGACTAAACATTCCTCTTTTTAGCCCTTGCTCTGACTCAGTAATTTCTACCTAGTGTTTCAGTATCATGGTAATTCTATAGATGAGAGGTCAGGCAAACGACAGCCACAGGACAGAACCCCACATATCACCTATTTCTATAAATAAAACTTTACTGGAACACAGCCACGCCCATTTGCTTTCATATTGCCTATGACTGCTTTTGAAATATAACAGCAGAATTAAGTCATTGCAATAGAGACGGTGTGGCCAGAAAAGCCTGAAATATTTACTCTCTCACCCTCTACAGAAAAGTCTGCTGAGCCCTGCCCCAGATAATGACGATGATGATGATTGCAACTCACACACCCCAGTGCTTCCATGTGCCTGGCATTGTTCTAGGTGCTTAGCATGTAATATCTCATTTAATCCTCACACCAAACCTTGAAATTATCTGATGAAATTATATCAACTCCTAGATATGAAAACAGAGACAGAGAAAGAAAGTTCAGGAAACTTCTCCAATGTTCCCAATTTAATAGAGGCTGGGACTCAGTCCAGGGTACTTTGGGTCCAGGAACCATGCTCTTAATGGCTGCGCTATGCTGTTTGAAAGTTCCGTCAGGCATTGACCTCATACTCGCCAGGCAGTGATTCCACTGACATTCATTTCACACTCCCCAAGCTGCCTTCAGATGCCTAATTCAGTCCCCAGATACCTCCATAAATAACGGAAAGAGACATCCCTGCTATAATTAACAAATCAGCACTTTGGAATGAGAATGATTTGAAGGAGCCGACCCTTGGGAGTCTGAACATCTTCGATCACCAACAAAATTGCATTTCTGGCCTCAGTCCAAGAAGACCCCAGTGGTTTCACTCACACAATGGCACTTGGCCTAAGTGAGGTCTTTCCTGAGACACCACCAGGCCCTCCAGCACGTGCTGCCTCCCTCTTCCTGGGGCTCTTCAAACCACAATCCTGGGATGACCTCACTTCCCAGGACTTCCACTAGGTTTTGACTTAGTGAGCCCATTGCAGCCATGGTAAGGCAAAATCCTTCCAGAACTAACTTCATTTTATCTGTTGGCCTCAACTGGATGTTAACAGTAACCTCTATTTTTTTTTTTCGTTTTGAGACAGGGTCTCGCTCTTGTCACCCAGCCTGGAATGCAATGGCATGATCTTGGCTCACTTCAACCTCCTCCTCCTAGGTTCAAGCAATTCTCCTGCCACAGCCTCCCAAATAGCTGGGATTACAGGTGCTGGCCACCATGCCTGGCTAATTTTTGTATTTTTCGTAGAGATGGGGTTTCACCATGTTGGAAAGGCTGGTCTCGAACCCCTGACCTCAGGTGATCCACCCACCTCAGCCTCCCAAAGTGCTAGGATTACAGGCATGAGCCACCGTGGCCGGCCAACAATAACCTCTAGCACATTAAATTCCTCCGCTGAGAGAAGAAATCACAATCTATTTATTTAAGCTCCTTGGCTTTGGTAAAACATGAATATTTCCATCCTGGAAGTGTTTCCTGAAGGATACCAGCCAACCAGCCATCAACAGCAGCTTTCAAAGCACCGGCTGGTGTCAATGTCCAACAAGAGGACGGCTTCTGAAAACAAGGCCATTTGAAGAGGCATTTGGGAAGTGTTCGTGCATCCTGATCCAACAGGCTGCTGGCTTCCTTCAGCTGTTGGCCCAAGTCCCAGTTTTGGGCTTGACTTAAAAAGATTGAAATAGTCCCACTCATCCACACACACAGAGGAAGATCTGTTGCAGCTATTGGATCTACCGGAAGTGATGCACTGTCTCCCCTTCCCCCATGTTAAGAGTCAGGGAGGGATGTATGAGTGACCTTTGACATCTGTGGGCTTGCTGCTGTCAAGATAAACCATCGTCTTAGCCCTCAGTGGAACAGGCATTAGGGGCTGAAATGCCCTCTGTAGGTGTCATAATCAACTTAACTAACTTAGATGGAAAATGGTTTTTAGATACAAAAACTTCCTGCAGTATTTTTGTCTTAAAATGAATCCATATGAAGAGCTAGAAAGATATTTAAAAGTCTCTAGCTCAAATCCTTTGTTTTGCAAACAAGAAACAGGAAATTCAGCAATGTTAAGTGATGTACATCTAAGATCACATGGTGATCTTTAATATAGCTAGAGAAACCCAGTCTAGTTATCTAAACAGAAAATGAACATACGCATTTGGTAAAGCAAATTCAGTGAAAAGTAGTTCTGCTCATCCCAGAACCCTTGTTCTCCTCCCCAGAGAGAGCCACACTTCACATTCTTTTATGTGTCCTTTCAGAAATATTCAAGAGTGATGTAGTTTTAGTATATAAACTTCTCTTCCACAAATCACCCAGTACATGTGATCATTGTGGTTCTAGCCCCAGATCATCTCCACTTATAAAAGTTGACCCAAACACAAGCAGCTCTGTTTGTATTGGTCAGACACTGCTGAGGCCCACACCCATTCTGCACATTTATTCATCTACCAGGCCTTTCATGGGTGCTGGACATGTTCCACAGTCATGGCTGTCTGCAGAACAAGGGTTCCAGCTGGCAGTACATGTGCTGCCCACGTAAAATTGGCCTAAATGAGCTTACACAATAAAACCCTGAGCCCCAGCAGTCACAAAGGGCATTTAGTGATGTTGCCAGTCAGGGTGTGTCCTGGCACTCGATACTTCACCAAATTACAGAAGATCCTTTTTTGCTTGGACTCAATTCAGGAAATAATTTCCCCTGCCAAGAGGCATTGAAAATATCTCTCCCTTGACTGCAGCAAACCCTCAGAAGCAAGACCCAGAGTCCCGGCACAGGGGAGAGTGCAGAGTCTGCAGCCACCACCAGAAGACCTTGCTGGGTTAACAGAGCAGCAGCCGGAGTTCCGCAGAGTTGGACAAGACACCATCCTCGGCCACCCACTGACAAACGCGGCACTAACAACTGCCACCTCACCTTCCATTTAACTGGCTCCCAAACGATGAATGCAAACTGAGCTGTCTTAAGTTAAACTCGCCTCTTTCCATGGCCCAGTATGGGTGGGAATTCTGCTCTTGGAAACTCACTTCATGCAATTAAAAAAATACCAGCACTGATAACTCAAATAAATAACAACATATACCCATGCCTTTACTACTATTAACTCAAACCCAGCTTATTTTTTTATTGTAACTTTTATTTTATCAAATCCAATTTAAAAGCAACCTTATAAATGTTTCTTTGGCAGGACTTTTCTGCCCAGGTTGGACACACTGAGGTATCTTTTCAATCCAGTGGCTTCTGGACTAAATCCTCATGTGTCATCTTTTTAAATAATTTCCTGTAGGAAGCATATTCGTTTTCACTAATTTAAGAACCCTGACTATGAGATCACATTCAAAATTTAGGTCAGCTGCCTCAAAAATTTTCACTGCTATTTGATGCTGCCAAAAAACAACAATAACAACAACTTTTAATAATGAATGGGGGCAGGGCCATTTCCATGGCAACATCTGCTTTCCCTTGATCTGCCTTTGCAATACATCACCTAAGGTGCCCTGCAGAGCAGGGCCAATAAATGGTCATGTGACCTGAGGGTCCCAGGGAAATTCCCACAAATCTACTTCAAGACCCTGCCATGCTGTCTAAAATTCTAACAGTAAGGAGTTTCTCCTTTGAAGGCACCTGCTTTAAGGTAAATGCTGTCTACAAATAGCAATCCAGGAACTTGATCCCCCAATAAAACAAAAAAAACTAGGCAGGATTTTGCCAACAAAACAAAAAAAAAAACTAGGATTGTGGGATCTTAGTCCCCAGAACTATTCAGATCTCAATTAAATCAGTGCAGTAAGCAATGCCACACCCTTCCCATAGGCTGTTGCCAGGATTAATTAAGTTTAGTATTAACTACATGAAAGTGTGAGTTCATCTTTTTTTTTTCACAGACTCTACAGGAAAGAAGAGAAGAAAAGACCAAGAACTAGGAGGCCAGTGTTTCCAGAGGAAGAGGATGCTCAACGACAAGGTGAAGTGGCCGGGAGCAAGCTTCGGATCCCTGTTTTGACTTCAGTGGCTCAGAGAAGAGGCTGTGAGTCACTCAGTGGTGAGTGTTTTCTCCAGGGTCACCCTCGGAAGGTTCAGGACGTTCCCAGGGACTTCTGAGCACAGGCTGCTATGATGCTTTCTCTCTGACTTCGCCTAGATCTCTGGCAAGCCCCGCTCTTTGGTTTGTGCCACCTCTGAGGACAGCATGATCCACAAGGTCACTCCCTGTTCTGATAGTCAAGCTTCCCTGTCAGATCTTCCACCTATCACGAGGTGTGCCCTGCTTCTCCTGCTCCAGAAATTGCTGGGGCACAATACATGTGCCGTGGTGGTTTGCTGTACCTATCAACCCTCATCTAGGTTTTAAGCCCCACATGCATTAGGTATTTGTCCTAATGTTCTCCCTCCCCTTCCCCCCACCCCGCCACCAACAGGCCTCGGTATGTGATGTTCCCCTCCCTGAGCCCATGTGTTCTCATTGTTCGACTCCAACTTATGAGTGAGAACATGCGGTGTTCGCTTTTCTGTTCTTGTGTTAGTTTGCTGAGAATGGTGACTTCTAGTTTCATCCATGTCCCTGCAAAGGACATGAACTCATTCTTTTTCATGACTGCATAGTATTCCATGGTGTATATGTGCCACATTTTCTTTATCCAGTCTATCATTGGTGGGCATTTGGGTTGGTTCCAAGTCTTTGCTATTGTAAATAGTGCCACAATAAACATACATGTGCATGTGTCTTTATCGTAGAATGATTTATATTCCTGTCGTTATATACCCAGTAATGGGATTGCTGGGTCAAATGATATTTCTGGTTCTAGATCCTTGAGGAATCACCATTCTGTCTTCCACAATGGTTGAACTAATTGACACTCCCACCAACAGTGTAAAAGCATTTCTATTTCTCCACATGTTTACCCAGTTTTCAAGTACCCAATACATTGTTATTAACTACAGTTGCCATGCTGTACAATAGATCTCCAGAACTTAATCCTCCTGTCTAACTGAAAAGTTGTATCTTTGGACCAAAGTCTTCCAACCCTCCCCAACCCCTGGTAGCCACCATTCTACCCTCTGCTGCTATGAATTCAACTTGGTTAGATTCCACATGCAAGGGAGATCATGCAGTATTTGTCCTTGTGTACCTGGTTTATTTCATTTAGCATAGCGTCCTCCAGATTCATTCATGTTGTCACAAAGAACAACATTTCCTTCTTTTATATAGCTGAATAGTATTCCATTGTGTATATGCACCACATCTTCTTCACCCATTCATTCACTGTTGGACACTTAGGTTTGTTCTACATCTTGGCTATTATGAATAGTGCGGCAATAAACGGGGTGGGGGGGTGCAGATATCTCTTCCGCATACTCATTTTATTTCCTTTGGATATATACCCAGTAGTAAGATTGCTGGATTGTATGATAGTTCTATTTTTAATTTTTTTTAATAAAAGAAACACCCCTAATTCCCTGAAGTGATTCCTTACTTATTAATCACGCATTGATTGACTCAGAGCTCATTTGAACCTTTTGGTGTTTTAGTCTGCACCACCCCTTCGTGACTGACTTCCACACACTTCCTTAATGATATTTAAACAGAAAATTCACTTTCTTTGTCCCTGCCAACATCAAGGGATACCCTCCTTGTTCTAGTATACTAAGTAAGTCTGATTTGAGTTGCTTCATGATTTTATATTCTCATCATGCCCACTCCTAACTTGCAGGAGTGAAAATCCCAGGTTTTGAGAAACTACCCTTGTCAGGAAGCCATTGCCTCCCCTGGATTCAGATCCTACTTCAAACATGCCCCAAGTCTAACCTGATGACTTCAAAATGCAGCCATGAGACCAGTAGGCATTTAGCGGGTCTAGACAGGAAACCCGGAGACCAAAACCAACCATCAGGACAAATGAATACTTCTCCATGACCTAAAATGAGTGAGCACACAGGGAAACCTCACCCTTGCAGATGACTTGCAAGTCTTCCACGCAGTAAAATTGCAAGCTAGTAAAATGTTTAAAAGCTCTGACAAAGTAGTGGAGAGTAGACAGGAATGATAGTTGTACTTCTCTGGAAGTAGTTTGAGATTACAGTTTTCCCTTAAAATGACTTCCAGAAAGTCACCTTTACTATTTTGCGAGATAAAGATCTCCAATCTATCCATGACAGCCCTGAAAAGAAACCCAGGGGTCACTGTGACCATTTCCTGGCAGCATCCCTCCTGCATTGTCCCACCCTAGTGAAAGGGCAGTGCAGCCGGCTGCTGTCAAGCCCGCATCCTGTGTTTACACAAAACCCAGCTTCAGCCACATTTGGAAAACTGCATGAACTTTGGGTTAACACATCTAGAAACAACACACCATTCAGCTAAAGGAAGTTCTCAGAGGCACAGTGATTGATTGGGAGATGTGTGCATGGTGTGGGATAAACACCAGACTGGAAGAGCTCAGGGAGAAGCCTGGCGAGGCCACGGACCATGCACCACACTGTGGCCCCAGGCAGCCCTTTGCCTTCTCAACCTCTGTTTTCTTCAGGATCAAGAGGACTTGATTAGGTGACGTTGGTAAAAGGGCTTTCCATGATGTCTGGGATGTAGTGAGAGCTCAGAGAAGCCTCCTTTCCTCCTTTTCTTCTTAATGGGAGGTGTGCTACGGGACAGTGGTCTAAAATGTTGAGGATTCCTCAGCCAGAAAAGATCAAGGTACTGGGGGTATTAACATCGTCAAAAACCCCAGGGAACTGTGGAGAATGAGCCCATTCTCCCTAGCACCCTCGAGAAAACAGCCCATGCCCTCCTTCCCCCACCTCCAGACAGCAGCCCTGGCTTGAAGCAGCAAGTATACCCTGCGGCTATTCAGGACAAGAGAGAGAGGCCGCGCCACCAGAAGGGAGAGGACAGAAGCCTGGCCAGAGGCAGCCACCATGGGGTCTTTGAGGGCTTTCTCTTTCCCCCACCCACAGCACCAACCAAAGCAGAGCTGTGAGCCCGGGGGAGAAAAAGGGGATGTGAAGTGGCCAACCCCCTACATCCACAAGCACACAGCAGTGAATCAAAAGAACTAGACCATGAGATTAAAACTTTAAGTGAACAAGAGCAAGTCTTATGAGAACACATGGACACAGTGAGGGGAACATCACACATGGGGGTCTGTCGGGGGAGTGGGGAGTAAGGGAAGGAAAGCATTAGGACAAATACTAATGCATGTGGGGCTTAAAACCTAGATGAGGGTTGATAGCTGCAGTAAACCACCATGGCACATGTATACCTATGTAACAAACCTGCATGTTCTGCACATGTATCCCAGAACTTAAAATTTTTTTAAAAAGTAAAATTTAAAAAGATCAGAACTAGAATGCTCTAATAACTCAACCTTTGTGAAAAGTTGTAAAAAATAGACCAAAGACTCGGTAGTGTGGTTCCCCCACACACCAAGTGGATAAGGGCATATCAGGAGACAGCTGGCTGTGGTTATATAAAAAACAAAATCACGGCAAGGCTTTGCTCCCAAAGATGCCTCACTAAATCAGTAACACAACTAGTGACAAAAAGTTTTTTTGCCCAACACTACATATATGACTACACAAACTTATAACTGAGGTCACAGGGAACTATCATGAGGGTGCCTGCAAGGCAAGTAAGCCATGATCTTATCCTGGACATCTTTGTGACCTGGACACCAATGCCTCCTGCTGAAACCCTCCCCCATCCTTGATGTGAGCTCTGCAAACCATCCCCTTGCCTTCCAAGCTTGCCTCTTTATTATTTTTCTATTTCAATAGTTTTAGGGGAACAGGTAGTTTTGGTTATATAGATAAGTTCTTCAGCAGTGATTTCTGAGATTCTGGTGCACCCGTCACCCGAGCAGTGTACACAGTACTCAATGTGTAGTGTTTTCTCCCTCTCCACCCTCCCACTCTTCCCCCTGATTCCCCAAAGTCTAGTATATCATTCTTATGCCTTTCAAGCCTGCCTCTTTAACTGTGGGCATTCCCCCAAGATTTTGTTCTACTTTCTGCTATACTTTCTCTCAGAAAGCATACCCATGATTATTGCTTTACTTACCAACCCCATATGGAGAGCTCCTCACCACAGGTGTGGCTTCTACTGCTTTCTATGCTTATGTTTATAGATGAACTCATAAGACTTGTGTCCACAGCTTAAAATTCAATGACAAGAAGGGAGCATGTTTTTACCTATGCGGGCAGATTCTTCAGATGCATTATTCAAAGTTCCAGGCATGCTAACAAACAGAGAAAAAGAGAGTTTCCCAAACTTCCAATGATTGCTAAATGTGTCTATAACAGAACTTAGTCCAAACAGCTGAACTTCAACCTAACATTTCAGCCTACATTAAACATGCTACATAGTCTGCTAAGAAGAGTAATACTGCAGTGACTACAGGAAATAGAAAGTGGTGGTCATGTTCCAGTCCTCCCTTCCTGAGTAACTAGCCCAGAACTTAGAAGTTTAACATTAAAAATATGTTATTTTACCTCAGAATTTTTTAGGTCAGGAATTTGGACAGGGCACAGCTGAGTGGTTCGTCTGTTCCATGTGGCATCAACAGAGTTGACTTGGTGGCACTGGACTAAAAGATGGTCTGGTCTGGAGGGGCTCTCATACATCTGGCACCTTGGCAAGGACAGCTGGAAGACTGGGGTCAGCTGAGACCCTCAACTGGAGCACTTACCTGGGATCTCTCCAGCATGGGAGCCTCAGAGTAGTTGGATACCTTCAATGGCCCCTCAGGACTCCAAGAGCAAGTGTTCCATTCAAGAGTTCCAGTTGCAAGCTGCAGGGATTCCCAGAAGTCCCAGAAAGTCACTTCTGTCTCATTCTATTGGTCAATCAAGTCACTAAGACCACCCCGCATTTAGGAAAAGAGGATTTAAACTCCATTTTTAAATGAAAGAAGTAGCAAAGAATTCATGGGCATCTTTAATCCACCACAGACTCTATTTTTATCCCTTTCACAATGTTATGCTTGGATTAAGTACTCACAGGGCCAGTTGGTTTGCTCTGTACATCATGTCACATCATATCTTCACTGCCCTCCAGTGACATAATAAATCTTAGTACTGTAGCAGAATCAGAGGTTCAACATCACCTTTAGGGCTGGAAGAATTAATGAATGTTAGAAAAAATATCATAGCAACATTGACATTAATATCCATTAGACAATTATGTTTTAATACATAGGGAAGAGGACAGCAAATTATGATGGTAAGAGTAAGAACTTTGCAATCACAATCCACCTAAGTTCAAGTCCCTGCTCTGTCAATTACCAGCCATGTAAATTTAAGCAAGGGACTGAAATTTTCTGATCCTTGGCTTTAAAATGAATACAACACCTGCAGTAGTTGTCTCAGGAACCCCTAATTCTTGAGCTATGTCCATTCCTTCAAGAAAAAAATTGTGGGAGAACTTGTATGTACTTTTGAGAAAGTCCTGGTGGACACGAACTCCATCAGCCACGGCAGGTGACCTCCGTAAGTCACCCTTAGCATGGTGTTTCCTTAAATGGAAACACCAATTAAGACTGGGCAGGGAGAATGGGCCAGTCTCCCTGCCCCCTTATCCTTGCTTCCTGGAATCACTTCCCCCATAAATTGCCTGCATCCAAGTCTTTACCTCAGGATCTACCTCCAGGAGAACAAAAACCAAGGGAATTCTTACCTTACAGGATTGTTCTAAGTGTAACATAAACTCCAAACATAGAAACTGCCAGGCGCAGAGCCTCGTACCTCATTGTCTCTCATTCATTCCCTGCCATTTTCATGGGTCCAGACCACTCATCTTTCCCTACACCTGGCCAGCCCTTTCCAGCCCTGCTCACTGCCCAGTCTGTTTCTCCTAATAGGATATCTCGCCCTCCTCTGAGGTGTTGAAATCTCACCCACCCTTAAACATCCTTCTCTGACCTCCCTGGGTGGGGGAAATCCCCTGGTTATACCCACTTACAGCAAACACAGCTCTCTCCTTCCCTACACTTTCCACAAGTTTACATTTTATCTGGGTCATTATATTATCTTTGTCTGTCTTCTTCATGAGATTTAAGCTCCCACAGGACAGGGGACAGGTCTGTATTCCCTAGCCAAGAAAGGAAAAATTACTATTTGTCGAATGAATGAATGAATGAATGAATACACAAGATGTTCTTTCACCTGTGATTTATGCACTGACCTTGTCCTCTTTCCTATTTGCCCTCCACCACTGACACACATGGCCACCCTGGACACCACTTCTCCCCTCCTGTGTTCCCACAGCATATTGTGGTAACTTGCATTGACTACATTCTCCTCTGTGATTCAGTTTAGATATTTTTGCTTATTTGGTTGTTTGTTTTTTTCTTTTTCTTTTGTTCTTTCTTCCTTCCTCCTTCCCTCTCCTTTCTTTCTTACTCTCTTTTTTTCCTTCCTTCTTCCTTTTTCCTTCCTTTCTTCCTTCTTCTCTGCTCTCATCTTTCTTTTTCTTTTTCTCCCTCTCTTTCTCCTCTCTCCCTCTCTCCTCTCTTCTCCTTTCTTTCTTCCTTCCTTTCTTTCTTTCTGAGAGTCTCAGCATAAAAGAATAAGCCACGTGCTCAACAGGAACTCAGGTATGTAAGTGTCAACCCACCCTGGGTCTTGGCTGACTGAGCACTCTGGGACTGTTGTACTGCATGTAGAGCTGACATTTTGCCTTACCCCAGATTCACCTCCTTTCCAAAATCAGGGAGCACTGGCTGCCCCTTATCCTTTAAAACAATATCCCCACTGGGGGAATAAGTTGCCCCAAGATAAGGAAAGGCAGGCCTGGGAACCAGATCACGGATCCTTGTTGCAGAGCAGAGGGACACATCTGAAGGCTCATGTGGCATGGCCATCCTGCTGTCTTTGAAGCATTTTGCTAGGTTCGTAGGAAGCTGGGACTGTAATTAATGAAAATTAGAAACCTTTTAAAAAGTCTGCACTAATGTATAGTAGAAAATTGAGTGCTTAAGACTGGGATGGCTCCCTTGGGACAGAGAAGCCCATATGGCAAATTCCAGTTGATGAAACATAAGCACAAGCCTTCAGGGAGCCCAGGGAAGGGCTTCCAGATACAGGTAAAAACGTGACTGATGTTTTGCTTTCCCTTCTGCATGCCAGGAATGTAGACACTATGTCTGACACTCCAACAATCATCTTGTGACCACGAGGAAAAGGCCAAACCAAAAGAGGCACTGACCCTGACATTGTTGATGTCCTCCAGTCCTGTGATGATGTCATGCCCACTCATTTCACAAGTTTTTGGAGAGGAAGGAAGCACTGTGCTGTCCACTGGTGTGTCTTTCCCAACCCTCACCAAGTGCAGCATCTCATAATAGCTGTTTAATAGATTTTTTAAATGAAATCTGCTTTTGAGATACAACAAAAAAGAAAACTTTAGGCCAATATCCTTGAAGACTATCAATGCAAAAATTCTCAACAAAACACTGGCAAACCAAATCCAGCAGCACGTCCAAAAGCTTATCCGCAATGATCGAATAGGCTTTATCCCCGGGATGCAAGGCTGATTCAACATATGCAAATCAATAAATGCAATACATCACATAAACAGAACTAAAGACAAAAACCACATGATTATCTCATAGACGCAGAAAAGGCTTTCAATAAAATTCAACATCCATTCATGTTAAAAACTCTCAGTAAACTAGGTATTGAAGGAACATACCTCAAAATAATAAGAGCATATATAACAAACCCACAGCCAACATCATACCAAATGGGCAAAAGCTGGAAGCATTCCCCCTGAAAACCAGCACAAGGATGCCCTCTGTCACCACTCCTATTCAACATAGCATTGGAAATTCTGGCCAGAGCAATCAGACGGAGTAAGAAATGAAGGGCATCCAAATGGAAAGAGAGGAAGTCAAACTATCCATTTGTGGATGACATGATCCAATATCTAGAAAACCCCATAGCCTCAGCCCAAAAGCTTCTTAAGCTGATAAACAAATTCAGCAAAATGTCAGGATACAAAAATCAATGTGCAAAAATCACCAGCATCCCCATACACCAACAACATTCAAGCTGAAAATCAAATCAACATAAACTCCCATTCACAATTGCCACAAAAAGACGAAAATGCCCAAGAATACAGCTGACCAGTGAGGTGGAAGATCTCTAAAAGGAGAACTACAAACCACTGCTCAAGGACATCAGAGATGCCAGGTGTGGTGGCTCACACCTGTAAACCCAGCACTTTGGGAGGCCGAGGCAGATAGATCAATTGAGGTCAGGAGTTCGAAACCAGCCTGGTCAACATGGGGAAATCTTGACTCTGCCAAAAATATAAAAATTAGCTTGGCATTGTGGTGTGCACTTGTAATCCTAGCTACTCAGCAGGCTGAGGCAGAAGAATCACTTGACCCCGGGAGGCAGAGGTTGCAATGAGCAGAGATTGCAACACTGCATTCCAGCATGGGGGACAGAGTGAGACTCTGTCAGAAAGAAAGAAAGGAAGGAAGAAAGAAAGAAAAGAAAGAAACTAAGAAAGAAAGAAAGAAGGAAGGAAGGAAAGAAAGGAGAAAGAAAGAAAGAAAGGAATCAGAGATGACACAAACAAATGGAAAAACATTCTATGCTCATGGATAAGAAGAATCAATATCATTAAAATGGCCAAACTGTCCAATGCAATTTATAGATTCAATGCTATGCCTATTAAACTGCCATTGACATTATTCACAGAACTAGAAAAAACTATTTTAAAATTCATATGGAATCCAAAAAAAGCCTGAATAGCCAAAACAATCCTAAGCAAAAAGAACGAAGCTGGAGGCATCACACTTCCCAACTTTGAACTATACTACAGGGCTACAACAACCAAAACGCATGGTACTGGTACAAAAACAGACACATAGATCAATTGAATAGAATAGAGCACCCAGAAATAAGACCATACACCTACAACTATTTGATCTTCAACAAACCTGACAAAAACAAGCAATGGAGAAAGGACTCCTTATTCAATAAATGGTGATGGAATAATGGCTAGCCATATGCAAATTAAAACTGGACCCCTTCCTTACACCATATACAAAAATTAACTCAAAATGGTTTAAAGAGTTAAATGTAAACCCCAAAACTACAAAAACCCTGGAAGACAACCTAGGCAATATCATTCAGGATATAGGCATGGGAAAACATTTTATGACAAAGATGCTAAAAGCAATTGCAACAAAAGCAAAAATTGACAAATTGAATCTAATTAAACTAAAGAGCTTCTGCACAGCAAAAGAAACTATCAACAGAGTAAACACACAATCTATAGAATGGGGGAAAAATTTTGAAAACTATGCATCTGACAGAGGTCTAATATCCAGCATCTATAAGGAACTTAAACAAATTTACAAGAAAAAACCAACCCCATAAAAAGTGGACAAAGGACATGAAAAGACACTTTTCAAAAGAAGATATACATGCAGTCAACAATCATATGAAAAAAGCTCAACATCACTGACTATTAGAGAAATGCAAACCAAAACCACAAGGAGATACCATCTCACACGAGTCAGAATGGCTATTATTAAAAAGCCAAGCACGGTGGCGGGCGCCTGTAGTCCCAGCTACTCAGGAGGCTGAGGCAGGAGAATGGCATGAACCCAGGAGGCGGAGCTTGCAGTGAGCCGAGAATGCGCCACTCGCCACTGCACTCCAGCCTGGGCGACAGAGGTGACAGAGCAAGACTCTGTCTCAAAAAAAAAAAAAAAAACCAGATGCTGGCGAGGTTGTGGAGAAAAAGGAATACTTATACACAGTTGGTAGGAGTGTAAATTAGTTCAATCATTGTGGAAGACTGCATGGCAATTCCTCAAAGACCTAAAGACAGAAATACCACTCAACCCAGCAACCACTTTATTGGGTACATTCGCAGAGGAGCATAAATCATTCTGTTATAAAGATACATGCACCCATTATGTTCATTGCAACACTATTCACAACAGCAAAGACATGGAATCAACCTAAATACCCATCAATGACAGACTGAAAAAAATGTGGTACATTTACAGCATGGAAAATTATGCAACCACAAAAAAGAACAAGATCATATCCGTCGCAGGAACATGGATGGAGCTGGAGGCCGTTATCCTTAGCAAACTAACACAGGAACAAAAAACCAAATACCACATGTTATCACTTGTAAGTGGGAGCTCAATGATGAGAACACATGAACACATAGAGGGGAACAACACACAATGGGGCCTATCAAAGGGTGGAGGATGGGAGGAGGATGAGGATCAGGAAAAATAACTAATGCGTACTAGGCTTAATACCTGGGTGATGAAATAATCTTTACAACAAACCCCCATGACACAAGTTTGCCTATGTAACAAACCTGCACATGTACCCCTGAATTTAAAATAAAAGTTTAAAAAAAATCTGCTTTTAAGCTAGAAGAAATTGAGAAAATGCTGGGCTATTGGAGAAAAATTGTGATTTAGTTAAAAGTTTTGGTGTAGGTATTGTCAGTTGGCATGAGAAAGTCAAGAAACTCGTGCCCTCCCAAAGCCACCCCACCCTACTACCAGATTGTCTGTATTTCAGGGATGGGGGTGCAGAGAAAAGGGAAGCTGAAGGTAACCCCTTCATAAATTTTCTCCCTTGAAAGATTGACATTTCAAGTGTGTTACAGAAAAGTTTTAGCTAAAGGGTTAAACGAAGAAGAAAGAGGAGAAATACATATACAAAATGCGCTGGTCAGACCATGAGAAGTCTTATCGGGATCCTTTATCTCCATGAGGTGTCTGAAATCAACCCAGCCTTTTGACTTTGAAGATACGTCTCCTGAGTTTCCCCAGGATGGACAAAGCTGAGGAAAAGCTGACTCAGAAAGACAAGGCAGGTCCAAGTGTTTGCCGAGAAAAATGCACTCAGCACTCTACATAATTCCCAAAGGACTTTCTTCTAAAAATATTTTTATTAGAGTCTGAAATAATTTAATCACAGACTTGTATTTAGTCAGAGCTCAGCAAGTACTCCGTGCCGAACAGCGATATTCTTTCAGGCTTTTAAACAGGAAACTGAATCCAGAGAGCAGAAAACACAGAACCGTGCCCATGATGACTTGGAAAAGTTACCCTCTGCTCACACCAAACTCCCAAGTGTCCCCTATTTCATTGGGAACACATTAAGGATGAAACTAAAGGGGAGAACTTGAGGGTTCTTTTCCCAGTGAGATAAAGGAGCTCAAGGCTGGAGTGCCATTGACAGCCTGGCAGCAGGCAATCTTAAAGAGGAAGAAGACTGGTAACTGAGCAGGAGGGAATGATTCCTGGGCTACTAGTCAAATCTTCTCCTTAGATTACAGGGAAGACCTTCCTTGTTAGCTGTGAGAACATCCCACCGCCGACGGATACCAAGCACCAACGTATTTCATCCATTCATTCATTTGACATGTCTTTGACATTGGGAAACCTGTAGACCTCGGCTTTCCAAACAGCATCGATCAGGCTGGATTCCTCTGAGGGATCCAGGGGAACACATGGATAGTTAAACAGACCACTGGGGGAAAACACTGGGACACGGACACGCCAGGAATAAGTACTGAACTTCCTAGATGGACGTGGAGGTGTTGGACAGGGACTTTGCCTTGCTTGTCTTTAAAATCAGAAACAGAGGGTGTTTTGGCAAGTCTAAATTTACTGATTTTAAAGCTCCCACAAGGAAGACCCACATGAGACAAAAATCTAGAGGAGTATGCTAGGATAAAGCAGTAAGTGAATGAATGAATTTCTGGTACAAAAAGCAAAGGGCCGGGAGTACCAGACCACAGGTGTTAGAAAGAAAAGAAGTCAAACCAGGGGTTCCAGCCCATGCCACTCATTAGAATCCCCCAGGACCCCAATCACTTACAGCAGAGGCCCTGGGCATGGGTCCAGACACCAGTGGCATTGTTGTTTCACCTCTCTAGATGATCCCAGTCTGCCGCTGAGGACCCACGCTTAACTGGTACACAGTCACTCGAGGCATACCTCTCCACTTCCAAAAAATATCTATGCAACAGAAACACCATACAGCATCTTGAACATTGAAAAGCCGAGGAAGAGAATTGCATACTGAGGAGTACATGGCAAGAAGGTCATTCTCACCCAGGGGTGGAAGCACTTTGAGTGATCTGCTGAGGGTCATTTTGCACCTGGAGTGCGGCTGGGGAAGAGCCCTCTTCTCAGAAAAGGTGCAGAGGCCTAGAAAGTTCCATACCAGGAGGTCATGGTCCCTGTCGCCTTGAGGACAACAGAGTGGGGAAGCTCTGTCACTAAGACAGAAGCCAAATCATCATGGGCTTACGGGAAAAACACAGTGAGAAGCTCCGAATATGCTAGATGGGGAAGAAAGTCTCCAAAAAAGGACTGGAGCCTGGGAGACTGGGGAGCTACCCCTGAAGATTATTCAAGAAAGCCCAGGGTCCCAAATGCTGAGATAAGATGCACGGTGAAATTTCCCCTAGATGTGACAAAGGTGGTACTGTCACTAATTCCTGCTGGAATAATTGGCCAAAGAGAGCTAACATTCCCAAGTCATGGGTTCTAGACCTAACCATAGAAATCGAGGTGCTCCCACTGACAGCAGGAGTAAGAATGTCCTGGAGGGCTTGCGGAACGAGGATACTGGGCCACCCTGTGGCTCTAATCAGCAGAGGGATGCTGATGATACTGGACTGAGGTCCACCTGCATCCCCCATTCTTTCCCCTGATATCTCCGAACTGCTGCTGTGGTCACTGTTACTGCTGGGTATGGATTCCTGGGAGCAACATTTGTCCAGAAAAACTGCTCCAGGGACCAGAGAATGGCTTGTCTTAAAATTCATTGCAGGTGGGGTCAGGGCTGTGCTGATCTTGTATAAATGCCTGGGACACATTAAAAGGGGACATGCGAGGCCAATGCAATGCCCTAAGGAGCCACACCCTTCCTTGCAGAAGACGGAAGACAGCCTTGACTGCAGTCCCCTCTCCTGGATGGAGCAGCCTCTTTGCTGGGATGGAGCAAGAAGGAGCTGTGGAGAAACTCAGGCTTTAATTTTAAAATTTTTGAGGCTTAGTGTACATCCTTTTTAGATATTGCCCAGGCTACAAATGTAAGACTACATTTCTATGCGGCACTAAGCTTTTGCTGCTAACGCTTCTAAGGTTTTATGGCAGTTGTTTTACCATGCTTCATAAAGGATATTTGGTATTCTTGAGAGAATAAAATAAAATAAAATTGGGAGCATATTTATTTTGTTGGCTGTTTACTTTTGGCCACTTAATTTCTGTGCAGAGCTTCTGATGAGCTGTAGCAGACAAGGCAGGATGTAATTGTGTTGTAGGACCTTTGTCCTTAGTTCAGCTAACAGCCAGGTTCTTGTCACATGGCCATGAGAAATTAGGCTTGCAGATACTTTGAAGGGTGAGACAAGTGGAATTTATTGGGCAAAAAGGGGGGAAAAAAGAGAAACAGGGACCCTCCGCAAAGGCAGAGCACTGCTAGTGTGCTTCCCGCCTCGCAGATTGAATCCCTGGTTCCACCCAGGAAGAGGACGAGCCAGGCTCCTCCCCGCCGCAAAAGGCTTGAACTTCCCAAGTCTCCACCCCAGTGCGCAGGCCTATTGGAGTTTTTCCGGCAACCCCTTTGCACTTGGCTGTCCCAGTTGTATTAACCATGTGTTTCTGATGCTTTGGTACGTGGGACCTTGT